>NC_000003.12:69100909-69403939 GCF_000001405.40 Homo sapiens
AGGCACTCAAGCCAGCTGTTGACATGTGGGAAAGTGGGCCTAGCACTGTTATTTTCTTGTTCCAGGAGAACAAGAAATCCCAAGTTTTCTGGATTTTTTTTTAACACATGGGTTTCAAGTAAAAGTTTTTTAAAACACTGTACAGGCCAAACAAAAATGTGACTGTATACTGGATCTAGCCCATGGAGGCCATTATGTGGCCTGTATTCTACATTCGTCCATCATGAGCTTCTCTGAGGATTTAAATAAACCTTTAGAGCTAAGAAAACACAACCTACTGTGTACTAGAGCCCAGGATGTAAGGAAGCTAAACATAGTACCTTCAAAAGAAGTTTTAGTCTTCAAAATTGTGGACCTCTAACGAGATACTTTGATGGGAACTGCCTGGGTGTGATCTCAGCTCCACCTTTTTTTTTTTTTTTTTTTTTAATGAGATAAGGTCTCACTCTGTCACCCAGCCAGGAGTGCAGTGGGGGAATCTTGGCTCACTGGAGACTCAACCTCCCAGGTTCAAGTGATCCTCCCACCTCAGCCTCCTGAGTAGCTGGGAACACAGGTGTGTGCCACCACACCTGGCTAATTTTCATATTTTTGTAGAGATGGGTTTTGCCATGTTGCCTGGGTTGGTCTTGAACCCCTGGGCTCAAGTGATCCTCCCACCTTGGCCTCTGAAAGTGCTGGGATTATAGGTGTGAACTACCATTCCTGGCCTTCCCCACCATTTTCTAACCTCTGTGCCTTAGCTTCTTCATTTGAGAAATGAACTAATAGTATCTCCTTTATAAGGTTATGAGAAATCAAATGAGACAATTTAGATAAAGTATTAAAGTATTAGTAAGTTCTCAATAATTGTTTTTACTCCTCTTTCTCCTTTTGCTACTTCTATTGCTGAACTAGTCACCCCTCATTTTTTCTTCCTCATATTTCAGGTTTCTGAGTCCCTTCAACATGATCCTGGGAGGAATCGTGGTGGTGCTGGTGTTCACAGGGTTTGTGTGGGCAGCCCACAATAAAGACGTCCTTCGCCGGATGAAGAAGCGCTACCCCACGACGTTCGTTATGGTGGTCATGTTGGCGAGCTATTTCCTTATCTCCATGTTTGGAGGAGTCATGGTCTTTGTGTTTGGCATTACTTTTCCTTTGCTGTGTAAGTGAACTTGAGTTTTTTCTTCCATCATCAAAAAAATGTAGAAGCAATTATCCAACGGGAATTCCATAACCCATTTCTTATATGTGTTGGCATGTCAGCAAAAGTGTCAGAATTTTCTAAAACAGCTTTCTACTTGTTATCCAACTAGACCCAGATAACACAGAACTGAGGTCAAGAACTATGAGGTCAAGGCCTTATAGTTCATTAATTCCACAAATATTTGTTGGGGCATCTGCTATGTGTCATACATTCTTTTGTTGTTGTTGAGATGGGGTCTACTCTGTCACCCACGCTGTGGTGTTATCTCGGCTTACTGCAACCTCTGCCTCCTGAATAGCTGGGACCACAGGTGCACACCCAGCTAATTTTTTGTGTTTTGGGTAGAGACCGGGGTTTTACTATGTTGCCCAGGCTGATCTCGGACTCCCAAGCTTGAGTGATCTAGCTTCCTTGGACTCCCCAAGTGCTGGGATTACAGGCGTGAGCCACTTCGCCCAGCTGTGTGCCATACATTCTTATGGGGACACAACAGTAAACAGAACAAAGACAAATCCCAGGTCATACAGCAGGAATGTGGCATAACCTGCACTAGACTCCAGATTTGTCTAATAAGAGAGTCTATTCTCAATTTTTAAGTGCCATTCCTATTGTCCTGACACAGGAATGAATGTATTTATTATTTGGAAGTAGACTATTTATTCTCCACTTGCTCAGGAGATCATAACTAGTGTTAAAAGTTTGGTAAGTCTATAGGAATAATTGGCTCAGAATATAGGTACTAAATACTCAGATTCTGGTGAAGAGATCTAGATATTCTCTAAGTTTTACATGAATTATTTACTAAGACTCCAAACACTTGAAGCCTGAAATAGACAAGAAATAAAATCCCAGCCTAATCAGCAGAAATCTGATTAAAATTCTAGTATATTAAGTGACAGGCACATCCCTTTAACTTTCAATAACATTTGACATGTGCACTTATTCCACTAAATGAAATTATTTGCTTGTTTAGGGCTTTGTTAGATTAAGTCCAGAATATTTATGGATACATCCCATACCCTATTGGATAAAATATCTGAGCCAACAAATTCACACATTTTTGGAATTTTCTTCAGGTTTTCTGTAGGTGCTTAACGCTTAGTATTTCAATGATACTGTTTAATCAAACAGCTTGCTAATTTTAATACCTTTCCACATCAGAACCTGAGACAGGCCAGTGTAACGAAATGTATCAGAGGTAGACAGTTAAGAGTCCTGATTTCTATTCTTAGACCTGCTGGAAACCAGCATGTGATTTGGACCAGTCATCCTATATGGGCTGTAGTTCACTCATCTCTAAAGTAAGGAGATTAGATAAGTGATTCCCAAACGGATAATTGTGACAAGCATTCAGGATACTTTTTAAAAATATACATTTCCCAGCCACATCTTTATTTTGTGGGTCAACAGTGGTACCCAAGGATGTTAGGTTTTTAGAAAGCTCGTCAACTATTTCTAACGGGTGGTCTAGGTTGAGATCCTCCAGATGAATCCACATCAGGGTTTTTCAAAATAAGGGTCCAAGATCCACCTACATCAGAATCATCTGGAGTGATTATTAAAATAATGAATTCTGGAGCCTTCCCTCAGTTGTAACAGTCTGAATTTGGGGTGATGGAGACCAGGAATTTGCCTATTTAACAGGCTCTCCAGGTGATTTGAATGTACATGGAAGTTGTAAAACCACTGGTATAGATCATATGGAGAGAGGGTTACCTGTTTAAAATACAGATTCCCAGGCCTGTCTCTTTAAGGCTCAGGTGGAGGAGGTCCAGGAAAGGGGATAGGGAATCTGTGGTAAAATAATCAAGCAAGTTTGGGGAACGGTAGGCTATAGAAACTCTGTAAAGCCCTTAGATTTTTACATCTAGAATTCTATACCCAACACTTTGGGTAAAGCCTCCGGGAGGCACTTTAAAAGTGGACTTTACTCACGTGCTCCTGCAGGGAACAAGATACAGATAATCCCGAATCGAGCAAGAGTTCTTTTCTGGAAAGCCTCGGGTAAGTTGATTTTTAAGTAGGATGGAATCCCGTTGATTCACTCTGAATTTCAGGACATTTAAGTAGCATCTGCAAGGTGATGATATCAGTGTGTGAAGGAAAGGGTGTGGCTTCCAGATAATGGTCCTTCCTGTTGAATACAGCATTTTCCTTTAATGCAGAAAAAAAACTATGTATGACTTGATGGAGAGCTTTACATAAAGTCCAAGGAGCCATTTGAAAGCTTGCATCAATTCGAGAAGCAGACTGGACTGTGGCTAACTAAGGCAGTTTACTAATAGTGTGAAGAGAGGGAGTGTAATATTGATATGGCAAAAGAGAATTGTTGCTTTGGTGTTAACCAGGTGTCCCTTCTCTGCAGTGATGTTTATCCATGCATCGTTGAGACTTCGGAACCTCAAGAACAAACTGGAGAATAAAATGGAAGGAATAGGTTTGAAGAGGACACCGATGGGCATTGTCCTGGATGCCCTAGAACAGCAGGAAGAAGGCATCAACAGACTCACTGACTATATCAGCAAAGTGAAGGAATAAACATAACTTACCTGAGCTAGGGTTGCAGCAGAAATTGAGTTGCAGCTTGCCCTTGTCCAGACCTATGTTCTGCTTGCGTTTTTGAAACAGGAGGTGCACGTACCACCCAATTATCTATGGCAGCATGCATGTATAGGCCGAACTATTATCAGCTCTGATGTTTCAGAGAGAAGACCTCAGAAACCGAAAGAAAACCACCACCCTCCTATTGTGTCTGAAGTTTCACGTGTGTTTATGAAATCTAATGGGAAATGGATCACACGATTTCTTTAAGGGAATTAAAAAAAATAAAAGAATTACGGCTTTTACAGCAACAATACGATTATCTTATAGGAAAAAAAAAATCATTGTAAAGTATCAAGACAATACGAGTAAATGAAAAGGCTGTTAAAGTAGATGACATCATGTGTTAGCCTGTTCCTAATCCCCTAGAATTGTAATGTGTGGGATATAAATTAGTTTTTATTATTCTCTTAAAAATCAAAGATGATCTCTATCACTTTGCCACCTGTTTGATGTGCAGTGGAAACTGGTTAAGCCAGTTGTTCATACTTCCTTTACAAATATAAAGATAGCTGTTTAGGATATTTTGTTACATTTTTGTAAATTTTTGAAATGCTAGTAATGTGTTTTCACCAGCAAGTATTTGTTGCAAACTTAATGTCATTTTCCTTAAGATGGTTACAGCTATGTAACCTGTATTATTCTGGACGGACTTATTAAAATACAAACAGACAAAAAATAAAACAAAACTTGAGTTCTATTTACCTTGCACATTTTTTGTTGTTACAGTGAAAAAAATGGTCCAAGAAAATGTTTGCCATTTTTGCATTGTTTCGTTTTTAACTGGAACATTTAGAAAGAAGGAAATGAATGTGCATTTTATTAATTCCTTAGGGGCACAAGGAGGACAATAATAGCTGATCTTTTGAAATTTGAAAAACGTCTTTAGATGACCAAGCAAAAAGACTTTAAAAAATGGTAATGAAAATGGAATGCAGCTACTGCAGCTAATAAAAAATTTTAGATAGCAATTGTTACAACCATATGCCTTTATAGCTAGACATTAGAATTATGATAGCATGAGTTTATACATTCTATTATTTTTCCTCCCTTTCTCATGTTTTTATAAATAGGTAATAAAAAATGTTTTGCCTGCCAATTGAATGATTTCGTAGCTGAAGTAGAAACATTTAGGTTTCTGTAGCATTAAATTGTGAAGACAACTGGAGTGGTACTTACTGAAGAAACTCTCTGTATGTCCTAGAATAAGAAGCAATGATGTGCTGCTTCTGATTTTTCTTGCATTTTAAATTCTCAGCCAACCTACAGCCATGATCTTTAGCACAGTGATATCACCATGACTTCACAGACATGGTCTAGAATCTGTACCCTTACCCACATATGAAGAATAAAATTGATTAAAGGTTTTTTTGGTGAGACTTTATTTAATGCACATCTGTCTTAAATACCTGAGAAACTTGGCGACGACCCTATAAACAGTGAAGCAAACACTTCAGCTGTTTCAAATACTGTTTAGTAAAGCTTGAATACTTTATTAACTTGCAGCCAGAATAAAACAATTCCAGTGGGATCCTATTTTTAAACCTGGCACGAGTTTTATATACATGTTAGCCCAGTTTTATATACATGTTAGCCCATTCCATTTTCTACAAGGTGAATTCTGCCGATAAAATCCAATAAATTTGGAGAAACTAATAAAAAAAAAGATACCTGTAATTACTAATGGCCAGTAGTCAATTCTGGAAGGGTAATAACAGAAAAATGTAACATATAAATGTTGTAAATTATGATTACATTTAAAAACAAGCTAAAATCTGCAACTAAGATCTTTAGGGTTGGGTGGTAGAAAAAGCATAATGTGAACTGCTTCACCTCTTTTGGCAAAACCTGTGTATTGAGGCCATAAGCTATGAAATTGGATCATCTTTTCTTCTTGTATATCTAAGATAAAAACCCTCTTACTGTGCATTTTGAAATTCCTGACTTTAATAATACTGTGGCTATACAAACAAATGCATAGGGGCTTTCTAGAATTTTTTTTTTTTTTTTGAGATGAGGTTTCGCTCTTGTTGCCCAGGCTGGAGTGCAATGGTGCAATCTCAGCTCACTGCAACCTCCACCTCCCATGTTCAGGTGATTCTCCTGCCTCCCAAGTAGCTGGGATTACAGGCATGAGCTACCATGCCTGGCTAATTTTGTATTTTTTTTTTTTTTTTTTTTTTTTTTTAGTAGAA
Source organism: Homo sapiens (assembly GCF_000001405.40). NCBI lineage: Eukaryota > Metazoa > Chordata > Mammalia > Primates > Hominidae > Homo > Homo sapiens. The sequence continues at coordinate 69,106,895 of NC_000003.12, forward strand.
ATGGGGTTTCACCATGTTGGTCAGGCTGGTCTTGAACTCCTGACCTCATGTGATTCACCCACCTCGGCCGCCTACAGTGCTGGGATTACAGGCATGAGCCACCGCACCGGCCTAGAATTTCAACTACTAATTTACATTAAGCTTTTAATTATGTTTAAAGTGCTTTTCCTATCAGAGTTTAGCCTCTTAGATGTAGTATGTGCTAGACACTTGAAGTTTTGTTTGTTACAGCCCTTTCTTAGCTATCCTGCTTTGTATGCAAGGATGTTTTCTAGAAATATTGAAGGGTGAGAAAACAAAACTATCAGCCATTGAAAACTATATTTAAATTTGGATACTTTTGTACATACTAAATTATCTTAAAAAAATAGAAACGCCATATTTCTTTCCCATGGCTTGTCTTTCCAAATAATGTGTTGTTTTTAAGTCTGTCACAATTAGACCTATTCTCCCCTAGCCTGTTTGGTTTGATACATGCCACTTATGATAACATAAAAGGAGAAAGAAGGCAGGTGCCAATTATTTACTCAGGTAAAGAAGAGAGAAAAGGCACCAAAGGTTTTTTTTTTTTTTTTTTTTTTTTTTTTTTTTTTTTTTTTTGAGATGGAGTATCACTCTGTCACCCAGGCTGGAGTACAGTGACGTGATCTTGTCTCACTGCAACCTCTGCCTCCCCAGTTCAAGCAATTCTCCTGCCTCAGCCTCCCGAGTAGCTGGGATTACAGGTGCCTGCCATCATGCCCAGCTAATTTTTGTATTTTTAATAGAGACGGGGTTTCACCATGTTGGCCAGGCTGGTCTCGAACTCCTGACCTCTGGAGATCCTCCCTCCCTGGCCTCCCATAGTGCTGGGATTACAGGCATGAGCCACCGCACCTGGCCCAAAGCTTGATTTTCTAATTTCTAGGGTTCACACTACTTCTATTATTACAAAAATCTCAAATTCTATGCACCTAGTGGCTAGAATGAATAATTAAGGCCTCTAGGAACTTGGAAGAAGGACAGATTGGAGTTGTCTGGAAAATTTTTTATGGAGGACACAGGATCTGACCCGGGAGTTGAAGACTGGGTAGGACGTTCATTAATGGAGAACAGGAGGGAAGTCTCTTGGAAGGATTAATGCGAGCAAAGGCACAAGGGTGTGCACAAGGATGTTTCATCGAGTAGAGTATAAAGGATTTGTGGGAAATAAGACAGGATTAGTAAATTGGGGCCAGGCAATGGAGTGCCTTAAAGAATAGGATAAGTAGTTCAAGTTTAATCCTTCCTGTAAGCAAGTTTCCTTTAAAATATGTTTGAGAGTGATAAAATCAAATTAGACTTACAGAGTAAACACATATGAGCGTGTGTGTGTGTGTGTGTATTTAGCCAAAACCAAAAGCTTGTCAATAACTATATTATGTAAAACTTCTTTTCTATAAAAACAGCATGCTGTCTCCCATTGTCCCTCTATATATGAAAACTTGCTGCCAGGAAGTTTTCATATATGCAGGGTTTACTTTCCCATTACTTTTCCTAGTGACACTTAGTTTTCACCATGTTCTGTGGCTTACGTGTTCTGCCCCTCACAGGTACCCCTATAGAAAGAATACTCCAAAACACCAAGGGAGTCACCAAGAGAGAAAGCCAGGCAGGGTGGGAAACTGAAAATCTCCACTGATTCTGCAGAGAAGCTCTAAGGAACAATCCTTCCATTTCAAAGCATCAGAAGGGCCAGGAGCTCAATTCATCCTTCACATTTCCATAGGATGAAACATTATTTGTTCCCTTTAAGATACTATGTGATGAATTACCGCAGAAGAGATGGAAGGAGAAAAAAATGGGAATACAATAGTTAACACTTCTGTTATATTTATTATTTACCAGAAGAAAACAATAATAAAGCAAATGTTTAAAAAATTTTCTTTAACTTCTGCTTCGGGAAATATGACTCTAAATTTCACCTGAGTCACTCAAATTGATTGCAAGTAGAAAATATTGCCTCTAAATATTATATTTTATCTCCTTCCACCTTCCTCTTCAGCCCCTACTTCTTCATGGCCCAAACATTCTGCCTTTTACAAATACCCTTATCAGATGGTAGCATTGTTTCCAGTTCTGCCACGTGGATCCTAAAGTATTGCTGCTGACATAGTCTCCATGCTGTAATCCAAGAGTCACTATTTCCATTTCTTGTTCTTCTAGATGGCTCTGTTGCCTCTTACGCCAGTTCTTTTGGCAGTTGCACCTGCGATTTAAGCATTTGAGGAAACGGGGGAAATTAATCCTGGAAATTTAAGAGCTTTGCAGCAAAATTTACAAAATTTACATGCCTTAAAAGATACAGAATAGGTTTGAAATTCTGGCCAAAGCACCTCCAAAATCAAGATAAAACAACAATCATAACCACAGCCACCATTTATTAGACATTTACTAATGCCAGGGACTGTTCCAAGAGCTTTGAGCACATGGCAAAGTAACATCATGGAAATAAGAGGGCGGGTGCCTAAGTTGGCCTGGGTTCAAAGACTGGCACTAGCATGTAGTAGTTATGTGGTGTTGGGCATCAGTTTTCTCAGCTGTAAAATGATAATAACAGTATCTAATTCACAAGGCTATTATACAAGTGAGTAATCCATGTTAACACTTTTTTTTTTTTTTTTTTTTTTTTTGAGATGGAGTCTCAGTCTATCTTCCAGGCTGGAGTGCAGTGACACCATCTTGGCTCACTGCAACCTCCAACTCCCGGGTTCAAGCGATTCTCCTGCCTCAGCCTCCCAAGTAGCTTGGATTACAGGCATGTGCCACCAATGCCCAGCTAATTTTTGTATTTTTAGTAGAGACAGGGTTTCACCATGTTGGCCTGGCTGGTCTCAAACTCCTGGCCTCAAGTGATTCACTTGCTTCGGACTCTCAAAGTGCTGAGATTACAGGCATGAGCACCCGGCCTAACACTTATTTTTAAAACAGTATCTCATTACATCCTACAAAAGCCTTGTAGGGAGAGAAATGGCTCAGAGAAGACAATAACTTGCCTAAGATCATACAGCTAGGAAGTGGCAGAGCAGGATTTGAACCAGGTCTGCCTGATTTCAGTGCTCATTATTATACACTGCCTGTAAAAATATCACTATAAGAATATAAAATATATGTTCTTTTTAAAACATGTCTTTCCTCTTTGAAGCACACTCCTAATCTGATGGTCAGAAATATTTAAACATGAAATATAAGCCAGGCAAGGGGGCATGCACCTGTAATCCTGGCTACTCAGGAGATTGAGATGGGAGAATCACTTGTGGCCAGGAGTTCGAGACCAGCTTGAACAACAAAGTGAGACCCATCTCACCTTGTTAGGATTTTTATTTTATTTTTTTTAGACAAAGTCTTACTCTGTCACCCAGGCTGGAGTGGAGTGGCATGATCCCGGCTCAAGACAACCTCTGCCTCCCAGGTTCAAGCGATTCTCCTGCCTCAGACTCCCAAGTAGCTGGGACTACAGGTGCATGCCACCACGCCCAGCTAATTTTTGTATTTTTAGTAGAGACGGGGTTTCACCATGTCGGCCAGGCTTGTCGTGAACTCCTGACCTCAGGTGCTCCACCCACCTTGGCCTCCCAGAGTGCTGGGATTACAGGTGTGAGCCACCGCACCCAGCCACCTGATTTTCTTAAAAGAGTTTTATAACAAGGCTGGGCGCGGTGGCTGACGCCTGTAATTCCAGCACTTTGGGAGGCCGAGGTGGGCGGTTCTCCTGAGGTCAGGAGTTCAAGACAAGCCTGGCCAACAGGGTGAAACCCTGTCTTTACTAAAAATACAAAAATTAGCTGGGCGTGGTGGCACGTGCCTGTAATCCCAGCTACTCAGGGAGCTGAGGCAGGAGAATTGCTTGAACCCGGGAGGCAGAGGTTGCCTTGAGCTGGGATCCCACCACTGCACTCCAGCCTGGGCAACAGAGACACCATCTCAAAAAAAAAAAAAAAATATATATATATATATATATATATTTAAAGCATCCCCCAAGACAAAAAAAAATTATAAAACAACAACAGAAGTCCAACACTGCAAACCCACTTCATACTTCTGCCTCATAGGAAAACCTTAAGGACAAAGCAAGTTTTTAAAGGGTTTCAAGTGTCATTGTATCTTAGGAAAGTAACTCATCAACTCATCCATCATGTATGTACCTTCCAGAGGACACTGAAGATGCCCAGTGTCCCCAGGGCATTTGTATAACAATGACTAGGAATGTTTCTCCCTGTATTGCTAATGTCCACCTGCCAGTGTGATGAACCATTTTGGTCATCTGCTCTGGCTCCTCTTGCAGCCAGTTCTCAGCCCACGATCTTTGGCTAGGAATGTTTTTCCAATATTCTGCCCACCAGAGAGGACCTTTGATGTGCTGCTGCCTGCCAGCCTTCAAGCCAAGGGGACTTCCATGGCTTCTGACCCTCTACCTCCCTTGTGCCAAACTTTGAGAAGAGAGGGGTATGACTGCACCCTGCAGGGCTCTCCCATGGAGAACACCAGTAGTTAAGAGAAACCATGAGCCAGGTATTTAAAATAACTGTAAAGCTGCAATAAATAGTTAAAACACTGTGTTCTTTGTATTATGGAATGGAAAAAGAAGCATTTTATATAAGTTATTCCCTGTATTTGTTTATATATGCATGGAAGAGTTCCAAAATAATATTTTAAATTTAAAAATTTTTTAATTATTTAGAGAGATGAGGATCTCACTGTCACCCAGGCTGGAGCGCAGTGGTGCAATGATAACTCAAAGCAGCCAGGCCCTCCTGGACTCAAGTGATCCTCTTGCCTTGGCCTCCCAAAGTACTGGTATTACAGGTGTGAGCCACCATGCCCAGCCCAGAATAATATTTTAAAAAGAAAATGTGGCACTGACCCAGAATAGTAAACCCAGACACATATTTACTTTAAAGTATGACCAAGCTGGTAGTTCAGATCACTGGGGAAAAGAGGAATCAGTCACTAAATGATCACTGGTTAACTATTTGGAAAAGAAATAATGAAATAGCCTTCTTGCTTTCTACTGACTTTAAAAATTAACCCTTTAATCTATCCATAATATCAAATATTTTTTAAAAACCAAAAACTATAAAAGTTGCAAGAAAAGGCAGGCACACATTTTAATCATTTTCAAAGAGGCCATTTCTAAGCAGAATACAAAAGGTAGAAATCATAAAAATAGCTAGATATGATGTCATAAAAATGTAAAACTTACAAACAGAAGAAAATCAACTTGTGTTATTGGTAGGGAGCCTTTTTCCCCTTTGCTTGTTAGTTTTCAAAGAAAGTATGTCTAGTGTGCTTGTGTGTGTGTGTGTGTCTAGCATCACACAGTGCACACATACGCATACACTCAGAGGCTTGGAGGCAGAGCGGGTGGGAAAGTTGGTTTCAGCACAGGCTATTTAATTTGGTCTACCTGTATTAAGTTCCTGCTCTGGACCAACACCTCAGTGGATGTCCAGGACAGAGATGAGCAAGACCTGCTTTGAAGAACTCAGAATCCTGTAAGGCTCAAAGTCTTTCCACCACTGTGGCCAGAAGGGCTGTCAACCTGAAGCAGAATGTGGGAGGTGCTATAAAAGAGGTGTGGACAAAAAAGGTAATGGAAATACACAGGCAGAGTACCCCTAACGTTTTTTTGTAAGAAGTAGCATTTGAGTCAAGCCTTGGAAATTGGATAGATTCTAACAGAGATAGAAGAAAAGGTAATTTGAGGCAAAGGGTGGTACAGAGGCAAGAAAGCAAGGCCCTTCAGGGAAGACAGCAGCAGACATGGTTTACCATAGATGTCACCGAGTCGTGATTGTCAAATGTGGTCCCAGAATAAGCAGCAGCAGCATTACCAGGGAATTTGTCAGAAATGCAAATATTTAGGCCCCATCCAAGACCTACTGAATCAGAGACTCTGTCAGTGGACTCAGTAATCTGTATTTAGCCCTTTAGGTGATTTTGATCCACAATAACATTTGAGAATCACTATATGGACTTTAGAAAAGTGTATAAAAAACCTTTTTTCCCACTACACATCAAAGGCAAGCAATTCTGGTTTATATAATTCCTGGATTATACGTGCTCTTGATGAGCTTGAAATGTTACATTGCTTTTTTCCTATGGAGGCTCCCTTCATTAGAATTGTAACATTTCCAAAGCTATGATCTATGTTTGGCTTTGGCTTTTATAGATCATCCTGGTTTCTTTATTGGAGGTCCTAAAAATGGGGGAGGAGGGGTCGAAGGAAGAAAAAGAAGTAGAAGGTAACCCTGGAGTTTCAGACCTGAATGCGTGACAGAATGGAGATAAGACAGAAAACTGGGAACCAGAAGCAACCACTAGGCCTAAAAATGAGCAGCTTGGTTTGGGGACAGATTGAACGTGCTAAGAAAACCCTGAGTGATCTAAAGGGAAAGGGAGATTTGGGAATTGTTCTAGATTATGTGACAAGAGAAAGAGGAGAAAATTTCCCATTATGTGATGAGAAAGAGGAGAAAAGTACAAAAGGAGAGAATCTAGAGAATCTGGCTAAAGAGAAAGAAGACCTCATAAATGAGGCAAAGAAGAAATGGCCAGTGATGAAGATGAATGCTGAAGGGTTTGTAAACTTCAGTTCTGTAATCATAACAACCCCTAATGTGTCATGGAGTCTTTTGATGTACTAAGGCGGCCCATGATATTATTATACTGAAGTCTTTCTGGAGGAAAATTTAGCAATGGCTTTAGCCAACTGGATGGGAGCAGTCCAGATATACATGAGTAAGCCTGAAGTGAAATTGAGTGAATGTTAAAATAGTTATCTTGCGTGATTGGCACAGAAGCTTGGATATGATACAAAATGCAGCTGGCCTCAGGGAATTAGACAGTTGCTGCAAATGGGATTTTATCTCAGTGAAAAGTACAAACACTCATTTGAGATGGTAGGAGTGAGCAGACCACAAGATTTTTGAAGATGAAAGAATATCACACATTTGTCAGGGAGGGATAGGCCTATACCAGCCTAATGTCTTTGTGTTATCATACGACTCAGCTTTATTAACTCATAGGGAAATGATTTAGTCATTATCCAATAAATTCAGTTTGTTAGATAAGACAAAGATTTTTAAAAACATAGCTAAAAACAACAAGAGCATAATAAAAAAATTCTACAGAAGCCAGATAAGTCATGTAAATGAGTGAAGCATGCCAGGTACAAAGCAGTAAGGGCAAAAGAGAAAAACTAGAGGGTCCATGAGCATTCTCAAGGATGAAACCAATGCATAGAAACAGCTAATTTTTTCCATGCAAGTGCAGTGTGGCCAGATCTGATGTTCCAAGTGGTGCTAGATATCTGGATTTTTTTGCATGTGACATTCAAAAACTTACACAATGATACCCAAGCTAAATAAAGTGGGCCTGCTTTACCTCATGCTTTACCAGATCTGACCTCATGCTTTACCAGTTTTCAATACCTGGCCCACGGAGTAAACTTCTTTTAAACTGAATTGAATGGGTAATTTCTCAGAGGAGGAAGCATTTGAGCAAAGCAAGTATATGGATTTTCCTTTATTTTTTTGCCAGCAACTTCATTTCAGGTATCCCAGGCCAGAAGCGTGGGGTAGGGAGAGAATAAGCATTAATTTAAAATTTTTGAGACAGAATCTCGCTCTGTCGCCCAGGCTGGAGTGCAGTGGCACCATCTTGGCTCACTGCAAACTCCACCTCCCAGGTTCTAGTGATTCTCATACCTCAGCCTCCCAAGTAGCTGGGATTACAGGCGAGCACCACCACACCCGAATATTTTTGTATTTTTAGTAGAGATGGGTTTTCACCACGTTGGCCAGGTTGGTCTCAAACTCCTGGCCTCAAGTGATCGACCTCCCAAAGTGCTGGGATCACAGGTGTGAGCCACCGCACCCAGCCTAAAAAAGAATTTTAAAATACATGTGCTCTATCAAATACAAAAGTAATATTTCCAAATCTATAAGGAAAATAACTACTTTTATTTTTCACACAGGGTCTCACTCTGTTGCCCAGGCTGTAGTGCAGTGGCACAAACATGGCTCACTGCAGCCTTGACTTCCTGAGCTCAAGTGATCCTCCTGCCTCAGCCTCTTGTGTAGCTGGTACCACAGGTGCATGCCATCACACCAGGCTAACTTTTAAAAATGTTTTGTAGAAACAGGATCTCACTTTGTTTTGTTGCTCATGTTGGTCTTGAATTCCTGGGCTCAAGCAATCCTTCTGCCTTGGCCTCCCAAACTGTTGAGATTACAGGTATGAACCACCGCTCCCAGCCAGTAACTACAATTTAAAAAAATTTTTCTGTCGAGCATGGTGGCTGATGCCTGTAATCCCGCCACTTTGGGAGGCTGAAGCGGAAGGATCACTTGAGCTCAAGAATTTGAGACCAGCCAGGGCAACATAGTGAGATCTCATCCCTACAAATTAAAAAACAAAAAAAAATTAGCCGTGTGTGGTGAGTGCGGTCCCAGCTACTCAGGAGTCTGAGGTGGGAGGATCACTTGAGCCCTGGAGGTTGAGGCTGCAGTGAGCCATAATTGAGCTACTGCACTCCAGCCTGGGTGATAGAGTGAGATCCTGCCTCAAACACACACACACACACACACACACACACACACACAAAACTTTTCTAAGAAAAAAATTTGTTTCTGAATAATGTTCTCTTTAGTAACATCATACACACACAGAGAACCCCACAAGGTTTCAAAACTGTGTTTTAATTTTAACCTCGTTCTTGAAAATCCAGGGATTTGGAGGGTATCTGTCCCAAATCCCCAAAACCCTTCATTTCACCTCTATCAAGTGAACATTGTCTTGTCTCACTTGATTGGCTAAAACTATCCCTTTCTGCTGAGATTTTGTGACATTACCATTTATAGTGTTTACTGTACTTTGAGTCTAAGATGTATATTTTGGGACATTTCAACAGCTCTGAAATCAGAATCCATCTTAAAATCGATGGTGTTTTACAATAGTTGGCTGGAGACCCAAGTGTGAACACATCATAGCTACTCATACTATTATTACCTCCATTGAGTCATGTGCCCTGTTGATACTACACACACAGATGTATTGCCTCTTAAAATAGCTTTTAAAGAAAGATAAGTAAGCAAATGTGGTAAAGTGAGACGGGTATGCAAGAATTCTTTGTACTACTTTTGACCTTCTGTAAGTCTAAAATGACCTCAAAACAAAACAAAAAAATTAAAATATCTTTTAAAAGATTATACTATGTTTTGGCTTTAAAGCAGAAATTTATAGTACATGCAGAAAGGCACAGAAACAGAGTGCTGGGAAGCAATCTGATATTAGTGAAGCAAATTTTCATTAGTGCAAGGAGGCATTTTCATATTTTTCTTGCCGAGTGTTTTCCAGGACCGAATAGATGAAGTTGTGTGACATTTTGTAACTGAGACACATGCAAACAGATCTGTCACAGGCCAAGCCAGGCAACTGAAGGCAGGAGAAATTGCCAATCCTTCAGAATAAATGAAGCCCTTTCAAAACCGAGGGTGATATGCAAGATTGTCATTCAAAAAGCATGTCAGAGTTCACTTTGCGGCATGTTTTTCTTGAATTATTTTTTTTAAAACACCACCACCAAATACACTTAAAATTGGTAGTAGTTTTGAATTGATTAAAATATGAAAAATGCAGTGCTTGGTGGGGTGTTTTATTCTTGCAATTATCATCATGAATTTATTTTAATGTCTTTTGTCCTAGACTCTAGACCCAAAACTGTAGTGTTCTCAGTTGAGTAAAAGGCAGAGGGGTGAAAAATTAAACCTACACTGTAAGCTCTGTGTGCGGTCGAGACTGAACCTGACTTACCACTATATCCCCAATCCTTCTCATCTGCCTGACATATATATTTGTTAGATTAACAAATAAGTGAATGGATAGAATGGAATTGACCCAGGAAAAATGGATTTGCTCAGCAGAGCACTCAGAAGTCAGGGAGTTGGTTCAGATGCTCTTCTGAACTTCATTCCCTCTTCTACTCCGAACTTACATGCCACCTTTGGCACAGATTTTTTCAAAAGACGTCTCATCATTCTTTTCAGACTGCTCTTTTCTGAATGTACAGCCACCAAGGTGGCTTGAATATTCTTTGCCAATGACTAGTTACTGGAAAAGTGGTAGAACTAGTTTCTCTCAAACAATACCCCAATTCATTCCTAGGGGAGTTCTGGCTGTCCAGAGAAGAGCAGGTGCAGAAAGTCTTGATGTTGTGCCCAAGGGCAGGCAAAGAACCATTGTCTGACCTCATGTGACCTCCAGCGTTCTCACCCTGGCCACTGCTCCAGGAAGAATCAGAGCCTCTCTAAATCATAGATGAAAGTCAGCTTTGATTTAGAAGAATGGGCTATTGATAATTCTCCATTCTAGGAGTTGGGAATAAGGACGATACATATGTGAAAGACTAGCAATTATTTCAGAATATCAAGCTCTTTAAAGCAGAAAAAGAGCAAGCATGCATAAAAATTCAACATGTTTTGAAAAAACATGAATCTGTGTAACAAAATAATATACAGACTATTCTGCCAACATAATCTCGTGGCTATATTACAGGAGATTTTAAAATAATATAGTTAATTATCAATCACCTGCGGCCTCTGAACACATCTTTCAACCTCAATAAACGCCATCATAATAATGACCAAAATATCTTCATTTCTGCAACTTAAGTTGCACGGAAAATAACTTTTCCACTCGGCAGTAATCGTGGATCATGGTAAATGTTAAATTGAAATAGTGATTTTAAAACTCCGTGAATTCATGGTGACACCAACCTGAAGTTCAACATTTATCTGCCTAAAAAGTGAGCAATACAAATGCAATTTCGAACAGTCTCTCTTCATCTACTAAAAAGAACTGTTTCTATGCATTTTGGAAGCATTCCATTATCTACAAACAACTGGCCCAATTTGGGTGGTTTTTTTTTTTTTTTTTTAGATGGAGTCTCGCTCTGTCACCAGGCTGGAGTACAGTGGTGCAATCTCCGCTCACTGCACCATCCGCCTCCCAAGTTCAAGTGACTCTCCTGCCTCAGCCTCCTGAGTAGCTGGGACTACAGGTGCCCGCCACCATGCCCAGATAATTTTTGTATTTTTAGTAGAGATGGGGTTTCACCATGTTGGCCAGAATGATCTTGATCTCTTGACCTTGTGATCCACCTGCTTTGGCCTCCCAAAGTGCTGGGATTACAGGCGTGAGCCAATGCGCCCGGCCTGGCCTCATTCTTATTTATTCCTCACTGTAGGTTCCTAGGGATCTCTGAGTGTCAGCTCCATTGTGGCTGGAATGGTGTTCTTTTGAATATGCACTTGAAGAGGTCAGAAGAAGAGGTGAATTAAAGCTTGACTCTAGACTCAGAACCGGGTTTCAATGTCAGCTCTACCACTTCCTAGCTGTGTCTCCTCCACATGTTATTAAATTCTCTAAGCCTCAGTATCCTTTTTATTAAATGGGGAGAATAACAGTACCTAGCTTATAGGGTTAGTAAGATGATTACATGAGTTAATTCATATAACAACTCCAGCCTATAGTAAATGCTCCCTAAATGTTAGCTGCTAATATCGTTGTTACAGAAGTCATATAGGCGTACCTAGAGATGGGGTGCTACAGGTGTACATCCTTAGGGATAGCAGTAATTTAGTTCTATTGGTAATGCTCATTGGCTTCCCCCAGTTGGTCTCAATTAGTGAGTATCCCCTTATGTTAAAACAGAGAGGGAATAAAGTTGGGATGCATTTACTATGGAGGGTGCTCAGTCACCATTTCTCCCTCCTTCTACTTACAGGTTTAAGATAGGCGACACTGCTGTGACGAATGTCGTTTAGCAGCTGATCTCTGGGAGTGATTTCCACCAATGGGGGTGGCCTGTTTCTCGGCACTGGCTTGAGCGTTTTGATGACATCTTTGAGGTTGGTTTTCTCGGGTGGTTCTCTGGCTTCCGGCATCCGAGATTTGCGCTGGATTCTCTTCAGCTTCACCACCCGGAAGGAGTCAGGGTCTGTCCTGTACTTCGGGGCCTGCGATGGCTTTTTCATCATTTCACTGCGTTGACTAAAGGGGACATTTTGGGGGTTGGGAGGCCGAGGTGGCGGTGGCTGGAAGAATTCCTGCATTCTGGAATCTGGCTTGGGTCCTCCCAACAGCTCCCACATCCCAGGGGGCAGCCCCAACCCATTCTCTAACATGGCTATCAGCTTCTTCTGTTCCTTGAGTTGCTGCTGTTTTTGCTCTTCCTGTCGTTTCTGCCTTTGTTTATCCTGATTCCTGGTGAGCAGATTAGTGACCACCATTCTGGGACCCGGAAGCTCAAAATGGTAGCCCATCTTCAGGAGAGTGTTGTTTGCCTTCAAAAGCCTGGCTATTTCCATTTCAGCATGGTGACCCAACATGTGCCTCTGATTGTGAAACCGAAGCTCAGTTAGCGTCTCATTAAACTGGAGACACCTCATGATGGCCACAATCCCTTTACCTGTGATGAAATTGGACTCGATGTTGAGAGTGGTGATGCTTCTATTTTCACGCAACATGTTAGCCAAGGCAAATGCTACATTCTCATCTGCACCCACATTGGCTAAACTGAATGTTTTGATGTGCTTGTTTTTCTTCATTGCATTGACAAAGTCCAGTAACATTTCTTTGGGGATGTTTTCAATGTTGTTCAGGTTGAGTTCCTTCATGTCAGGATCATTTTTCCTAACTCTCCTCAAGCTCCCATCCAGGTCTGTCTGGTTTCCTGAAGGCCTTGTACTTACCTTCAAAAAGCTGGTGTCTAGAGCTAACTTCTTAGGATCTAATTTCGATATTTTTTTCTCACTTTGTTCTTGGGCCTCTGGTCTGTCTCTCTGTTCTTTGAATGCTTTGTCAGTTACCTGCTGGCAGTTGTTCTCACAATTTCTAATTTGTTCCTTTGCTTTGCCTTCCTCTTCTCTGTTCGTTTCTTCACTCTCTTCACCATCATCTTCTCCTTCGTCGTCATCATCATCATCTTCTTCTTCTTCATCTTCTTCATCTGTTTCTTGGATATTGCTGCTGCCCTTTGATTCTCTTTTATTTGCAACTATTTCATTATTGAGCTTTTCTTTTAAATACTGGGCCATATTTTTATTACGTTTTTCTATTTCTTCATGCTCTTCTTGAGTCTTTTCCTACAAGAGAGGTTTATGAGGGTTAGAATACATAGCAGAGAAGAAATATGAAGTGGAGCATCAGCTAGTGGAGATAATAAAAATGCTTATTTAAAAGAGCTGGTTGCTATTTTAAATAATCCTTATTTAAATAGCTGATTGCTAAAAATGGGTGGTTATTCTATCCCATAAATTAAAATGAGTATTAAAAGGAAACCTTATTAATTTTAATATTCTGTACTTTTTAATGGTGTTTAATTTCAGAAGCAGTTAAAAATTGTTTTGAAAACCTCATAGAATTGTTCATCGATACACTGAAGCTTTGATTTTGTATCTACCAAATAGGCATCTAGTACCCAACAGTCCTGAGTTAGGGCAATAATTTCCTTATTATTCCAATATATTATAAATGTGATACTATAAATATATTAGAATAAGGAAATTATTGCCCTAAAATTAACATCCCTACAATGTCTACTAATCTAGTATAGAATGTACATGAACTTCCTCTGAGAACATAACATAATGTATGGGAAATTAGATACGTTTGACATTTTGGAATATATATATATTTAAAAACCTCAATTTTGATTTTGAATATATATATATACATATATATATTTAAAACCTCAATTTTGATTCTATTTTTTCAGTTCTTTGACAACTGCCATGATACTCTGTCTAGGACAAGTTTACTATCCCAGTTTCTTGTGAAAGAAAGTGCCTAGGAACCAGGGCCAGCTGTAAGATGAAACAGGATTATGCAGACATTGAGAAATAATTGCTTAGTCTGGGAAATAAAATGGGCCTTTTATCAATAATATGTATTAGATTCTTGCACATCAATTATAATGCTTTTCTATGCAACTTGTGGGCCTCATAGATATCATTTTGAAAGCCAGTATAGCAAGTTGAGACACAGGTTCATTTGAGCAAAAATTTCATGCTCATAACATAGGTCAGAAGAGACAGTGACAAGTCACCTTAACCACCTGAAGTCTTCACCACTGCATTTCTCACCTTGACCAGAAGGGGGAGCCAACCATCAAGCTGTTCAAGTTATACCAGAGGAAGGAAAAACATGTTGCAAGTACTCGTTTTTACCCCCTGAAACTGGCATTCACATAGAATTGGCTTTTCATCCATTGATCTCCAGTTGTAAAAAATCTGCAAATTGTACCTTGAACTCTAACCTGATCAATCCAGCTGTTTCTTTTCTTAATCTTAGCACATGTTTAAACTCTACTGACTGTAAAACCAATTGACAACTTTCCTTAATTACAGCCAGCTTCAGAGTAATTTAACAAGATGTATCTTTGTAAACAGGCATAACCTAAAGAGACTTTACCTAGGAGGCATCTCTGTCCTCTTTTTGTTAAGTCATTTTCAAGTGGAACATAAAAAAAAAAATTATGCTCATGCACAGTAAGTTTGCAGAGTTAACAATTCTAGCTTTCAGGTTTTAGAAAGTGAAGAACTAGCTTCAAAACCACTTAATAGCCATCGATTTCTAAATGTCATCACTGACAGCCAATACATAGTAATAATATAAGACATTTTCTGGTTATTCGACTTGGTTTAATTGCAGGTTGTGTGGCCAGACTTCAGGAGGACTGAAATGTTTGACACTGTGTGCGAAACACTGCGTATGTTTGGATGTGCCAGAGAGACAGAGGCTACAGAGCTGTCATTACTTTCTCAAAGGGGCCTGCAATAAAAAAGAAAGAGAGAGGTAAGGACAACTGCCTCTGGGTTATGAGTTAAGTCACTAAGTATCGTGGCAATAGAACACAGGCTTTCTGACACAGCAAACCCGACAGCAATTTTTAAAAAGAGACATTTGCAAGAAATTACCCAATTTTCCCCTTGTAAATATAAATGTGTTTCAGAAAGTTCCAGTCGGAGTAGGATTAAATATTATGGTTTAATCTAGATATGGCAAAAACAAAGCAGAACCAAACCCTGGAGTCTTGAGAAATCACAGTTACAACAGAGAGACCTAACAGCCCATCCCAGGCAGCCATTTCTCGGTTGTACACAAATCTCTGGTTACCTCGGATTTCACAAAGGTGACAGGAACTCGTTCCTCTTCCAGCATGCGCCTGGATGCCTTTTCCCAATACATATAATCAACAAGAGATTTATGATTGAAGTTTCCTGTCGGTGGCTTGTCAGTTTGATCTTTCTGAATCATTCCCACGGGAAGGCTGGGGTCAGGGGCCATGACTTCCATTTCCGACTGCAGTTCTTTCAGTTCTTCAGCAGACAAGTTGGCCAAGATTTCATCTTCATTAATCTCCTCATCGAGAAGTTCTTCTTGATCTGAATTTCTGCTGTGCTCTGACATTATTTTTTCTAAATATTATTTTACTAGAAAAGAAGAATAATCAAAGATGATTTTTAAAAAGAAGGAAAAAAGCCTCAAGAAGGTCCCCCAGTTAACGAGTGTCCCAAGTTAACACACCCTTGAGATATTTTTTTTTTTTTCCCAGGAACCTCAGTGGTTTGCTGAGCAGCTAGGAGTGATCACAGCTAAGCTCTTGCCGGATCTATATTAAGCAGGGCTTGGCTGGATGGGGTCAATTTATGGAACAACTATGCTGCTCTCTTTTTGGCAACTTGAGTCAGCTGCGCAAATCCATCTGACATTTCAGTACAGCTGCTATGTTTGCCAGAGACTAGCAGAGACTACAGAATCTCTGCAGGAATAAAATTAATTATCTTCCTATATGCCATCATATTGCCATACACAAATTCATGCAGCTCATACATACATACCCCAATACTCCAGGGGATTCCACTTGTTTTTATTTAAATATTAAAGCAACTTACAATATTTCAGAAGGGAAATCCAACCAGCAACCTGAGTTGTTTCTGAAGTAAAGAATTCACTTGAAGGTAGAAATCAAGCTCTTAGGGTCTGCCTCTTCCCTACAAGGTGAGTGTGGAAGCAAATAAAGTGGTGCACAGTGGAACAGAGGTCTTGCTATGTCACTCATCCTCTGTGTAAGCCGAACCTTTGCAAGATGTCCTGTTTGCATCTAGATCCTGTGATCTAACAGATGGGGACAACCAGCACTTGGATTTCCACTATAAGTGAGTTTAATATTTTAAATTATTTGCTTTTCTTATTAAGTATCCATTAAGCCAATATCAATGAAAATGGCTCTAAAGTGAAGTGTTAAAAAAGAAATCCAGACCACTAATATACTAAAAGAAACTATGAGAAGATTTTGTTTTCAAACCCTGAAGGGGCAATATGCAACATTTGTCCAAATTACAAATGCCCATTTCCTTTGACCCAGCAATTCCACTTTGAGAAGTGTATCCTACAGATATACCCCTACATGGGTGAAACAACGTGTGTACAAGGTTACACAATATAGCAAAGTACAAAACAGTGTGTTTTACATGCCATTATTTGTGTGACAAAGGGTACAATAATATATAATATACAAGTTTTATTATATATATATTTAAGACAGGGTCTGGCTCTGTCACCCAGGCTGGAGGGCAGTGCTGCGATCTCAGCTCACTGCAACCTCTGCCTCCCAGGATCAAGCTGGGACCACAGGCATGCACCACTACACCCAGCTAATTGTATTTTTTGTAGAGACAGGGTTTTGCCATATTGCTCAGGCTGGTCTCGAATTTCTGAGTTCAAGCAATCCACCTGCCTCGGTGTCCCAAAGTTCTGGGATTACAGGCGTGAGCCACCGTGCCTGGCTCGTAAATATATTCTTATTCCGAAATATACATTCATTGTACAAGAGTTAGGATAACATAGAAAGGCACAGAACAAAATCTTCCCCTTACCTCACTGTGAAGCTACCACTATTAACATTTCAGTTTTTTCATTCCAGTCCTTTCTTTTAGGCATACAAACTCTATCATTTTTTCTCATCTGTTTTTTTGACTGAGAAAGTCAGGATTCTTTTTTTCTAGGCAACTGTGTACTCTACTACTAAATAATTTTTTATTGCCCTCTGTTAGGATTCTTTATATGGATGTACCATAATTTGTATAACCAATCCTCAATTGTTGGATATTTAGAATGTTTTCAATTCTCACAAGCACAAATAGTTCTTTAATAAATATCCCTATACCTAAATAGTTTATAAACACACAAGTTTATTTCTTTAGAGTAAATTGAACAAATTCTAAAAAGTGAAATTGCTAGGTCACAGAATACGAAGAAATTAAATACTTTTTATATGTAGATTAAAGTAACAGCAAAAATCACAATTACTTTTGCACCAACCTACTAGGACCCATCTCCAATCTACTTATATTAAATATTTACAAATACTATACATGTTGGCCGGGCGCCGTGCTCATGCCTGTAATCCCAGCACTTTGGGAGGCCGAGGCGGGCAGATCACCTGAGGTCAGGAGTTCAAGACCAGCCTGGCCAATATAGCAAAACTCTATCTCTACTAAAAATACAAAAATTAGCCAGGCGTGGTAGCAGGCACCTGTAGCCCCAGCTACCCGGGAAGCTGAGGCAGAGAATCACCTGAACCTGGGAGGCAGAGGCTGCAGTGAGCTGAGATCACACAACTGCATTCCAGCCTGGGTGGCAGAGCAAGACTCCATCTTAAAATAAATAAATAAAAACAAACAAACAGATATACATGTTACCATTCCAACATTTCATATATATGTAAGTTTGAAACTTGAGACACCCCCATTCCTTTCTCCAAAAGTATCCAAGGATTTTAGTTTCTTGTGTATCTGTCCAAGGATATTTTATTGATAAAATTTGTGAAAAAGGAAGAAAAAAAAAATCAAATCAAGTGTGAGTTTGAAATGAAAGTTATAATATTTTCTTCCTACCCTAGTGTTTTATCTTGAGCATTCCAGGTTGAAAGGCTTTTCATATGTAATTAATGCCCCAGAAAGGTATTTCCAATTTACTTGAATGAGAATTTTCAAAGGACACAGTTATGTACTGGCAACTTATCCCTGGCCTCTCGCCTATCAGGTCTTCTCTTCTTCTTTTTTTTTTTTTTTTTTTTTTTTGAGACTGAGTCTCACTCTATTGCCCAGGCTGGAGTACGGTGGTATGATCTCGGCTCACTGCAACCTCTGCCTCCTGGGTTCAAGTGATTCTTGTGCTTCAGCCTCCCCAGTAGTTGAGACTACAGGCGTGTACCACCACACCCGGCTAATTTTTGTATTTTTAGTAGAGATGGGTTTTCACCATGTTGGCCAGGCTGGTCTTGAACTCCTGACCTCAGGTGATCTGCCCATCTCGGCCTTCCAAAGTGCTGGATTACAGGCGTGAGCCACCATGCCTGGCCAGGTCTTCTTTTAGTCCCTGTAAAAGGGGGAAGAGTTGAGCCTTGGTGGGCAGGGAGGTAGACCACTTTGTAGACCACTGATTTGTGGACCATCATTTCATAGAGTTTTCTTTGCAGAACAATGATCTAAAGAGATTCAGTCAAAACAAAAACAAAACAAAACAAAACAAGAACAACAAATCAATTTTGTTCAGGGAGGCTTGGGAAATGTTATATTCTGCATTTGTGTTTTAGATATTTGTAAAGCACAATTAGCTTTGAGAAACTCTGAGAAATTCTACACTAAAGAAACCAGTTTTTTAACCTAACCCTCCCCAATCTTAAATAATTCATATTTTGGGAAATACAGAGCTAAATATTAAAGAGCAGCCTCTGGAGTCAGTATACCTGGATTTCAGTGTCAGCTCCATTCCTAACTTAGGTGATACTGAGCAACTTAGCCCATATCTGATAATAATGTCTACCATATGCAATTATTGAGAAAATTAAATGAGGTTTTATACATATATATGAGGCTTTATTATATCTATATCCATAGATATATGTGGTAGGATGGTACATGGCACAGAGTAACCCTCAATAAATGTTAAACAGTATTATTCTCATAACTCATGGTTAACTGCAGAAATATTTAAAGAAAAACAAAGGCAATGATAAAATGCAGTATGTTTACATAATGCAGTACATTTACATGTACTACATTTTAAAAACCATTTTCAAGATAGAAACCGTTATATTAATGGCAATAAACAAAAGAGCTTTCAAAATCTTGTTGCTTTTACAGAAAGGAACTGAGAGACTTTTAGGTGGAATTATGTATAAAGAAAATAGAAAACCACCATTTGCATATAAATATGAAGCTCCCCCAAGAAAATGATCTGAAAGGTGGCTTGTAAGCTTTTAGATTCAAATTCTCTTCTGATGAATTCCACTTATTTTAATGTGATCAAAATGCTTTTGATGATCGAGCTGATTTAGGAATTTCTGTAAGGAGTGCTCCTTCATCTGACTTGCATCTTGCTGAATGAGCGTAGGCAGTGGGTAAATCTCTCCCAGCTGCTTCTACTGTGCATTTTATCCATATGCTGACAGGGAGGGTTTTGCTGGTGTAATTAGCCTCATTTGACACAGAGATGATTTAGTTGTGCTTTCTCTTAATGATGTTCCAGTGCTGCCACCTCAACAGCTTCTCACATCAGAATCCAGCTATGATACCAAAAGAATGTAGCTAGCTGTAGGATAATCGACAGAATATTAGAGCCAGATAGGGCATCACAGATCATCTGGTTTTGAATCAGAGTCTTCAGGGGAAGTTATTAAGTATATTGTCTCTCTGGACCCCACCCAGAAGCAACTCAGGTCTGGGCCCAGGAATCTGTATTTTGTGAAAGCGCTCCAGGTGATCCTGATGTGTAAATAAGTGTGAGAGTCACAGAGCTACTGCAAGCCACTCATTTTATAGATCAGGCTCAGTGAGCTTAAGACACATTGCACTCATTCATTTATTCAGCAGTATTTGCCAAGTGCCTAGTTGTGCTATATGCTGTGCTAGGCGCTAGGAATACAAGAGTGGTTGAGACAAAGTCACTTTCCAGTGATGAAGACAAGTAAATAATTGCTGGTTGCATTAAATGCTGTGGAAGGAGATGAAAACTACATTTTAGATAATCACAGGGGAGACCTACCTTGGTTAGGGAAGTTAGGAAAAGCCTCTCTGAGGTGGTAACACCTAATGAATGAAATCAACCGTAGGATAGGAGGGAACAGCAATCTATGCAGAGGGAACCAAGTGCAAAGTCCTTTAGACAGGCAAGATCTTGGGCTTTTCTAGGCAGTGACGCAAGGTGACACTCACATAACTGGACTCTGTTGTGCAAGGAGGAGATGAGGACAGGGACCTAGGCAGGGGCTAGATCAGATAAGTCTTTATGACCTGGAGTGAGTTGGATTTCATTCTAAGTGTCATTGGAAACCATTGGAGAGTTTGAAGCACAGGACTAACAGATGATTTACATTTCTAAAAGATCACTTTTGCTGCAGGCTGGAAAATGGACTGGAAGGGTTAGGGAACAGGCAAGAATAAAATCAGGAGATAAGTGAAGACCCCAGTCTCCTGACAGCTCTTAACACTCAAGGCTCTTTCAGTGTTTAGATGATCTCAGAGGCCCTGGGTGTTTTGTTTTGTCGTCACAAATAAGGCTTATAGTGTGCTGAGGAAACACCAATGTTTCTTTCTACAGCTCTGATCTTCAGTGATTACAGTGTTTTGCCACATCCCCATACCCCCTGCTTCACACACCCACCCCCTGCAAGGAGTATACTAAATTTTAATAGAGAAAAAGCTCATGCCAAATAATAATAATTTCTGGCTAAATCTACAACTGAGAAATTCTAATATTTTAAAATAAACTAGAAAAAAGAGTTACATGCATGTTAACTGATCTCTGGTGAAAGATTAACATTAGTTCATAGTAATAACATATATTTATGTAGAAAAATTATACACACACACACACACACACACACACACACACACACACACACACAGAGATATATGCTTGAAGATGCATAGAATAGTCCTAGCAGGATACACAATAATGGTTATGTCCTGAAGTAAGGTTATCTGGAGTGGGGAGGGGAAGTGGGCGGCTGGAAGACAAGTTTAAGAGGGAGAGTTTCCACTGAATACTATTTTTGTTTTGTTTTGTTTTGTTTTTGAGACAAGGTCTCACGTTGTCACCCAGGCTGGAGTGCAATAGCACAAACATGGCTCACTGCAGCCTTGGCTTTCCAGACTCAAGGGATCCTCCTGCATCAGCACCACAGGTAGCTCAGACTACAGGTACAAGCCACCACGGAAGGTTAACTTTTTTTTTTCTTAGTAGAGATGGGTTTTTGCCATGTTGCCCGGGCTGGTCTCAAACTCCTGAGCTCAAGCAATCTGTCTGCCTCGACCTCCCAAAGTGCTAGAATTACAGGCATGAGCCACCATGCCTGGCCTGAATACTGTTTTGTACTTTGAAAAAACAACTGTCTCTTTTCTTGTACCAGCCTGCAGATTTCCTCATTTTTTGCTCAAGTTCAATTAGGATTTTTTGTGACTTGCAGCTTGAAGGAGTCCTAATATACTCTCCCACTTAAGTCCCTTCAATGATTTTCTATAGCCTAAGGATGAATCCTAATTTCCTGACATGGCCTCAAGATCTAGACTCTGCTTCCTTTCCCAGTTGTGTTTCTCAGTCCCTGTCTCATGCTGTTTCAAACACAACCAACTTGAGGACCCCAAGGGGTGAAACTCCCTGTCATGCCCAAGTTTTGTGCAGCTTGTTCCAGTTCTGAAGTTACCTCCTCCAGGAAGCCCTCCTGGACCTGAAAACTGGGCTTGGTATTGCTCTGATGTCCTTGCCTAGAGCTGGGCATGTGTCCCCATGGTGTTGTCATTGCCATTTCACTGATCAATCTTTCCCCTAGGGACTGTAACTCTGTGAAAACAAAGTTGACCTTCTTTATCATGTCATCAGTAATGCCTAGCATAGTATTTAGTGATATAATTTTTTTGCAGCTAATCTCTTAATTTTTTAACCACAGAAATATCCAAACTGTGCAAAATAGTGGGCATTTCAAAACATCTGACATCTGCTTCATTTGGTCTTCATATCTGAAAACCTGAAATAATAACTTGAAGTCAATAAAGCAAGATGCTTCGAACATAAGACTTGGGAGTCAGACTGGATCCAAATCCTGGTTGTGCCACTGACTGGGAAACCTAGGAAGTTCCTTCTCCCAACTGTGTCCGTTGGCTCTGTTTGAACAGTGGAAAAGCAGTTTAATTCATTGGTTAAACCCAGAGGCTTCAGATTTAGGATGTCTGGTTTCAGATACCAACTCTGCCCCATCCTAACTGTGCCATTTGGGTCAAGTCAATCTCTCCCTTCTCGGTTACTTCATCTGTAAATATGAGATAATAAACATACCTACTTTATAGGATTTTTGAAAAAAACTAAGTGACAATCCATAGTAAACTCTTAGTAAACATTACTATACTTTCACAAGTAAATTGTGTCACTCTTTTCTGCCTAGAAAGTGCCTGATATCTCACAAATATTTGTCCATGACTGAAAAATGAGTGACTTTTCCATTTTACTTTTTCTAAAACAGCACATATAATATATGCATAAAAATGTTTAAAGGTTAATACATTTATGAAAAGTTCTGATAAGAGGAAGCACTTCTTTCTTGTATCCACTTATTTTTCCATTCTACATTCACTCAGGATGTGAAGGCTGTGGATAAGTCATCCCATCTCTTTCTTCAGCTTCAAACCACTGGCTATAAATTGACACAACTATAAACGGTTTCCAAATGTCACTAAATAAATCAGTTCTGTCCTGTTTGTGGTATGCTATTCTCTTGTGCAATTCCATCTGGATCACCAAGGTTCTGCCCACTGGCTGCAAATTGCCTGAAGATTTTGTGAGTGTAATATAAATGCCTAGCTCTCTCCTCAAATTTCCCTGACCCATAGCTGCAAGGCCTCAGGATGGGCTCTGAAATGTATGAGGCAAGTGCTTCTCTAAAGTTAAGACACCCAGACTGCCTTGCCTCCACCAGCCCCCAGGATAGCTTGAATTACAAGAGGTTATGTATTACTTTACCTTAATTTTTTTTGTAAGCCATCTCAAAAATTCTTAAATTAAATTGGTTTTATTTTTTATTTTTTTAATTTTATAATTATTATACTTTAAGTTTTAGGGTACATGTGCACAATGTGCAGGTTAATTACATATGTATACATGGGCCATGCTGGTGTGCTGCACCCATTAACTCATCATTTAGCATTAGGTATACCTCCTAAAGCTATCCCTCCCCCCTCCCCCCACCCCACAACAATCCCCAGAGTGTGATGTTCCCCTTCCTGTGTCCATGTGTTCTCATTGTTCAATTCCCACCTATGAGTGAGAATATGCGGTGTTTGGTTTTTTGTCCTTGTGATAGTTTACTGAGAATGATGATTTCCAATTTCATCCATGTCCCTACAAAGGACATGAACTCATCATTTTTTATGGCTACATAGTATTCCATGGTGTATATGTGCCATCTTTTCTTAATCCAGTCTATCATTGTTGGACAGTTGAGTTGGTTCCAAGTCTTTGCTATTGTGAATAGTGCTGCAATAAACATACGTGTGCATGTGTCTTTATAGCAGCACGATTTATAGTCCTTTGGGTACATACCCAGTAATGGGATGGCTGGGTCAAATGGTATTTCTAGTTCTAGATCCCTGAGGAATCCCCACACTGACTTCCACAAGGGTTGAACTAGTTTACAGTCCCACCAACAGTGTAAAAGTGTGCCTATTTCTCCACATCCTCTCCAGCACCTGTTGTTTGGTTTAGTTTCACAGGTAGATCAATTCTATGTATTTCTGAAGTGTGTTAGGATGTTGCTTCAGTGCTACTAATATAGTTATTATACTAAATAGTACTGCTAATACCATTACTGCTATCATCACCACCACTACTGGTACTATTATTATTACAACCTCTGCTACTGAAACTGGAACTGTTACCAACTGCAACTGTTACCACAGCTATTGCTGCTGCTACTGCTGCTGTTGCTACAATTATTAATATCATTATGACATTCCTCCTGCTGCTGCTACTACTGGTGCTGTTAATTTTACAGTTTCACTGCTAACATTTATTGATCACTTAACATTGCTAAGCTTGTGATAAGTGCTTTATATATGACATATCAATTTCTTCACACAACAACCTTGAAATATGGATTTTTTTTTTTTTTTTTTGAGATGGACTCTCACTCAGTCACCCAGGCTGGAATGCAATGGTGCAATCTTGGCTCACTGCAACCTCCGCCTCCCAGGTTCAAGCAATTCTCCTGCCCCAGCCTCCCGAATAGCTGAGATTACAGGCGCCTGCCATCATGCTCAGCTTATTTTTGTATTTTTGTAGAGACAGGGTTTCACCATATTGGCCAGGCTGGTCTTGAACTCCTGACCTCTGGTGATCCACCCACCTCAGCCTCCCAAAGTGCTGGGATTACAGGTGCGAGCCACTGCGCATGGCTGAAAGATGGATATTTTTGTTAACCTTCTTTCATAGATACTAAAGCTGAGGCATAGGCATTTGAACTGAAGACAGTCTCTAAAAGTCAAAGCTCTTAATCAGTGTCCTCTATTGCTTCCTCAGTTTAGCAGAGATGGCACTCACATACCTAAAAGGCTGGAATTACAAAGCACAGGAAGCAACTGCTCTTGTTGGTACAAATAAAAAACGGTGAAGTCTGGCAGAATTTGAGTAATCAGCAGCAGAAATGCTACTGTCGTCAGACACCTATTGAGAATGTTGAGACATTGGCTGTAAATATTATTGGATCAAATTATTCGGGAGAATGTTGGGTTCAAGAAAGCTAGAAAGGCCAGGCGTGGTGGCCCACACCTGTCTTCCCAGCACTTTAGGAGGCCAAGACGGGCAGACTACTTGAGCCTAGGAGTTCAAGACCAGTTCTGGCAACATGGCAAAACCCCCTCTCTACAAAAAAATTAGCCAGCTGTGGTGGGACATGCCTGCAGACCCAGCTACCTGGGAGGTTGAGGTGGGAGGATCACCTGAGCCTGGTGGGTGGGATTGCAGTGAGCTGTGATCGAGCCACTTGCACGCCAGCCTGGTTGTCAAAGTAAGACCCTGTCTCTCTCTCTCTCTCTCTCTCTCTCTCACACACACACACACACAAACACACACACACACAAGCTAGAGAGCTTACTTAACCAAAAAGACTTAAACATGCCAATGAGAATTATGAATTTCTAAACCGAGAAAAATAGCCTTTTTTGAACTGATGACCACAAAAAAAAGCTTTATTCTATGGGACATATTATGACTACTATTCCTTAGAACACATTTTGTGAATGTTGATCTAAGTCAAATGAAGTCAAGAAAACAATATATATTATGTGCTTGCATAGAAAAAAAGATTGGAAGGAAATACTCTAAAATGTTACAATCCAGCTGGAGGAATTACCAATGATTTTTATTTTGCGATCAAACCATTTTTGTATTTCCATAGAACAAATAAATGCTGCTTACATTTTAAAGCACAGAAAATAACTGCAAATAATCTTTAAGTTGATTTCAGAATAACTGCTTTAATTTTCCTACTAACCTGGGCTATGAGCAGCCTACTAAAACAGGTGAAAAATAAATGTGGGTCTGATCAGATTTGCAGAACAAAATACTGTAACTCTTAACTCTCTGGCATCTTTAAAATAACCCTGATATGGTTTGGCTGTGTCCCCACCCAAATCTCATCTCGAATTGTAATCTCCACGTGTCCAAGGAGGGGCCTGGTGGAAGGTGAATGAATAATGGGGCAAACTTATCCCTTGCTGTTCTTGTGATAGTGAGTTCTCAAGAGATCTGGTTTGAAAGTGCGTGGCAATTCCCCCCACCCTGCTCTGCCGTAGTAATATGTACTTGCTTCCCCTTCACCGTCAGCCATGATTGTAAGTTTCCTGAGGCCTCCCAGGCATGCTTCCTGTACAGCCTGGGAAACTGTGAGTCAATTAAACCTCTTTTCTTCATAAATTATCTAGTCTCAGGTAGCTCTTTATAGCAGTGTGAGAACTAATAAAAACCCATTCATATTTTTCTTTGACATTAGTAAAAACTGCAGGCAAATATCAAGTCTTTCTTTTTGAATATCTCAAAGATAAGACATTTCCCAACTACTTTGACAAGAGTCCACCTTACCGAAGACAAAGATACAAAAATGTTTTTAAACTAGCAAATCTATGATTTCCTGAATGTTGTCCCCAACACATTTTACCACACAAATTGATTTCTTCAATCAAGCTGTGGAATTAATGGGAATTTACAATTAATTCAAAGCCAGGGTGGTTACACCACAGTGTGAATGTACTTAAAGCCACCCACTGAACTGTACGCTTAAAAATGATTATTTGGTAATTTTATTTTGTGTGTATATATATGTGTGTGTATATATATGTATATATGTATATGTGTATATGTATGCGTGTGTTTATATATATATATATAAACATTTTGTTTTTGAGATGGAGTCTCACTCTGTCTCCCAGGCTGGAGTGCAGAGGCACAATCTTGGCTCATTGCAACTTCTGCCTCCCAGGTTTGAGAGATTCTCCTACCTCAGCCTCCCTAGTAGCTGGGATTACAGGCGTGTGCCACCACACCCAGCTAATTTTTGTATTTTTAGTAGAGATGTGGTTTTTCCATGTTGACCAGCCTGGTCATGAACTCCTGACCTCTGCCTGCCTTGGCCTCCCAAAGTGTTGGGATTACAGGCGTGAGCCGCTGCACCTGGCCTATTTTATGTATATTTTTTAACCATATTTTCTTAAAAGCAAGAGTAAATAAATATATTTAGGTAAAATATTTTATTTTGAATGATCCTCACAACTTGAGGAATTTAAAAGTGCATTCGTAGCATTGTTCATGGGACAATGCTGAAAATGACCTAAATGCCCAGCAATGGGTTCTGATCTTATTTCTGCAAACTAATGCCACAAAACCTAATTTAAAAATTGACATAGGGTTATGGAATGGTGTCTGTAATTTATTAAGTGAAAAATGCTTGCTATTAAGTGGCATATTTTGTTACAAAATTTTAAAAACATAAAAACATATTCCATGTACGTATATGTTGTATATAAGCACAGAAAAAAATCTGACAGAATCTATATCAATATGAAACAGTGATCTTTGTTTTCTTCTTAAATATTCCCAAATCATGTGACTATTTTGCTAATGTAGATAGGATTTTATGATCAGAAAAACCTTCAACTATATTTTAAGTGTGTTGATACAGAGGTAATATCTTTATGGGGGCCATTTTATGTTATTAAATGTAGGACGTTATGTACTGGCATTAGCACAGTAGGAGGGCTAGAAGACTCCTCTGCTTTCTTCTCTTTAAAGGAAAGAAAACTTAAGAAGAGAGAGAAAAAAATTTTAAGAAAACGACAAAAAGTAGGTGGGTCAGGGAGTCAAATTACGTAGGGGAATAACCCTATAATGAACAAAATCGGCATTTTGAATATTGTTTCACTTTAGAATAAACCAACTTATAGACTTAGATGAACTTGAATCATTTTAACATGTTAAGATAAAGTATAATTTTAATGTATGAATAGGTAAACATGAAAAAATAAATTTAAGATATTAGAATTAAACAATATAGTTATTGAGATAAACCATGCAATGAAAGAAAAATGAGTGGGATTTTGAATTGGGACACAGAACTGAGATGTCCAGAATGCGGAGGGGAGCCAAAAGGTTGAAAGGTTGATTGAGGCATAGAGAATGATTCTAAGGCTCCCACATGTTTGAAATAAGAATTCCAGAATAAGAGATTGGAGGCAATGTTGAAGAAGCAATATGTAAAGAGAATTATTGCTAATTTTCCAGAACTGAAGACAGACCTAAGTCCTTAGAGTGAAAGTATTTTCTGAATACTGAGCAAAATAAAATTGAAAACATCTTAAACCAACTGCAGTTTAAAAAAAAATTTGCACCTGGCCATACCTAGACAATTCTTGTAGTAAAACTACAGGATTTGAGATAAACTACCAGAGAGAAAAGACATTATCTACAGAATAACAAAAATGTGAGTGACAACAGCTTTTGGGGGATTTAAGGGGAGGTCTTATACCTCATAATAGATGCAAAAATTCAGTAGAGTAATATAAACACATGTCTGGGCAAGAGAAGCTCCAAGTTCAGTACAGTGGCCTCTCTGGGCAGAGAAAGAGTAGAGTCAAAGGAAGAGGGAAGCAAGGGCCCAACTATAACTGCAATATTTCATTTTCTTAAAACAAATGTTTGAGGCCGGGCATGGTGGCTCACGCCTGTAATCCCAACGCTTTGGGAAGCCAAGGCAGATGGATCACTTAAGGTCAGGGGTTCGAGACCAGCCTGGCCAACATGACAAAACCCTGTCTCTACTAAAAACACAAAAATCAGCCAGGCGTGGTGGCGGGTGCCTGTAATCCTAGCTACTCAGAAAGCTGAGGCAGGATAATCACTTGAACCTGGGAGATGGAGGTTGCAGTGAGCAGAGATCACACCATTGCATCCCAGCCTGGGTGACACAGTAAGACTCCACCTCAAAAAAAAATAATAATAATAAAAATTGAGCACTGTTAGTGAGAATATAAAATGGTGCAGCCACTATGGAAAACAGCATGGCAATTCTCAAAAAGTTAAAAATAAAATTATCACATGGTCTGACAACTCCACCGCTGGGTATACTTCCTAAAGAATTGAAAGCGGGGTCTCACACATGCACACTTATGTTCGTAGCAACATTATTCACAATAACCAAGAGATGGAAGCCACCCAAATGTCTGTCAACAGATAAAAGGAAACAAAAAATGTGCTACATACATGTAATGGAATATTATTCAGACTTAAAAAGAAAATTCTGTCACATGCTACAACACGGATGCAGCTTGAGGACACTAAGTAAAATAAGTCAGTCACAAAAAGACAACCACTCTATGATTTCACTTATATGAAGGACCCAGAGTAGTGAAATTCATAGAGATGGGAAGTAGGATTGAGATTACCAGGGCTTGGGCAGGGAGGGAATCGGGAGTTGTTGTTTAATGCAGACAGAGTTTCAGTTTTGCCAGATGAGAAAGTTCTGGAGATCCACTGCACAACCACGTGAATGTACTTAACACTACTAAAATGTACACTTAAAAATGATTAGATGGTAAATTTTATGTTATGTGGGGTTTTTTAACCACAATTTTTAAAATATCAAAAAAGATGAATATTAAAAAATATTTAAAGCAAATAATTAGATTGACAAAGCTGCATGATATGACTACTAGTATTTATTATATACCCTTCTAGTCATTTTTTCTGAATTTTTTTAGAATTGAAATTTTTTTAAAAAAAATTGATGGTATTAAGTCCATCAACAGAAGAATGAATAAACAAATTATGTTATAGGGATACAAAGGAAGACTGACTACTAAGCAATAAAAACAGATTTTTGCTATAAAAATAAAAACAGATTGAGTCAGAGAAGCTAGACAGAAGTACACATGCAGTAAGATTCCATTTCTGTGAAAATCAAGAGCAGGCAAAGTGAGGCTGGGCGCAATGGCTCACGCCTAAATTCCCAGCACTTTGTGAGGCTGAGGCAGGAGAATGGCTTGAGCCCGGGAGTTCAAGACCAGGCGAGGCAAAATAGACTCCATCTCTACAAAAAACAGAAAAATTGGCCTGGTGCAGTGGCGTGTGCCTTGTAGTCTCAGCTACATGGGAGGCTGAGGCAGGAGGATTGCTCAAGCCCAGGAGGTTGAAGCTGCAGTAAGCTGTGATCATGAAAAAAAGAGCAGGCAAAGTGAAGCCATGGAATTAGAAATTAAGAGTAGTTGCTTATGAGGAGTGTAGATTGACTGGAAAATTGGCACCAGGGAACATTCTGGGGTGGTAGCTACATCTTATTGGGGTGTTGGTTACATAAGTGAATACATTTCTCAAAAATAATCTGTTTTTACATTTAAGATGTGAGCATTTTGTTCAGTGTAAATTTTGCCTCAATGTATACATACATTCTAAACCAAAAGGTGAAGCAAAAAATATATATATAGGCTATTTACAAGTGGAAAAAAGAAATGCAGCTTTGGTGACATGGAACACCAGAGGACAAAGGCAAAGGGCACTTCAGTTGATTGAAATGCAAGGAGAAATTTAGATAGCACAATTCTGTTACTCAAGAAGCATTCAGGACATTGGAGAAAAGGCCAGAGCTTCCAGAAACTTTAGAAGAGTAACCTGAAACCATATGCAATGTTTCAAGAATTTTATCAAATCTCACTAAAGTACAAACAAGCCTCCTCTTTGGTCCTTTTCCAAAGAGATGGCTGAAGAATATGGTCACTGGAAACAAGTTAATTCTCTCTTTAAAATAACTTGGCTTTAAGTATATATCATACATGTTCATCACAGAAAAATAGAAAATACAGATAAGCAGAAAAAAATAAATTGAAATCACAACAGGTAAACATTCTTAACATGTTGCATGTTTTTCCTCCATGCCCTTTTTATTTAAATGCTGTATTTTTTTCCTGTTAAGATCATTTCCAATCTTCTTGATCATGTGGGCAAATCTCACTTTGCAGAAGCCTGTGGCTATCTTTGTTAGGGAAGATCTAACAATCAGATTGTCTAACTACTCATATTTGCTTCCTAGACTATGATGTAATCTTTTTCTTCCCACAAGAAAACATCTGCAAGTTTTTTCCCCCCCTTTTTTTGAGGCAGGGTCTCACTCTGTCACCCAGGCTGGAGTGCAATGCACAATTATAGCCTGCTGCAGCCTTGACCTCCCGGGCTGAAGCAATCCTCCCACATCAGCCTCCCAAGTAGCTAGAACTATGGGTAAGCGCCAACACACCTGGCTATTTTCATTTTTTATTTTTTGTAGAGATGAGGTCTTGCTATGTTGCCCAGGTTGGTCTCAAGTTCCTGGGCCCAAGTGATCCTCCTGCCTTGGCCTCCCAAAGTACTAGGATTACAGGTATGAGCCACCACACTTAGCTGGTATGATCTTAAAATGCTTTTTACATTTTCTCTTTTTCTGAAGATGAGTCAAATTGTCATTTAAGAGAAATTAAATTTGACTTAGAATGTTTTCTTTAATTTTAAGGGAGAAGTATTTCTCCATGAATGTTTCTTTCCTATGAATATAAAATTACTGATACCTATACTTGTATATGAAACATGACCACAAATTGCTGATGAACATGATTTAAAAAAATGAATATACCAGAGTTTACACATCTAAATGTGCCTATTCCCTTCTATAGTCTTTAGACGTGCACTTATCCAAATGGTTCTGCCAATTCATCCAACCATCTACACAATGCCTCTCTGAGAGCTGCCTTTAGACTATGGAGAATTCTGTAAAATATTTTCAATCAGGCTGTTCTTCATTAGAGTACAAGCTATGTAAGATCAGGAGGTATACCTGCCTCATTTACTTTGTTATCCCCAGTGCCTAGAAAACATGAAGAGGGACTCAAAACTGATGTGTTGAGTGAATGAACGAATAAATGGTAATAAATTTTCACTTACTAAGGTCAAGTTTTTATTGAAATAATTTGTAGTCTCCCAAGATGATGATTATTCTCCCTCCCACCCCTATCCTCTCCCTCTTTCCATTGTGATTGCAGGTTCATGAATAAGGTTTAGGGTGATATGTAGCAGGTTTGGGAAGGTAGGCAGTGTCTAATTGTAAAGCCTTGTGGACTTTACAATTTTATCAGGTTTATTCTCTATTCTAAATGCAATTGAAAGCTACTGAAGAGAATTCCAAGGGAATGAAATGAGTTTTTAAGTTATTTATTAATTTATTTTTGAGACAGGGTCTCACACTCTCACACCCAGGCTGTAGTGTGCTGGTATAAACATGGCTCATTATAGCCTCAACCTCCCATGCTCAAGCGATCCTCCTGCCTCAGTCTCTTGTGTAGCTGGGAACACAGGTGTGCACCACCATGCCTGGATGATTCGTGTTTTAAAAAAATCCCCGTGACTGTATGAAGAGAATCAATTCTGTGAGGACAAAAGTGGAAGGAGGGAGACATTTAAGAAGTTACTGTGAAAATCCAGAAGACAGAGGTGGCGACATGTACTAGAGAGGTCACAACAGCAAAAGTGAAAAGTGGATTGCTTCTGCATGTATTTTGGTGGTAGGACACACAGGGCACCAGCAATCTAGTTAGGAGGAACTAGTCGGAGGGCGACTTCTACATGCCTTATAGAGATGAATAAATTCCTACTATCTCAGCCTTCAAATTTCACAGTTTAAAACTCAAATTCCAGCAAACAGGCATCTGATTGGCTTAGCTAGGACACCATGACTGGCTGCTCCACAAACACTCCTATCTATTGGGGAAGATCTTAGAGCACCATCTGGTACTCTAAAAATTATTGATGTGCTGTTCTTAGGATGTATGGTAAACACACTTGATAGCAATAAGTTAAGCATACCCTGAGAATGACCCTGTACGGCAGACACACCTGAATGCATGTTCTGAGCTAGGAAATCTGGAAGTGGCTGACCTGGAGATTTATTCCTTGTCTATGAGGAACATTTGAGCCCCTGCCCAGTCCCATGGAATACTGGCTGTACAGGGGATCAAGGCCCCAAGTTTTGGGTTAAATGTAAGTTTCCAGATGGAGGTTGCTAGGGAAAGGATGCTAAGTAAAAATGCTATATAAACTGCATGCCTTTTGTAAGTGGTTGAGGTTAAACTGCCCAGTCTGCTGCCACTGGGCTGTGTGGTCCTCCTGTCCAGCCCACCACCACTGGACTCTCTCCCCTCTATGTAACCCCCAAGTAAAACCACATGTCTCTTTTGCTGGCTCTGGGTCTATTCTTTAGTCTCTGGAACCTAATGCCATCCCCAGTGGAGTACATAGGGGTTCAACACAACACAGGAGAAGAAGGAATAGCTGCTGGGTTGACAAAAATACAACATGTCTCCTACATGCGTGCTAAATTTATAATCACCTAATCGATTCTTTGTAGAAAAATATCACAGCATATCACATTATTGAACACATTAATCCTAGCTTATAAAACATTAAAGCATATAAGCAAAATAGCAATATAAAAATTAAGATATTAAAACCGAATATTTTCTTCTGTGCCTGAGCTCTTCCCAAAATTAAGTTCAAATTGACAAACGTTTCCATATTAATTTAAAAGTTTAAGTCCTTTACATTGCACTTTTTTCCAGAACTCAGGTGAGAGCTCTAAGCTCAAAGTTAAAAGTCACATTTTCTCTTTCCCTGCCTCCTTCCTTCCTTCCTTCCTTCCTTCCTTCCTTCCTTCCTTCCTTCCTTCCTTTCTCTCTTTCCTTCTTTTTGTTGGGGTCTCGCTCTGTTGCCCAGGTTGGAGTGCAGTAGCACAATTTTGGTTCACTGTAACCTCTACCTCCTGGGTTCAAGCTGTTTTCGTGCCTCAGCCTCCAGAGTAGCTGGGACTACAGACATGCACCGCCATGCCCGGCTAATTTTACATACAGGGGTTTCACCATTTTGGCCAGGCTGGTCCTGAACTCCTGGCCTCAAGTGATCCACCGGCCTCAGCCTCCCAAAGTGCTGGGATTACAGACGTGAGCCACTGTGCCTGGCCAAAAGTCACATTTTCTTTAGAGCATCCCAGGAGTTGCCTTCTCCATCTCTTTCTCTTTCTGTTCTGTACTTGCTTAGCTGGCATAAAACATGGCACTTTATATTCTGCCAATAAATGCAAAGTGGAGGCAGCCATAAAGTAGTAGACAAACCACTTAGTTGGGCACCAGAAGCCTAAAGCCTGCCTCTCACAAGATGTGATTCCACAAGCAAATCACTTACCCTCTCAAAATGGAGCTTCCTCCTCTGTTAAATGTTGTCGAATGTGTATATCCAACAGGTTGTTGTTGGAACCAAGTGGGAGTGTCTGTGAAAGCACTTAGAAAATTGTGAAGAACTGTCCAAATGCAAGGCATGATTATTAATTTAGACTATTTCAG
The DNA here is from genome assembly GCF_000001405.40 of Homo sapiens. Classification (NCBI taxonomy): domain Eukaryota; kingdom Metazoa; phylum Chordata; class Mammalia; order Primates; family Hominidae; genus Homo; species Homo sapiens. The sequence continues at coordinate 69,140,938 of NC_000003.12, forward strand.
GATCAGGACTCCCGATCCCTTTATATTTCCTATAAGGTTATCTGTCTTACCCTCCCTTGTTTATATATTTGGACTAGAATATCATTGGTGCCATATTTTCCTGGCTGACCCCAATCTAAATTTTGAAAAGCAGCTTTTAGCACCTCCTCCAAGAAGCCTTTTCTATTCTTTCCCTGTGTGAGGTATTTTCTCTTTAAACTCTCAATAACCTGTGCTACCTTTATTAAAACACATGTCATATTGTACGATTTCTTAGATAAAAGGACTTCTCTGATTAACTTGATTTCCTCCTACGTTAGTTCTTCCATTTCATGATTTTGTTGTCTTCCTTTTACGATGTTAGTTTTCTCACCTGTTTGATAGTTTCTATGTGTGCCCACCTTTGACTTTGAGATTAACTGTTAGACTATTGTGAATGCTAATTATCTCCTTACTGAAGACTTGACTATAGTGATTTTTAGTAAGTGATGTACAGGTTCTAAAATTTGCATGTGTCCTCTAAAGTTCATGTGTTGGAAACTTAATTCCCAGTCTAACAGTGTTGAGAGATGGCACCTTTGAGAGGTGATAAGGTCATGAGGGCTCTGCTCTCATGAATGGGTTCTTGTTGTTATTGTAGGAATGGATTTGTCATCTTGAGAGTGGGTTTGTTATAAAAGTGAGCTTGGCTCTATCTTGATCTCTCTTGCCATGTGATGCCTTCTGCCATGTTATAATGCAACAAAGAGGTCCTCACCAGATGTAGCCCCTCAAGATTGGACTTCTCAGCCTCCAGAACCATGAGCCAAATAAATTTCTATTTATTATAAATCACCCAGTCTCAAGTATTCTTTTATAACAGCACTAAACAGACTAAGTCAGCAAGATATGCCAGTAGTTAGTTTTCTCAATGGCAATGTCTTCAGTTGACATTTTTTTCCTTTTCTACATTATGTAGAAGGGAGGAGAAATGACATTCTAATAGATGAAAGATAACTATTAGTAAAATGATCTAAAGTTTACTTGGTTATTCCTAATGTTCTTTTAACAAAAGATGTACCAATGTCTCAAGCATCAAACAACTTTATAAAGACAAAGGCTATATCTGTTCTTTATGTATTCACATTGTTCAGTGCACATAGAAGATAACCAAATATTTTGGCTAAGTGAATGAATTAGCCACTTAGGAAGAAATGGAAGATATGAGTAGTAAAAATAATTTGATAAATTTACAAGGTCAATAGGAACACACAAAAAAGCCACGACTCATGTGTCCCCTTATCTACCCTGAAGAAACTGGCCTTTCTCAGAGTTTCTACCAAGCAACAGAACATACACAGGGGATTTCACCTCCCACTCTATCAGGACACAGATCTCATCATCTTGCAATTGTACGCAGCCTGGAAAGCAACCAGAGTGTCAGTTTACATAGCGAGGCTGCTGGAGGTTGTATGATGTCTTTTAAACAACTTGAGCCAAAAATAACCAATCATAGTCCAAAACAGCCAACCATACTGTAGCTGGTCTTCAAACTGCAAAAGTCACAATGAATTCACCTTGTGAGCTGTTGTTATTATAAATAAAAATCATGGTACTAGAGGTGAGAAAATGCCACATAAGATCAGAAATGAGTTAGAGTCCATTCTTTTTCCTCCAGTTTTTAAGGCATAGCCAATATGCAGGATTATTTCAGAGCTAATCAGTTTCACTGGTTCATATTTCATTTCTCAGCAAACCATTTCACTGGGCCATAAACACTTTTTAGCAACGCAGTTCCTACTATCTTCTGAATTTCATATTTGAAAACACCTCTTCTCTTCCAGGAGTTTAGACACTTAACCCACTCAGGAAGGAGAAACAATCACAAAACTATTGAGAGAATTAGAATGAGAGATTTCTTTGTGGCCACCCCAACATCATCTTTTTTTTTTAACGTCACTGTCTCCCTAATACTGTGACAAACATCATTCCTTAGGTATTTCACATACTTCCTGGGTCCTATTTTTAAATTAATGAAAGTGCATCATGCTAAGTGCTTCAAAACAAATTTCACACCACTGATTTCTGCTGTTGTTGTTTTTTTCCTGATAAACATCACTAAGTGATCGATTTAATCATTGCTTATTGTCTTTGGTTGCTAAACATTCCCTGACTTTGCTCAGCAAACATTTCCATGTAGCACAAACTGGCCTCCCTTTAAAAAATACTTCTAGGTATGATGGAGACTCCTAAAATTGAAAAAAAATATTTATCTGTCTCTGTCCGAGGCCATCCACTGAAATGTAATCTGGGGATTATAGAGGGTCAGATGTTGCCTTTATAAAAACAAACACCCAGCAACTAGAGGAATAAAAGTGAGAGGCTCAAGGAAAGAGGCAAGGCTACGGGGACACAGTAGTTGAATGTGAGTGTAGGCACTAATTTGGGAAGAGATATTCTACTACAGTTTTTACTAAAATAATTTTTGAGGCTATTTATTTGTAACAGCATGTATGATTTCTATGATTGTGATCTTTCTTTTTTCCAAAATGTATGTTTCAAAAATGAATATAGCATTCCAAAGTTTCATGAAAAAAAAATTACTCAAATATTTAATTTAAAGTAAATCTATCTCTTGCATTTATTCTAATAGATTTTCCATCTTTCTTGGCATTAGATCGTATGTAAAAAAGTCACACTTCTCTTGAGAGGCCAAATACATGTATATAATTTGTTTATTAGTCAGTTATTTAAATTAAAATACAATTTTAATTAGCGCAAAATTTGTTCTTGCATTAGGTAAGATAAATAAACAGTGGAACTACCCAATTTATACCAAGCCATCTGAATACCCTGCCAAGGCCATGTTAGAGCATGACCCAGCAGAAAATTACAACTACTACCACTGGCTGAGGCTCATGTTACAGATCGGGAATGATAAATACCTGGCACTTCTATTACCACTCTCTTACATCATGCTCATGGCAGACATTACTAATCAATCATAATACTCTCTCTATGCCCAGGAGCAACCTTAGAATCCTTCACAGAGCCTCACAGTAGGCAGCCACTATCAATCGAGTCAGTGTCTGAGATGAAACCTATATTCAAATGCAATTAAAACCGTTTATTAACATACTAGGTTTTGTTCTTTGCAACTATTATTAGGGCTTTGGGATACTATTCACTCCTTTTCCCTTTTAAAGTTCTGATCCATAGAGTATATATACAGAGATCAATAGCAAAAGCCAAAGGCAAAGTGCAAGTTTATTCACTGTTAGGTGAGACCACTGCACCCTATGGCAAATCCTCAGACCTGGCTCAGGCTCAAGGACAAAGTGAGTCCTTCTTCTTTCTCTCATAGAATCTACATCATGGAACATGAGCATCTGGGATCTGTCTGTTGGCTAGGGGTGGAGGAAAGAGAAGTGGGGAAGGAGAGATGGGCAAGGGAAGAGAACAGTCAAAGGAGAGGGAAAGAATGAGCAGGCAGGGCAGGCCCTAAAAGAGCCCTTGAATTAGCTTACTGATTTTACCACATCTCCTTACAAATAATAGTACACTTCTTGAGAGTTTACTATGCAGCAGGCACAAGGCACAATGCTAGGCTCGATGTCATCATCTTACATGGTAATTCCAAAACCCCTCTGAGGAAGTTTATCAGTTAAAAATTGTATGGGTGGCATAAGAATCAGAATCCCCCTGGGAAATCGGTGTTACCTTCAAGGCAGAGGTGGGAGCAGGGATAAGGGTAACTGTCTAGATGACATAGGGGTTGGGGCATGGAGAGGTTCTTATCCCTCTAGACCTTAGGGCAGGAGGCAGGAGGTCTGTGGAACCCAGGGAAAGAGATGCAGCTATAGCAGAGGGCCATCTGGCCAGAGGTGTGGCTTTGGGTAGAGGAATACAGCTACTGCCCCATAGCTGAGAAGGCGGGAGCTAGAGGGATCTATTCTCCAACCTCTCTCTCTCTCTCTCCTGTTTCTGGCTAGTTCCTCCCATTGACCAAATCCCTTTGGAAATCAGAGGGCAATGGCCCTTTGATGTGGTTCAAGGCAGCTTCCCCTTGCAATGTAGCACAAGGGCACAGGCAGAACTGGATCTGGAGGGGCAAGCAGAATATCCAGCACAGGCAGGTGGCAGAAAACCCAAACATCAGTGACTTAACCATACAGGTTTCTATTGAAAAGAGAAGTTACAGCTGCTCAGCAGGGAAGTCGTTAGCAACCCAGCCTCCTGCAAGCTCTCCGCTCATGCTGGAAAGACCTCCTGCAGCTGTGGGTACCACACTCACACTCCAGGCAGAAAAAAGGAGGAGGGGCAAAGAGCAAAAGCCACATTCTAACTGAGTCTATCAGGAAAACAATTAGTGTCCCCAGGACATTTTTACTTATATCTCATCGGCCAGACCCAGGTCATGGGTTCTTTTCTGGCTGCAAAGGGAGCCTGGGGAGGGAAGTATTTTTAACTGAGCTAGGGTCACCAGATAAAATACATAATACCCAGTTAAATTTGAATTTCAAATAAATAATGACTCTTTAGTAAATGGGACACACTTTTACTGAAAAATTATTCATAGTTTATTTAAAATAACATTTAACTGGAAAGCCTATATTTTTATTTCTAAATCTGGCAACCCTAACCTGGGCACATTGCCACCCAAACAAAATTGAGGGTTTTACTATGGAAGAAGGATGGTACAAATATTGAGTATGGAATGAGCTGCAGCTGCCACAGATGAGTACTATTATTCCCATTTTACAGTTTCAGAAGCAAAGGCTTAGAGAAAGGGAGGAATTTAACCAGGTTATATAGCTAATAAGTGCTGAAGCTGGAATTAGGTTAAACCTAGTGCTTTTTAGCATTTATATTATCAGCCTCTGTGACTTAAGAGGCTTCAGAAAAGCAAAAGAGAGGTCAAGAGCTCTCTAACACAGTAACTGCCCCACCAGTGAAATATGGCCTAATAGAGGCCAGATTGTCACCATGGAAGTCAGATTGTTGACAATCAGATTAGCAACTACAGCTCTTAGAGCAGTGGCTCTCCATTGAGGAGAGGAAAGTTTGCCCCCCACCCTCACCCCACAGAGGGGCACTTGGCAATTGCTAGGGACATTTTCAGTTGTCACAACTTGGGGGAGTGCTATTGGCATCTAAAAGTTGAGGCCATGGATGGTGCTAAATATTCTATAATGCACAAGACACTCCCTCACAGCAAAGAAGCATCTGATCCAAAATGCCGAGATTCTAAAGGAAATAATGAGTAGAAAGTGTAGAAGAGAATCCCTAGTACATATCCCCCAAATACAAAGCAGCCTTGGGCAAAGACTCATACGTGAGAAGATTTCCCCTAACATCTATATCTTTTTGAAAAAAATTACAATCATTTTATTTAAAACTGTGCCAATAAAAATGCAGGTGATGCATTCTTCTCATTTTTGCAATATGAGGGAACAAACAAGTTTACCAAGTTGCCCACATTACTTTAACATCTTCTTTATTATTGCACATCTTACTGTAATGTATTTATTCCTATAGTTCCCACTTGTTTGTAAGCTTCTCAGAGGCGAGGAACAATGTCCTCAATTTGTTTCACTGGTACAATGCCTAGTATATGGTATGCACATATATTTTTAAGAAAAAATTAATTTGGTACCTGTACTATAAACCTGAAATTAGTGAAATTAGTTCTTAATCTTTTAAAAATAATATTAAAAACCAAAAATTCTCTTTTTCTTGGATGTAATCCTGAGATCAATTTGGCTGTTTATTGAAACAGTAAGCAGTTTGCATAATACCTGTTTGCAGACAGGCCTAGTTGCTTATTTCCCTAACATCTGTATCTGAGAGTACAACTGATCACATGCTATTTTCTTGCTTAGATTTGGAAATTTAAATTTTCCTACAGCATAGGAACAAAAATAAATATGTCAGGAAAAAATATCCTACAGCCAGAGAGACCAGGGCCCTTGCAAGGGACTTTAGAGTTCAAAATTATGAGAACAGTTATGACTGCCATTATAGAACTATTTGTTTAAAACAAATAGCGGTATGTGCCCAAGGAATTTAACATCATTTACAGTCATGCTATTATTAACGACAGGGATATATTCTGAGAAATATGTCCTTAAGAGATTTCATTGTGTGAACATCATAGAGTGCCCTTATGCGCTCTATGATGTTTTTAGATGGTGTATACTTAGGCTATAAGGTAGAGCCTATTGCTCCTAGGCTGCAAACCTGCATAGCATCTGTCTGTCTTAAACACTGTAGGCAACTGCAACACAATGGTAAGCATTTGTGTATCTAAACATAGAACTTGCACAGTAAAAATGCAGTATTATAATCTTATGAGAACCACCATCCATATATGGTCCATCATTGACTGAAACATTATTATGCAGCCCATGACTATACTTCTTTACTAAAGCCAATCATAAGTAAAAGTAAAGGCTGGGCATGGTGGCTTGCACCTGTCATCCAAGCACATCAGGAGACCAACACAGGAGGATTGCTTGAGTCCAGGAGTGCAAGGCTACAGTGAGCTATAATCATGCTGCTGCACTCTAGCCTGGGTGACAGAGCAAGACCCTGTCTCTAAAAAAGTAAAAATAAATTTTTAAAAGTAGAGGTATTCCTGACCATCTCTGGGGATATGAAAAAAAGAAAAATAAATTAAAAAGTAGAATATGATGCTTAAAATCATATTTGTAAAGCCAAACAGAGATTCTGTATAGATTATTTTGTGTGTGTGTGTGTGTGTGTGTGTTTTAGACAGGATATCACTTTGTCACCCAGTCTGGAGTGCAGTGGTGTGATCATGTCTCACTGCAGCCTCATCCACATCGTCCACATCCTCCTACCTCAACCTTCCAAGTAGCTTAGACTACAGGTGCACACCACTATGCCCAGATATTTTTTACATTTTTTTGTAGAGATGGGATTTCACCATGTTGCCCAGACTGGTCTCAAACTACTGGGCTCATGCCATCCTCCTGCCTCAACCTCCCAAAGTGCAGGGATTACAGGCATGAGCCACCGCACTTGGCCTATTTAGATTCTTTTGGATGAACTGCACTACTATTGTCTTCTCACTATATTGGATACAAATGTAGAAGGCCAGCATGCACACACATTTAATCTTCCCAGATTGGCTTCATTTTTGATTCAAGAATAGCCTGTGTCAGAGAATGACTATTCATAAATGTTCATTGATTTAAATTTGCATGTAGGCTCCTTTTCACAGATTATCTTTAAAGGGATAGTAGTTGCTTTACTGATATCACTAATGAATGCATGAGAGCAGAGAGCTAGAATTGAGCCATAGTTCTACCTGTTACAAATATATTGTTGATCAGAATCTAGTTTGGAACTATTTTCTTTCTTTTCCAATGTTTATCTGATTATCTTGCTAGTCTATGCATGGTATCTTTTGATACTCCCCAACACAGACGCTAGGCTAAAGATGTTGATATCCCTTGAGATTCTTGCCAGATCTCTAGCCCAAACCTTACCCTGTTGAAACTGTGCCAGATCTACACTGGATGTCAAGCCACCAGTTTGTGAAGAGTCGATTGCACCATCATTGCTAGTCTAGCATTATTTATATATCAAATCTATAAATTATCATTTGATGATCAAGGTGCTTGTGTTAGCTGGAACGAGAATTTTAAGTTTATTAACGAAACGAGTTCCATGAGGCTTTTCCAAATGGCACTTTAGCCAAAGGATAATTTGGCTAAAAGCTTACTTAAGTAACCAAAGGGGACCATTAAGAAACTGGGTTCATTTCCAAAGTGGCCCGATGGCATAATCCCAGGGAGAGGAACCAGCAAGTGTAAATCATCTGCTCTGTTAGGTACCGTGTATGTTTTCCCTGTCTACTTCTCATGACAAAAAATCAACTCCTCATTACCATTTTAAGGATGCAGAAAATGCCCTTGAACATGCAACCTAATAAAGCATCCGTTTATTTATCTACAAAATGGGAGTAATAATAGTACCTACCTCATGAGCATGTTGTGAGGATTAAATGAGATAACACATGCAGAACTAAAGTACATGATGGCAATGTAAATACTGTTAGGTCTTGATTGTTTTTTGTTTTGTTTTGTTTTTGAGACAGAGTTTTGCTCTGTTGGGGTACAGTGCTGTGATCTCAGATCACTGCAACCTCTGCCTCCTGGGTTCAAGCGATTCTCCTGCCTCAGCCTCCTGAGTAGCTGGGACTACAGGCATGAGCAACCACACCCGGCTAATTTTTGTATTTTTAGTAGAGCTGGGGTTTCACCGTGTTGGCCAGGCTGGTCTTGAACTCCTGACCTCAAGTGATCTACCTGCCTTGGCCTCCCAGAGTGCTGGGACTACAGGCGTGAGCCACCGCCGAGCCCGGTAGGTCTTGTTATTAATTTCTACTAATAAGGCTACAGTGTGAGAATGTGACTCCAGAGCCTTTCTTCTTTTCACAATTCCACATAACCTTCAATTAACTACAGTAACAATTTTTTCAGTACAACCTTTTAACTACAGTAACATACAGTAGCAATAAACTACAGTAACAATGTTTTCATGCAATCTTAGGCCTGCCTCAGATGGACCATACACACTGGCTTTTTTTAGTCTCCCAATTTGAACTATTTAATTTCCAGAACTCACCTCCAGCCCCCAAAACAGAAGGAAAAAAAAAAACCCTGCACACCAAGCAACATGTACACGCTGTTCCCTAATCTTAAATCATCCTTTCCTTCAGATTTTAAGAAAATCACGATCATTTTAGTGTGATGTGCTTGGATTACAGCAGCATAGAACTCTATTAGAGGAAGGATGATCCTTAGGGTTCCCAGACAGGAAACCTATATTTGGCTGGTGACCTGTAATGTGACCACCACCAACTGCTCCCTGCTGACTTTGCTCTTGGAAAGCTACTGCCCGCTATTGCCTGACACTTGGTGGTGATTACAAAAGGAAAACAATCATGCATGGCCTAAAACTGTTTCAGTATAAAACATGTACCACAGTAGTCCTGTAACATTATAATGGAGCTGAAATATTCCTAACACCTAGTGACATCATAACTGTCATATCACAATGCAACGCATTATCCTTGTTTGTGGTGATGCTGGTTTAAACAAATCTATTGTGCTGCTAATCATATAAAAGTATAGCATACACAATTTTGTACAGTACATAATACTGGATAATGATAATAAATGAGTATGTTACTGGTTTATGTAAGCATAGTAATTACTATAGTAATAGTATAATAATTACATAGTAATAGTAAATTATTATTCTTTTTATCATTATTTTAGGGTACATGCCTTCTACTTATTTTTTAAAAAGTTAACTGTAAAACAGCCTGAGGCAGGTCCTTCAAGAGGTGTTCCAGAAGGCATTTTTGTCATGGGAGATGACAGCTCCATGTGTGTTACTGCCCTTGAAGACCTTCCAGTGGGACAAGATGTGGAGGTGGAAGACAGTGATATTGATGATCCTGACCTTGTTCAGTCCTAGGCTAATACGTGTGTTGTGTCTTTGTTTGTGTCCATGTCTTTGTTTTAAAAAGGAAAGTTTAAAGAGTAATAGAAAAATAAAAACCTTTAAATACAAAGATATAAAATTTAAAAAAAATTGGCCAAGTGCGGTGGCTCACACCTGTAATCCCAGCACTTTGGGAGGCCGAGGCAGGTGGATCACTGGAGGGTCAGGAGTTCGAGACCAGCCCGGCCAACATGGTGAAACCCCGTCTTTACTAAAAATACAAAAAAATTATCCAGGCGTGGTCGTGGGCACCTGTAATCCCAGCTACTCAGGAGGCTGAGGCAAGAGAATCGCTTGAACCTGGGAGGTGCAGGTTGCAGTAAGAAAAGATCGTGCCATTGCACTCCAGCCTCGGCGACAAGAGCAAAACTCTATCTATAAGGTGTTTTAAGCTAAATGTTATTATAAGAGTTAAAAAGTTAAAAATGTTTTGAAATAAGTTACAATAAGCTAAGATTTATTATTGAAGAAAAATTTTTAAAATAAATTTTGTACAGTTTAAGTGTACAGTATTTATAAAGTCTACAGCAATGTTCAATAATGTTCTAGGTCTTCACATTCTTTCATGACTCACAGACTTACCTAGAGCAACTTCTAGTCCTGTAAGTTCCATTTATGATAAATTCACTATACAGGTGTTCAGTTCCTATATTTTACTTTTTTCATTGTTTGTATATTTTTACTGTACCTTTTATGTTTAGATATGTTTAGATACACAACTACTTATCATTGTGTTACTTTTACCTGTAGTATTCAGGACAGTAACATGCGGTACAGGTTGGTAGCCTAGAAGCAACAGGCTATACCACATAGCCTTGTTGTGTAATAGGCTATCCTACTTAGGTTTGTATAAGTACACTCTTTTTTTTTTAAGATGGGATCTTGCTCTGTTGCCCATGCTGGAGTGCAGGGGCAATATCATGGCTCACTGTAGCCTTAACCTCCCAGTACACTCTATGATGCTCAAAATCACCTAATTTCTCAGATTGTATTCCTACCGTTAAACCACTCATGATTGTACATCTCCTTTTTATCATATTTAACAAGATAACAGCAACCTTGAGCATGTGCATACACACGCACAGAGTCAGAGTTCCCTTCCTTGACTTCACCTATTGGTTTCCCATGCCCAGATGTCTATTGTGTCCCTAATCATATCACTTTGTGCTATGTTACAATTACCTATCTGTGTGACGTAGTCCCTGACTAAGCTGTAAACTCCGAGGAGATGGAGCCTGTGTCTGAGACTGTGGTATTGCCACTGCTTAGCACATTATAGGTAATCAATAGACATTTAATAAGCACACAAACAACATGTGACAAACCAAGGAAATAAGAATGAATACGTGATGCGTTTGAACACACTTACATGGGCATGGCTGTGTTGGAGACAAGAGGAGAGTTTTTGATGGGGTGGACTGTGGTCCTTGGACATTAAGCAGTAAGGTGGGCTAGAATATGGAGACTTTAAGTATTCAGGCCTGGTGATCTAGAGAGTAAAGAACCATTTTTTTTCCAATTTAAAAATTGCAGTAAAATATGTGTTACATAAAATTTGCCATTTTAACCATTTTTAAATATACAATTCTGTACACTAATTACACTCACAATGTAATCCAACCATCACCACAATCTTTTTCCAAAACCTTTTCATCACCCCAGAGCAGTAACTCCCTATTCTCTCTCTTCCCTGAGTCCCTAGTAACCTCTAACCCACTTTTTGTCTCCATTAATTTGCTTTTTGTTTTTTTTTCCTTTGGAGACAGGGTTTTGCGCTGTCTCCCAGCCTGTACTGCAGTGGCACAATCACAGCTCACTGCAGCCTTGACCTCCTGGACTCAAGTGATCCTCCCACCTTAACCTCTCAAGTATCTGGGGCTACAGGAATGTGCCATCATGCCTGGCTAATTTTTAAAATTTTTTGCAGAGATGAGATCTCCCCTTGTTGCCCAGACTTGTCTTGAACTCTTGCACTAAAGCGATCCTTCCTCCTCAGCCTCCCAAAGTGCTAGGATTAAAGGTGTTTGCCACCATGCCTGGCTGAATTTGCCTATTTTAGATGTTTCATGTAAGTGAATCCTACAGCATTTGTTCTTCTGTATTTGTTTTATTTCATTTTGCAAAACATTGTCAAGGTTCATCTATGCTGTGGCATTTTTAAGTAGAAAAGTGATTTAGAGCCACCGACATCTTGGAAAGACAGTGTTGGAAGATGCATACGGGTGAGGTGTTGAGCACCTCATTCCAGTTGCTTCAGCACCTTGCTGGCTTGTTTACTATTGTAGAGAGCCTTTATTAATTTCTAGGGGCTGGAAACCTAAACATATTACAAGTGTGTCACCAAATTTTGATCAGTATCTACAGCTTACATTTGCTATGACTGAGGGCATGCATGGTTTATAGTGAAACCTGTTCGATGTTGATATCTGTTATAATGACATGGCAAAACATGGGATACAATTGCTGGGAGAATGGAGAGGAGTCATAAACATCAAATCAGAAAACAAGCCAAGAGAGGGATAACTGTGGCTGCTTTTAGAGGTGAGCATCATTGTGCTGCAGCAGTGGCCACGTGGTAATCATTTCTGGTTTGTCACAATGCATAGAGCTTTTGATACATTTTAGTGGTTGCCAAAAATGCTAGAATTGGAGAGCATGCTACATATACAAAAAGTTTAAGAACAAATATACCTAGAGTCATAACATGCTCATATTTCATTTGTAAAAAGTCAACTCTACATGCTAGAGACAGAGAGAGAGAAACAGAGAAAGACAGAGAGAAAGAAAAATAACTAAACTGTACAAGTGATCCTGGTTGCCATTTCACTCAGTGAGTTTATGTCCCAGAGTTGATGTGATCTGGGAAATACACATGGATTTTCATAGTTTCCATTGTGTGATGTTGCAGAAGAGCATGAGTCCAGGGTTTAAAAATATGTACTTTTCATACAACATGGTCATGAAAGAAAGTCTACTTCATCTGGGACTCAAATGAAGAATCAACGTATTCCAAAGTCAGTTGTGCTGGACTTAATGAAAGAGGGCATATCGCTCTTTAATGTAGCACATATCTAATAGATTTTCTGGCACAATTTTGACAAGACACAATTTTCATCTTATGGGCTGACTTTAGAACCTAACTTCTCCTCTGATTCTAGATTCATCTTCATTGTAGAAGACAATGGAAAAGCAACAGCATCCTTCAAGTTTTCTTGGATATAACCTGCAGTGCTATTGAGATTTAGGACTGGAAAATAGCAGAAACCAACTAGAGCTAGCTGAAGCATAAAGAAAAGAAGATACTGGTTGGGGGTATTTTATAAAAAACTGTATCTGTACATGCAGGTGTGAGGATGCAAAGGAAGCAATGACTGCCTTCCAAGAAGATCACAGACTTTCCTCTAAGTGAGTCTCGAGCTGTAACTGCATACGAATCACCTGGAGACCTTGTTAAACAGGCACATCATCATTCAATAGGTCTGGGATTATAGATCATGTAACAAGCCCCCAGGTGAGTTGATGCCACTGACCCTGACAGCAATTTGAGTAGCAAGATTCAAATGCAGCTATTTTGATAACCCAGTCTCTGAAACTTTCACTTCCCAATTTCAGATTTCCAAGAGGGGACATGATTGCCCCAGTTTGGGTCAGGCATCTACCACTCCTGGATCCATCCACGACATCCAGCGGTATCAGGTCAAGAAAGAGCAAAATCACTATCACCACCACTAGCACGTAATGAATGTTAACAACTGGCCTTTCCCTGGGCTATGCATCTCATACACATTATCTCCTTTAATCTGCAAGTTAACGCTTTGAAGTGAGGGGAGAAAACTGAGGTTTAGAGAAGCCCAGTTGTTAATGAGTGTAAAAGCTGGTCTTTGGCCACACGGCCTGACTCTAGAGCTCCTGTGTTCTACCAACTTCAAGATTTGGCCAGGAGAGTGGGATCCCTTGGGTTTGTGGGAAGCCAGTTCTAAGAGGAAGAGGAATCACTGTCACCTGGAGTTGGCCCCTAGATTGACTATATAGCCACTTTATTAGTATTTGTGAACAAAGGTGGGAACAAGTTAGGTTACTAAAATTTTATGATTTCCCCAATAAATAATACCCCTCTTTCCACCCAACTTCAGAAAAAGGACAGAGATGTCACATGGGAGTCCAAAGTATATATAGCATGAAGAGCAGCTAAAAGCAAGGTCTGTGGGACAGTTTAGAAGCCCACTCCTCGCCAGCATGCCCTGGGCCTTGTCTGTATTCCAGACCTGGTACGTCAGGATCTCCATGTTCCCAGGGTCCCCAGGTGAAGGGTTGGGGTTCACCGACACTACCTGGAATTTCACAAGCAGCTCCAGACAATGGCAGGGCTCTCTCAGCATTCTTGTTGGTAGGAACCACCAAGCTCAGTTAACCCCGGGGCTGGGGAGCTCACGAAAATGCGTCCTCTCTGCAGCCAGGCTGATTGAAAGAGGCAGAAGAGGATTCTCTGACAAGGGGAAGAGGCGGGGAGGGGCCAGAGAGAGCTCTGCGGTTCTCCTGCCTCACGCTGCATATTATTAAAGTATCACCTGGGAACGAAAAAAAATCAATAATTGGGTTCACCCTCATATAGTATTATTATTATTATTATTTATTTTGAGACAAGGTCTCACTCTGTCACCCAGGCTGGAGTGCAGTGGCACAATCATGGCTCACTACAGCCTCAACCTCCTGGTCTCAAGCTATCCTCCCACCTCGGCCTCTGGAGTAGCTGGGACTACAGGCATGCACCACCATGCCAGGCTAATTTTTTTTTTTTTTCAGAGATGGGGTTTTTCCATGTTGTCCAGGCTGGTCTCAAAGTTCTGGCCTCAAGCAATCCTCCCTCCTCAGCCTCCCAGAGTTCTGGGATTCCAGGTGTGAGCTACCACACCTGGCATGAATATTCTTATTTAGTTGGCACATCGTAGGGTGGGCCAATTACAATATGTTTTTAAAAAGTCTTCTTAGATGGATATAACATACACTGGTCTAGCTTCAGTCCCTCTGTGGAGACAGGAGTGGGGAGTCAGCGTGCCTTCTTAACAATTACTCTCCTACTTTACTGTGGCGTGAGGGAAAGGTATTAGAGCAGGGCTTCTCAGACTTTAATGTGCCTAAGCATCAGCTGAGGATCCTGTGCAGGTGAAGATTGTGATTTGGTAGTCCTGGCTGGGACCTGGAACACTGCCTTTCTAAGCAGCTCCCGGGGGTGCTTGCAGCTGGTCCTTGTACCACACTCTGAGCAGCAAGGAGCTACATCAGGGGTTCTCGGCATGCAGTAGAGTCACCAGAGACACCTGCTCATGTGCAGGGCCCCAGCATTCCTAGCTCAGAAATTCTGATCCTGTGGGTGTGGGGAAGGGGTCAGGAATCTTCATTTTTAACAGCCATTTCTGGGGCAGGTGATTGAGTGACTGGAGAGCTCCATGTTGACAAACACTGGGCTACAGAAGTATAATAAAACCTGAGAAATGCTATTACGAAAACAGGAAAAGAGAGAACATCTGATTAATACTCTGTTCTCAACAGTCAATATCCTGATCTAGTAGAGCTATCATTACTTCAATGTCATTATTCAGGGTAATTTTGAATAAGACTTTACCTCCCCGAGTCCTTCCCCTCAAGAATCTCTGCTGAGTAGAGATTTTTAAAACAACCAGAACATGTTAGTCTCTCTCGATAGAGAGAGAGAGAGAGATGAAAGAGAAATTTATTCTCTCAGCATTTTGGGGCCAGAAGTTCAAAATCAAGATGTGGGCAGGGTTGATCCCTTCTAGAAGCTAAAAAGAAAAACATGCTCCACGCCTCTCTTTCCTAGTTTTCGGTGGCTTCTGACAATCCTTGCATCCTTGGCTTGTGGATGTGTTACTCCAATAGCTGCATCCATAGTCAAATGACTCATTTTCTCTCTGTGTCTGTGTCTGTTAGTGCATAATTTTATTTCAGAATTCTAAATTGCCTTCAGATTTGGACAAATTTTCCTCTTCATTTGGTGTGTATTATAGTTGATTTGTGTCCCCACAAAAGATCTGTTGGATTCCTAACCCCGGTATCTCAGAATGTGACCTTATTTGGAAATTAGGTTTTTATAGATATAATCACATTAAAATGAAGTCATTAGGATGAGCCCTAAACCAATTAGGTTTTTTTTTTTTTTTTTTTTTTTGAGACTGAGTCTTGCTCTGTCACCCAGGCTGGAGTACAGTGGCACCATCTTGGCTCACTGCAACCTCAGCCTCCTGGGTTCAAGCGATTCTCCTGCCTCAGCCTCCTGAGTAGCTGGGACTACAAATGCATGCCACCACTCCTGGCTAATTTTTTGTAATTTTAGTAGAGACAAGGTTTCTCCATGTTGGCCAGGCTTGTCTCGATCTCCTGACCTCAGGTGATCCACCCGCCTTGGCCTCCCAAAGTGTTGGGATTACAGGCATGAGCCAGGTTGTATCTTTATATGGCTGTGTCTTTACAAAAAAAAAAAAAAAAAAAAAAAGAACACTGAGACCCACACAGGGAGACCACCATGTGAAGATGATGATAAAGATCGGGTGACGCTTCTACAAAAGCCAAAGAACACCAAAGATTGCCAGCAAAACACCAGGAGCTGGCACAGAGAAGCACGGAGCAGATTCTCCCTCACGTTTTCGGAAGAACCGACCCTGCCAATACTTTGATCTCAGACCCTAGAACTGTGAGATAATACATTTCTGTTGTTTAAGTCACCCAGTTTATGGTTCTTTGTTTACAGCCCTAGCAAACTAATGCAGTATGTATATACTACACAATTCCATAAGCACTTGCTGGAAAGGGAAGTAGGTTTTAAATTCTGTGTGGAACACATGTATAGATAACACATGGGCCCTGACTTCTAAGAGCTTGCAGCGTAGGAGAGAAGTCTACTAGGAAAGGAACTCACACACAGATCCCAGAAATCCTGAAATTGGTAGACCATGTAAAGTGGTAGGCTGTGCTCTGGGGAGAATGTATTTATTTGAGAGGGAGCTAGGAAAGTTTCACTAGATGGATAGGCAGAGTGTGAATCAGAAATTGATTCTCAAAAAACTTAAAGCAGACTTACCATTCAATCCAGCAGTCCTGTTACTGGCTATATACCCAAAAGAAAATATATTGCTCTACAGAAAAGACACATGCACTTGTCTGTTCATCGCAGCACTATTCACAATAACAAAGACACGGAATCAGCCTAGGTGCCCTTCAACAGTGGATTGGAAAAAGAAAATGTGGTACATATACACCATGGAATACTATGCCAATATAAAAAAGATCAAAATCAAGTCCTTTGCAGCAACATGGATGCAGCTGGAGGTCATTATCCTAAGCAAATTAATGCAGGAATGGAAAACCAAATACTGCATGTTGTTACCTAGAAAGGGGAGCTAAACATTGGATACACATGGACATCAAGATGGCAACAATAGATATTGGGGACTATTAGAGGATGGAAGGAGGGAGGGAGAAAGGGGGGGCAACTGTTGAATAACTGTTGGATACTATGCTCACTACCTGGGTGGCAGGATCAATTTTTCCCCAAAACTCAGCATCACACAATATACCCATGTAACAAGCTTGCACATGTACTCCCTGCATCTAAAATAAAAGTTGAGGCCAGATGTGGTGGCTCACACCTGTAATCCCAGCACTTTGGGAGGCTGAGACGTGTGGATCACTTGAGGCTGGGAGTTTGAGACCAGCTGACCAACATGGTGAGACCCCCATCTCTACTAAAAATACAAAAATTAGCCAGGCGTGGTGTTGCACGCCTGTAATCCCAGCTACTCAGGAGGCTGAGGCGGAGAATTGCTCGAAGCTGGGAAGCGGATGTTGCAGTGAGCCGAGATCACACCTCTGCACCTCAGCTTGGGCAACGGAGTGAGACTCTGTCTCAAAAAAACAAACAACCCCCTCGTCCCCCCCCGAAAAGAACTAATTTCTCAATTTTTTTCTTAAATAATAGCTAAAGTTCAGGCTAGCCTTGAAATGTTTCCCTCTCTTAATCTGCATGGAGCAACATTATTAGAAGAAACAATTGTTGACAATATATTCCATTCACTGAACTCCAAGGAGTTGAACCTTGCTAATGTTTCAGCTTCAGTTAGGCAGCATGATCACTAGTATTTTTAAAGAATGAATTTCACACATTCTCAATCATTTTCATTGCTCTGTGAATGGAAGCAAATCATTGGGGTTCAGAATATTGTTCTGCCAACAAAATAATTTACGTTGCCAGGAGCTGGAGATCCTAAAAAATAACAAATAACATTTGCAGGCCAAACAACACAGTGCACCTAAAGAATTTTCTGTATTTTATTCTAAGTCAGGCTTGTAATTTCTCATACCAAAGCATCTCAGCAAAGGCCAGAAAGGGGATTTGGGAAAGCCAAATGAAGCTCACACCGTCCCTTTGCTTTTAAGCCTACATAGATACCAAGCCAGTTTTCAATATTTCTTTGGCCCTTGTTACTCTGTTAGAGCCATTTACTATTTCTGATCTGTGCTCAGCACAGAAATGGCAGGCCTGATCCAGCAGATCCATAACATTTTGAAATCGTGAGCTCTGTTTATTAAAATGTCTGGTCACCTGGGTGATGAGGCAGGGGAGGATAGACTGTCAGATAAAATAAAGACATGCATGGGACATTACGAATCCTAACAATGATTTGGTGATGTGCGCCTGTGGTCCCAGCTACCATCCCAAAGTCAAATTTAACTGGGAATTTTATTTTTTATTTTTCTAAGAATTAAAGCAAACAATCTATTTTGAAGTAACTCAGATATGTTTCATTTGTTACATCTAGTTATCTTGAAACACAGTAACCTTGGCTGGGTGGGGTGGCTCAGGCCTGTAATCCCAGCACTTTGGGAGGCCGAGGTGGGTGGATCACCTGAGGTCAGCAGTTTGAGCCCAGCCTGGCCAAAATGGTGAAACGCTGTCTCTACTAAAAATACAAAAATTAGCCGGCCATGGTGGCGGATGCCTGTAATCCCAGCTACTCCGGAGGCTGAGGCAGGAGAATTGCTTGAACCCGGGAGGTGGAGGTTGCAGTGAGCCGAGATCGTGCCATTGCACCACTCCAGCCTGGGTGACAGAGCCAGACTTTGTCTCAGAAAAAAAAAAAAAAAAAAAAAAAGTAACTTTGGTATAATGGTTGAAGAAAAAGGAGAAGCAATGTAAGCATAAATGCCTGAACATTTTACTCTTTTATCAATAAACATTACTAGAATGCGATGCATTTGAATCCATGCTTTTTTCCAAGGAAAACCTTCATTCTATCTTCTGCTTCCTGATATCGAAGCTGGATCTTATTACAAGGGTAGGATGCACCATGGAAAGCATGCCTAATTTTTTTGTTCGTTAGTCTTTTTGAGATGGAGTTTCACTCTTGTTGCCCAGGCTGGAGTGCAATGGTGCGATCCCCGCTCACTGCAAACTCCGTCTCCTGGGTTTAAGCAATTCTCCTGCCTCAGCCTCCCGAGTAGCTGGGATTACACGCATGTACCACCATGTCCTGCTAATTTTGTATTTTTAGTAGAGATGGGGTTTCCCCATGTTGGTCAGGCTGGTCTCGAACTCCTGACCTCAGGTGATCCGCCCACCTCGGCCTCCCATAGTGCTGGGATTACAGGTGTGAGCCATCACACCCAGCCCATGCCTAAACTTTTTAAACTACAGAAGGAAAGCTGATCTTCATCAGTTAGATCTCTGCATTATGCAGACTGACCACTGTGTTATTATATATAACATGGTGAAAAACACTGTTACATATGGCTTGTTGATAGCCCCACCTCAGTAATTTAGTTAAGCTTTAGATAGTCTGTTAACCACAAAGGCAGCATTTGATGTCAGGTCAAAAATCAGATCCAACTATGATTTTGTGGTTGATAGTTCAGAGAATGCTCTACAACAAAGGAATTGAGAATGCAGTGTGACGATATCTTTCTAACATTTAATTCAGGGAAAATGTCATCGCCAGCACAGCTTAACATTAACTGGGCATTTTAAATTTTTATCTGCTCACCTGGCAAATCTAATTACAGCACTGGTAAAATTACACCCTGGAATAGAAAAACTGTAGCCTAAGTCACATGGTGAAGGACAGGTATGTGTGAGAGAGAAAGGGGAAAGAATGAGCTTTAGAATTATTCTGATTTGGGCTTGATTTCTGACCCTCTACTTGATCATGTGACCTTGGGCAGTGTGTCTGAGCAGTTCCTCCAGGCTTGCTTTCCCCCTCCCATCTGTAAAATGGGCGTCTATTTTACAGATGGGAGAAAGATATCTCCTCTGGTTATTTAAGATGAAGTGTTAACTCAGTGCAGTGCAGTTCTGAGTCATATTGGAGTCTGACGCAAAAGGAAAAATCGGTAATACTGAACTCGTATTTATATAAAATTTTGACTTTTTTCAATTTTATTTATTTTTGAGACAAGATCTGGCTCTATCACCCAGGCTGGGGTGCAGTGGCACGATTTCGGCTGACTACAGCCTCAACCTCCCAGGCTCAAGTGATCCTCCCCCAGCATCCTGAGTAGCTGGGATCATACGCGCACATCACCACACCCAGCTAAATTTTGTGTTTTTTTTTGTAGAGACGGGGTTTCACCATGTTGCCCAGGCCGATCTCAAACTCCTACACTCAAGCAATTCACTCACCTCAGCCTCCCATAGTGCTGGGATTACAGGTGTGAGCTACTGTGCTGGGGTGACATTTTTTTAATCATGGGAAAAAATTGCGTGAAGTTGGATTTTTTCAAAAGACTGCATTGAAATATTATTTATCTTGTCAACCACGTTTTCGGGTGCGCTCTTAAAATTTGCACTTCGGCAGGTACCTCACTCATTTAACCCTAAGCCTGGCCTTGGCACTCAATGACTGTTAAATATTAATATTTAATGTTTGTATTTAATTTAATT
This sequence comes from Homo sapiens, assembly GCF_000001405.40. Classification (NCBI taxonomy): domain Eukaryota; kingdom Metazoa; phylum Chordata; class Mammalia; order Primates; family Hominidae; genus Homo; species Homo sapiens. The sequence continues at coordinate 69,161,387 of NC_000003.12, forward strand.
AATATTTAAATGAAACAATGTTAAATGTTATTAACCCTCTTATATTCCATTTCCTTGTAGTATCCCATTAGAAACAATAAGGACAACAAACATTTATAAGGGCTCACTTTGTCCCAGGCACTGTGCTAAGCTCCTGAAGTACATCATTTTGTTGAATCCTTAAAATTTTAGGAGATTGTTACGATTATTTCCACTTTATAAAAAGTGACATTTTTAAAAATTTAAGCTACTTCCCCTAGAAGACATAGCTAGTAAATGGAGTTGATGGGCATTAGAAATTAAGTTTTGTTTGCTTTTTTCTGCAGGGCTGCTGAAACTTGTTTGTACACCTCGTGTTGAATTAAAGTATGAATTCAGACTCAGCAACTCCTGCCTGCATTAACCCAGATAGGCCTCTAGGTGTCCTCATTGACCAAGCTCCAGAATTCTAGGCCAGAGAAAAACTACTTTTAGAAAAGGGTTTCTCAAATAGTTGTGTGACATGGAAGTGCACATTTATGAGAAATATAGCAGCGTTGAGTGTCCGTGTGAGATGGTGATCATGACTCTAAAATAAAATAAATCTGCTTGCTTATGTGATTTTCTCTATGAATATTCAGCTCCTTGGCTACAGGTTGATCGCTGGATTTTAATACAGTCCTAAAGGACTGAGATTTTGATTGGCTGCAAATAGATTTGATGGATGGATGGATTCTTGACCAATGTTATGTAGATGTGATGGAACCCAAATGTTTGTTTTAAGAACCTTTAAAACTGTGCCCACTTAGTCCAAATTGTAACAGATTTCTAAATAAATAAAAAGAAGAAAGAAAAGGTTTTCTCAGGCGTTTTTCAGGTTTCTCAGGTTTTCTCAAGAGTTTGAGTTTTCTTAAACTCTTTCAGGGGAGTTTCTATATATTCTGTGCATGATTACAGACCAAACTGGGCCTGTCCTAGAAGGTTTTCAGTCTGAAGAAAGCTCTGGGATCAAGCAGGGCCAACTTCTCTGTGGATGGGAAGGATATGACACCCATTTGCTCAGCCTACAATCTCCAAGGGTGTGGGGTTTCTCAAACATCTATTATTGTGCTACTTACTCCTGAGCAGGGGCCTGGCAACTAGGTTTCCTGGGTGTCTTGAATCTACAGGACATGTCCTGTTTTAATGATTTTGCTTGGTGTCCTGTATGGATTTTTTTTCCAGGATGCCTTAAATGTCCTATATTCAGCTTTTTAAAAAATTAAGTTACAAAAATTTGGTGGTTAGAGCTATTTTTCAAATTTAATTGGCCTCCGGTATTTGCATTTGTTAAATCTGACCGTCCTACTGGCTGGCTTGTTTGCATTCATATGAACATAGAAAAGGTAGGGACCTGTCTTTGAGCCAGCAGCAGGGCTGTCCTAGGACAAGCCTCAAGTGCTTGTCCTAGTCCTGACTAAGCAGAAGAGCTGTAGCTGAACTGTTAGGAAAATGCCTTAATCAGTTTGATTCCTCAGGTTAGACCTGTGTGAAACCTCCCTGCACAGTGGACTCCAGAGTGGAACAAATTCATGCTTTACAAAGTTTCTGTCTTATACATTTGTGAATTGGAATCCAGGCCTGTGTACCTTCTAGCTATGTAACTTGGGCAAACTACTTAACCTTCTTGAGCTTCTGTTTGGAATTAATAATTGCAAACTTGCTGTGAGGATTAAACAAGAAAAAAGTGGCCGGGCATGGTGGCTCACACCTGTAATCACAGCACTTTGGGAGGTCAAGGTGGGAGGATCACTTGAGGTCAGGAGTTCGAGACAAGCCTGGCCAACATGATGAGACCCCGTCACTACTAAAAATACAAAAATTAGCCAGGTATGGTGGTGCATGTATGTAATTCCAGCTACTCGGGAAGCTGAAGTGGAAGTATCACTTGAACCCAGGAGGCAGAGGTTGCAGTGAGCCAAGATTGTGCCACTGCACTCCAGCCTGGGCAACAGAGCAAGCCTCTGTCTCAAAAAATAAATAAATAAAAATAAAATAAAACTAAATAAATAAATAAGAAAAAAGTGTTCCCAGTACCTACAGCAGTGCCTGAGACGTGAATCAGCCCTCAACAATGATGAGTTAGTTTAGTATTGTCATTTCAGTGGCTAAACTAAGGCAGTGCAAATCCTCCAAACATCATCTTAATATTCAACAACATCTTCTGACTTTTCTCCCTCAGGAAATAGTTTATATCATGAAATACCTTCTAGAGACTTGATGTTATGCTGAGCTGGTTAGGTGCATTATCTTGTTCAGCCCACACAATATCCTTGTGAGATATGTACTAGAGAGGAAACTGAGGCCCAGGGAGGTCAGGAAACTTCCCATAGTTCATATAAGCAGCCAGTAGAAAGGCCAGGAAATATTCCAAGCACAGCAGTCTGTCTCCAGGTCTGCATGACTTCAAAGCCTACACATTTAACCACTATTTTATAAAGATGGGGATGTCTGCTTAGACACCCACTATCAGATCCCTGAAAGGCTTCTTCCATCATAATTGAAGGGCTACTGGAAATGCCCTTCCCAGTCTTGGACTGTCAGTATTCTTGATGATATATTTCTCATCATTGCTTTCCAATCCTTAATCTTTCCTTTTTTCTTTTTAGAGACAGGGTTTTACTTTGTCACCGAGGCTGACGTGCAGTGGTGTGATCATAGCTCACTGTAACCTTGAATCCCTGGGCTCCGGTGATCTTCCCATTTCAGCCTCCAGAGTATTTTGGACTACAGGGGCATGCCACCACTCCCAACTCCTTTTTATTGTTTTGTAGAGACAGGATCTTGCTATAGTGCCCAGGCTGGTCTCAAACTCCTGGCCTAAAGCGATCTTCCTGCCTTGGCCTCCCAGAGTGTTGGAATTACAGGCTTGGGCCACTGTACCCAGCCCTGATCTTCTTATGAAGCCATTTTCTTCTGAAAATGAGGAGGGTCACATAGAGAATGGTTTCTCTGGTGAAGTTATGTGTGTGTTGGGAAGAAGAGGCCAGGTGCTGTGATGCTCATCTAGTTAACTACATCTCCTGTCTTCCAAGTACATTCCTTAAACAAACACCACTGCTCCTTTCCTCCAGCCTGTCTGCACAGGTAATTCCAGCCCAGTCAGTGTTAATGGGCCCTGCATCAGGAATATCTTCAAGCCATGCCCTGATCAGGAGTGTTGCAATTGCACAGCTTGAAAATCCACCAGCTGCAGGCTGCCCTAGGCTGTCTTTTCTTCCCCTGGTTATTTTCACCCTGCTAGTCTGATTTCCAACCTTCCCTTTGACCTTCCCTCTTTCTTCCTCCACAGGCCTACTTTAGTTGCTTCTTCCCTTCCCTTTTCATTTTCATTGATTTCCATTTAAGAGAGGTGGTTGTTGAGCAATTGCTGTTTTCTTTTTTTGGTTTTATTTTGTTTTTGAGATGGGGATTTGCTCTGTCACTCAGGCTGGAGTGCAGAGGCATGATCATGGCTTACTGCATCCCTGACCTCTTAGGCTCAAATGATCTCCCACTTCAGCCTCCCAAATAGCTGAAACTACAGGTGTGCACCACCATACCTGGCTCATTTTTTATTTTTTTGTATAGACGGGGTCTCACTATGTTGCCCAGGCTGGGCTCAAACTTCTGGGCTCAAGCAGTTTTCCTATGTTGGCCTCCCCAAGTGCTGGAATTACAGGCATGAGCCACTGCACCTGGTGAGCAATTGCATTTTTATAATGTCATGGTTAATAAAGAACATGATGGCCAGGTGTGGTGGCTCATGCCTGTAATCCCAGCACTTTGGGAGGCTGAGGTAGGCAGGTCACGAGCTCAGGAGTTTGAGACCAGCCTGGCCAACATGGTGAAACCCCGTCTCTACTAAAAATACAAAAATTAGCTGGGCGTGGTGGCGGGTGCCTGTAATCCCAGCTACTAGGGAGGCTGAGGCAGGAGAATTGCTTGAACCCAGGAGGCAGAGGTTGCATTGAGCGGAGATCATGCCATTGTACTCCAGCCTGGGCAACAGAGCAAGACTCTGTCTCAATCAAATCAAATCAAATCAAATCAAATCAAATCAAATCAAATCAAATCAAATAACATGAGATGTGGAGCCAAACAGACGTAGGTTTGAATTTTAGCTTTACCACTTACTTACTGTTTGGCCATGTAACCAAAGGAATATTAAACTTTCTGAACCTCCCTTTTTATATCCTCATCTGGGGATAAGACCATTTTTCTTGCACAGTTGTAGGGAGAATTAGATGGGTAATGTATGCCTGTAACCCACTGTTTATGGTGAGAAGTAAAAAATGGCAGCTTTCTGTCTTCTTACCTTGATAGATTTCTTTAATCCTGGCATAATAATCTGTCTTCACATTCTTTTAGTTTCTAAAACTGGCCAAGCTTCTCCTGGCTTTACAGCCTTGGCGAATGTTATATGTCATTCTCTTAAACCCTAGAGAGCTTCTATTCTTTTTGCTTAATTGTATCTTCTCTTACCAATCCTCAAGTCTAAGCTTAAGCATCACCTTTCCAAAGGGGCCCATTGTGTCCCTACAATCTCAGCTATAGCTCCCCACCCCTCTCACCACCCTTGGCTCTCATAGGATTGTCATGTTAACTTACTGAGAGAGGTTACTTCTTTTTCTCCCCTATTGGCCTGTAAGCTTCAGGAAAGCAGGGACCATCGTATCCCCAGTGACTAGGACAGTGACTGACTGCCACATAGTTGGTATCCTAATGTTTGTTGGACACATGGTTTTTTTCTTTCGAGACAGAGTCTCGCTCTGTTGCCCAGGCTGGAGTGCAGTGGTATAATCTCGGCTCACCACAACCTCTGCCTCCTGGGTTCAAGTGATTCTCCTGCCTCAGCCTCCCAAGTAGCTGGGATTATAGGCGCATGCCACCGCGCCTTGCTAATTTTTGTATTTTTAGTAGAAATGGGGTTTCACCATGTTGGCCAAGCTGGTCTTGAACTCCCGACCTCAAGTGATCCACCTGCCTTGGCCTCCCAAAGTGCTGGGATTACAGGCATGAGCCACCACACCTAGGTGCAGTATATTTAATGATCCTCGTTCCCTTCAAATCATTAGGAGAAGCCAGAACATGTCTCCAGATGCCCCACAGGGTGTGGTACAGTCCCAGTTGAAAAATCACAGATCTTTTAAACCTTGGGTACTTCACATGAATGTTATAACCATTCAAGAAGAGAAAATTATATGAAACTCAGAAGTTAGGTGAACTCCCATCCCCCTCCTAGTCCCAGTACACCATTCTTGCCAAGGCATCTGATATTCAAAAGCAAAAGGAAATAGAATGTGTTTGTGTGTGTGTTTAGTGTTAAGAAGAGCAATCAGGTAAGTATTGCCAAAATGGATCTTTCGCACACTTCCTATTTTCTTTTGCAGAGGTGACAGATTCTCCCTGAATCATCAAAGGCAGAAAAGGATGACAGTGGTATCAGGACACTCTGATGGTGGGCTCAGATTCCAATCTGAGATTAATCTCAGATGCACTCTTTCCAAAGAGAATCAAGGTGAAGCCCACAGGTCCATACATCTGATAGGGCTGAATTTTGAGAGGGTTTCTCAAGGGCATTGTAGAAGAGCATTTCACAATTCACATTATCACACTGCCCCTAAACAATTCAAAATGGGGAAGGATCAATAGATACTTACAGTGTCACTGATCAATATTTAGTTCATTATCGTTATCTGTGATTTTAACAAGTATATTCAGTAGGGTAAGACATTTTATTGACTAGAAAACAATTTAAGAAATGTACTTGATCCACTAGAAATAAATAATGTACTTGATCCACTAGCAATCAATAATTCAGCCCAGTGGGCACCACCTGAAACTGGGTAGTTTCCTAGGTAAGGGTTATTTTGACCTGTGCTTGGATTTAGACCTAACTCAGCCCTTCTGCCACTAGTAAATGAAAGAAAATTAGGACTGTTACCTTTAAGAAGTAACAATGAGCAAGGAGAACTGGGCTTAGCATGTATACATTCAATTTTCATTAATCCGTTTAAAAAGTTATGTTTGCTACTTTCACTCTTCCTATGGAGAAGTTGTTCCTGGATAGCATTCACGGAATGAGGAATTCATAGTTTAGTATTTGGAGTATGCCAACTCAGGATTTACTTCCTGCTTTTCTCCTACTAGTGGTAAATTACATGACCTTTCTAATTCTCAGATTCTTTCTCTGTAAAATGGAGATTATCTAGCACTATACACCCCATTAGGCTGTTGTGGGGATTAAATGAGAAAATACATATAAAGCACTTTTGCACACCAGCCTGGAGCACATTGAACTAGAATTCAACAAAAGCCAACTCGTTTTTGCAGCAGGACATACTTTCTTTTTTCTACTCCAAAGTGGCACAAGGATGGGGGTGGAAGGGATACAGAGTAGTAGAAAAGACCCAGGGAAGTCCAGAGGAGGGGCATATGAAAACAGAGAAACAGGCCGGGCCTGGTGGCTCACACATGTAATCCCAGCACTCTGGGAGGCTAAGGAGGGCAGATCACTTGAGGTCAGGAGTTCGACACCAGCATGGCCAACATGGTGAAACCCATCTCTACTAAAAATACAAAAATTAGCCGTGTATGGTGGTGCACACCTGTAATCTCAGCTACTAGGGAGTCTGAGGCAGGAGAATTGCTTGAACCTGGGAGGCAGAGGTTGTAGTGAGCTGACATCGTGCCACTGCACTCCAGCCTGGGCCACAGAGCGAGACTCCATCTTAAAAAAAAAAAAAAAAAAAAAAAAAAAAAAAAAAAAACAGAAGAAAAGAGAGAAACAGGACGTAAGAGGCTCGCTAAACTTTTGAGCTGAAAAAGGAGTGAAGCTTTTCATTACCTTCTGGGCTTTGTGTACATGTCAAAAGATTTTGTCTTTGGAAATGGACTGCATCTCCATGCCCTGTGACATAACAGGAGACAACTACTGTTTGTCTTGTCTTGATAAGCATGGATGAAGTACCTCCCTTGACATAACTCCAAGTCAGCACTTATTAAAGGGTGGTCTGTAACGTGGTGCAAGGTAAGTACAGAAATTGAGAGTTGGTGTTTAGAAACTTTGATTCCAACTTGACAGAGTAGTTTTATGTCTGCTGAATCTAATAATACATAGGGATGTGTATTTTCTTACGTTTTTTCAATAATCTAGCAATTTTTTTCTGAATTAGCTTTTCTCCTCTAGTAATTTGCTTTTATTTTACTTTATAAAACTATAGGTACACAATGGATTGGAATCTTTAAAAATTGGTCTTTCACTACTTTGAAAAGCACTACTCTAGAAAATAATCTAAACTTGCCTATTGTACCGAAGAAAGTCATTCTTCCAGTTCTGGAAGCTCTTTAAGGACTCACCTTTGTAGTAACTCTTTAGTCTGAGCCTTTGTTCCTAAGAACAGACCAAACTAATAGTTTAAAACAATTCCGGAATCTTTATTTCTTGTAATATTTAAGCTTTTGTGAGTACAAGGAAGAATTTTGAAAATTTTTGTCAAATATAGAAAAATAGATAAACATCTAGTAGGGTGAGGCAATTTTAAAAATCCACCTTGTTAAACATATATCTTTATGAGGTAGATCAGTATGTCTTGATACAGAGGCCCAAGATATATTAGGCAGAAAACAAAACAAACAAAAAAAAATGTTGTAAAACTGTACTTGTAATATGCTGGACTTTAAAAAAATTACTATATGCATAGAAAAAAATCCAAACAAATATACAATAAATTAACTATTATATCTGAGAGTGTTCGGCTAATGGGCACGATTATGTTTTTGTTATGTACTATTTTGGTTTTGCATTTAACCATGGTATTTTGTAATAAAAAAGAGGAAACGTACATGTTGAATAATGTACTTTTGTCACTTTTGGCTTTTAATAAATAACGTAGTTTAATTGGTTTAATACCAATGCGGTTGAGAAATGTTTTTCAAAAGAGACGAAGAAAACCGTGCAGTAGGATTGCTGAACTTCCATTTCTTTCTTTTTTTTTTTTTTTTTTTTTTCTTGAGACAAGGTCTGTTATTGCCTAGGCTGGAATGCAGTGGCACGATCCTGGCTCACTGCAACCTCCGCCTCCTGGGCTCAAGATATCCTCCCAACTCAGCCTCCCAAGTAGCTGAGATTACAGGCACACATCACCATGACTGGCTAATTTTTGTATTTTCATAGAGATGGGGTTTCACCATGTTGTCCAGGCTGGTCTTGAACTCCTGAGCTCAAGCAATCCTCCCACTTCGGCCTCCCAAAGTGCTGGGATTACAGGTGTGAGCCGCTATGCCTGGCCCTGAGCTTCCATTTCTATACCTTCTTTTCCTCTGTGGGAGCCAAGTTATATTTGCCCTTTCAAGGCATGCTTGCAAGTGTAACCATACTATTTCAGGAACAGAAAAATGTTATTTTATGCAAGATACATGTATGGAAATATATTTCATTTCCACTCCCTTCTCCACATTATGTAGGATTAAAGGATGTCAGAGAACTAATTTCTTGAATTTAGAAGACCTGTTTGCCAGTCTGTGAAATTAGTATAAATTACTTGCTACAAATAAACAACATTCCCAAGATTAAAAAACCTAAAAGTTCTCACCAGTCATCCTCAGTGAGACAAACTACCGCATTTCATCAATTCTAAGGCAACTTTATTGTAAGACACAGCATTATTTTTAATGTACTATTAAGAAAAAACTGCCAATTCAAGTAGAATATGCCATCAATAAAAAGATGAACCATGTTTTTAATGTAAATATTTAAAAATGTACATCCCGGAATTAATAAAATACGGTAATACTATAAATAAAAATCCGAAGCCTTGCCCAATATGATTACTTGAAGTAGAGCACTGCGACCTGCTTCACATGAACCCCTGACATAAATGGAAGAAAACGTAAACATTTTCAGTAGCACACCTTTTGTTTATTGACCTATGTAAAAAAATAATAGGTCTTGAAAAGTCAGAACAATAAAAGAATATGCAAAAAGGTTATTTCTGATTCTAGAAGGCTATACAAATATGCAAAAAAGGAATAAGTTATTTTTTTTTGCTTGTCTTTTTTCCAAAATTTTTTCCCAAACTTCATTTCTAATTATACAAATGACTAAGGACCAGTTTAACAAATCGTTTTTATGTATATATTACATGCTTTGGAATATAGATAGAAAATGTTCCAAAAAAGTTGTTCAGAAACTTTTCTATTCACAATATGAACAAGAAACTTGTATAAAAGAAGGGGGAAAGGAGCACCTTTTATGTAATTTTGAAGCAAAGATGACAAAAAAGATCAATCTGGAATATGGAAATCATTTGCTTTAAAAAACAAACAAACAAAACCCTACAATAAACCATAGCTAATTAGTTCTTCCAAGGAAAGTATGAGGTAGTTTTAGCCTCATAATTAAATCCACTGCAGCTTGGAGCTTTTTGTCGTTGTTGTTGTTTTTCTTTTTTAATGTTAACCTTGTTTTTGTCACTTGGTGACTTGGAACTACTTGTGGAATCCAGACTTGTTTAATTTTCTAACGTTCACCATTTTAAGGCACGCAATTCATCTAAAATGACGTGGCTTTTTTTTTCTGTTGTTTTGGATACTTTCTGTATCATCTTAAAATGCTTTTTCAAACTCATAATTATAAAAACTTTCCATATTAAGTCTGCCACTTCAAATGACAGCCGAGTTGGAGAATTAACAGCCAGAACAATAGCTCATCACGCAATTAGTGGAGAAAGGAAAAAGGAGCTCCATGATATTGTACCTTAGAATGTTCTCCAAGCAGACTTTGTCAATTATTCAGTGGGCTGCTTCATTTTCCCCAATCTGCTACCATAAGTTATATTACAGGATGCTAAGGTAATCAGTTTTTCCAGAACCCATTTTATGGTGCTTATGAAAAACATCACTCTTTATAGTATCCTAAAAAACATTTACACTCATTCAGAACTTCATGAAAATCCAGCTTCAAGTAATTTTCCAATACTGTCTAAATTGTCCATGTCTGTGTAGAAAGAGCATGTTACTCTTTGTCAGCTCACGAATTCAAACTCTGAAGTGAGCAATGACTCCGGAGCTTCTGGTTCCCCTTCTCTCATCCTGCTGAATTGTGCTCTGAGATTTCCCCTGTTCTTATTGCCATGGGACATCCTGAATGCCCTTTCATGTTTTTGAGGTTTGCCTTTAACAACTTTTACTCCCTTAAAAAGTGCTTGCTATTGATGAAGGCTTCACACTGAGTCCTCTCTTGGCAATACTTCAACATGTGGGCAGACCCTACAGTTACGTTAGTGCCTAGAGTTTGAAAGGCCAAATCCTCCTTTAGGGGCTTTGTGGGGCTTGGTGTGTGATTCACTGATTCACTTCCAGGGCAACTAAGTCTTCTCTTCAACCTTTGATGTCTTTAGGTTTCTAAAACGAACATCCTCTCGGAAGACAAATACAATTTGCAAGGCACACTAGTGTGAGAACGCAGTGCTTGGTCAGGAGGTCCAACTGCAGTTCAGACTAATGTTCCAGGCTTTGAATCTTCATGCCAAAAGAGTCTCTGCTCACTACTCTCCAGGTTGTCTTCCAGCTGGTTTCCATCTGTACCATCCAGTTGACTGATTTCTGTGTATTGTCTATTAAAGAAAACCAGAAAAGTTACTACTTGTGGCCATATTTTTGTCCCCACAGCACAAAGACTACTACATTTAAAGAAGTTAGTAGGAAGCACTGTTAAGAAAAATTTCCCAAAATGTAGAGATAAGGGAAAGGAGAAGGGTGACTGCATGTTCTTTCAATGTCATACTGGAGCATTGTTTAACAGGCCCATAAAAAGGATTATTTAATTCTCTGGAAAGATATGCCTTTGTTTAACTTGTGTTTCATTGATCAGGACCCAGACTGTATTAAGTTACATGTTAACTTGTAGATTTTTGTCTCAAAGAAATACAAATAACTTGTCTAGTAAAAAAGATTATGGTTACAGTTTTATTGAACTATAGGACATTAACTGGTTTTGTATCTAATTTAGTAGTCTTTTCCAACATTCTCTCTTTCAGTGTCTCGGAGTCTCTTTGAACCAGCTTTACCATCCTGCTAGTTCACTTATTAATGAGTTAAACAAATCTTCGGCCCATGTCCATTTTTACTTGTGTGACAGCTATATTTTTAACTTTTTAAAAAGTATATTGTGACAATCACATTTTAAGTACTCTTCGAATTGAGGGAATATGCTAGATGCTTTCCTCAGGGACAAAATAATATATTTAGAAGGTGGCAGGGGCACATAGGGACATATATGATATCCCTGGGGTTTATGGGTCAGGCATAAATTGGAAGTGACCCAGGACACAGCATCACATTTAAAAATCATACGCATATTTAGATGGCAATTCCAAATGAGAGCATCCTATCATACAAACCATTCCGATAAGCAAAACCCCATTATTGTAACGGTAGGTTAAGAGAGATTAGACAGTTAGTTGATTTCTTTTTTATTTTACATTCCAAAGTATTTTAGTAAAGGTGATTTTTTTTTTAAAGTCTTTGGAAGAAGAGCTTTGGAAATAAAGGTTTTTAGTGTTTTCATGTAACATAAAAAACAAAGCCAGATTTCATAATTTCACACATCAGTCAGTGCAAGCAAAACTCCTGCTATGCAAGAAGCAACACACAGATTGGAGGTACTGTACTTACTACAGCTGGCTACACTTAGCAAAAGAGAATTTACAACTGATCTCACTTCTGGAGACACAACCATTCTTGGGGATAGAAGCCCTTGGTTTTGCCTAGTAATAGAGTTAGATAGGAAAGGAGAAAGGGAATGGAAAATAGGAGGTGAAAGAAAAAAGTTATTTGAAAATACAGTTGGCAGCAGTAGAGCCAAGAATTTGACTGTATTATATACTAGGTAGCTTCAACATTTCTACTTCGGAAAGTTTATGCTAATGACAATTATGCCAATTGTACTAGAAAAAAAATTTTATTGGTAAAAATTAGTACCTTTCTATAATTTTAAGACCCGGATACTCTAGGGCAAAGGATCTTTAAATAATATACACTTTATTTAAAAAAACAACAAAACACTAATATATTGCTATGCATTTCAAATCTTTGGCTTAACGGGAAAATCTAGTTTTTCATTTTTATCGTTAACACCTAATTTCTCTCTTATTTTAAAAATCATGATTTCATAAAAACAATTTACAGAATTTTAGAGCAAATTTATAAAGCTTTATGAATGATTGTTATTATCCTTGCCCTGTTAATAGGTTAAATTGATCAGACTGTATCCTAAAAAGAATCCTAAATAAACAAATGGATGGAAATAAGTACTTCTGTATCTCCGTGGCTGGAAAGGCAAAGTTGCAAATCTTTCTGGAAGGCAAGAGCTTAAAAAAATACACTTTTCAATTTAATCCATTAACTCTACTTATTGGAATATATCCTAGGAAAATAATCTGGGATTCAGACAAATATTTTGGACAAAGATGTTAACAGCTGCAATACTGGGCTGGGCGCCGTGGGTTACACCTGTAATCCCAGCACTTTGGGAGGCTGAGGCGGGTGGATCATGAGGTCAGGAGTTCAAGACCAGCCTGGCCAACATGGCAAAACCCTGTCTCTATTAAAAATACAAAAATTAGCCAGATGCGGTGGTATGCACCTGTAATCTCAGCTACTTGGGAGGCTGAGGCAGGAGAATCACTTGACCCTGGGTGGCAGAGGTTGCAGTGAGCCGAGATCGTGTCACTGCACTCCAACTTGGGCAACAGAACAAGGCTCCGTCTTGGGAAGAAAAAAAAAAAAATAGCTGCAGTACTTTTATAAAAAAAAGAAGGAAAAATCTAAAAGCCTCTCAAAAAAAACTTCAAAAAATGAGGAGCTGCTACGTAAAGTAGGGTATATTTGAGTGGAATATCATATTGGTCATATAAAATAAGGTTTAAAGAGTTTTAAAACACATGGGAACATGGTTATGTTATGATGTTAAGTTTTTAAAAAAATGGAGATGTAGAATTTCATGTACAACATAAGATGTAAAACTGTATGTACAATATCATTATAACCATGTTAAGTGGACAGAGAAAAATGGGGAAAATATGCCAAAATGTTAACAGCTGCTTTCTCTGGATGGTGGAATTATGGCTAATTTATTTCCTACTTATTTATCTCTTTATTATAAATTTTCTACCATGAGCTCATATATGCACACGCATACACAAACACACAATAGGGATCTTTAAATAGCTTCTAATTTCCTGTATGTTATGACCCCTCTGATCCCCTATCAAGCCATCTTGGGCTGTCTGATATATATGAGCAGACTTGGTAAAAACAGATTTTCTCTAAAAATGCTTAACACTTCCTGAGTCCAATTACAGTAGTGTTAAGGATATGAGAACTGAGTAATGCACCAAAAACTGTATAATCATTTCTGAGTCAACAAAAAGGCAAGTAAAATTACACAAACACGAAAATAATTTGCAAATATATTATTAAAAAATGGTTAGAAGTAAACTGAAAAGGCTAGGCTCAAATTTTAGGCCAGTCATTTTGGTTCTTGCTCCTAACTCATTTTCAAACATTATTTACAGAAGTCCAAGCTATTTGACATCCTCTGAAGTATATTTTCATTAAAATTCTATTTTGAGTATAGCCTTTGTTTAGCTGAGACAATTGGCTTAATATTTGAAGCCAAGAAAAACTCCCACTGAATGCGGAGGAAAAAAAAAGGCATTTGGGGCTGAATATTTCCAATTTGATTGTAACAGTGAGTGTCTTAATAAGAAACTGCTAAATTCTCAAATTTACCAGCATAGAAACCTTTATAAGTTGTAGTCTGTATAACTTAGTATGTAGTCTGTGTCTGAAGCACTATGACTTAAATCAAAACTACACATTCTAAAAACAGGAGAAAATGCCCTACTTCTTGGTACCATGGGTGTGGATTATCTTTTGTGGGAAAGTAAAAGGGAGACACGACCTCTTCAAACTTAATTCCTGTGCATAACAAGAATTTTTTTAAAAACTAATTCAGAGTTTGCAATTTTTTAAAAAATCAGTTTTAACAAATTGCTCTTGTACATTTCCTCTAATGTTTACAAAGAACTACTTTTACAGACAAACAGGACAGCTGGCTGTGTCTGTTGCTTCATAACAAACATAGGATCAGATAAAAAACGCAGCAAATGTTTGAAATCCAGCCTACCAACTGTCTAAGGAACCTTGGTATGAACAGCCTTTCCTGGAGTAGAGAGATTTTTCCTGCAAGGTTTCAAAAGAGACTTAAATGGACATATCACTAATAGGATTTCAAGTACCATAATTTAAAAAATAAAAGCTTCAGACTCAGAATTCAATGTACAGACTAAAGAACAGAATGCGTTAGATGAGGGGTTAGCAAACTTTTTCTTTTCTTCTCTTTTTTTTTTTTTTTTTTTTTTTGAGACGGAGATGGAGTCTCGCTCTGTCGCCCAGGCTGGAGTGCAGTGGCGCGATCTGGGCTCACTGCAAGCTCTGCCTCTGGGGTTCACGCCATTCTCCTGCTTCAGCCTCCCGAGTAGCTGGGACTACAAGCGCCCGCCACCATGCCCAACTAATTTTTTGTATTTTTAGTAGAGATGGGGTTTCACCGTGTTAGCCAGGATGGTCTCGATCTCCTGACCTCATGATCCGCCCGCCTCGGCCTCCCAAAGTGCTGGCATTATAGGCATGAGCCACCGTGCCCGGCAGCAAACTTTTTCTTAAAGGCCAGATATTTTTGGCTTTGGTGTCTGTGCAAGTAGTTCTTTGTAAACATTAGAGGAAATATACAAGAATTCAATGTAATACTGAAGACCAGGGTCAAATCTGAATGAGTTAGATTAGGGGTTAGCAAACTTTTTCTTAAAGGCCAGATACTTTTTGGCTGATGGTGGCCAGATATTTTTGGCTTTGGTGCAACTACTCAGCTCTGCCCTCATAGTGCAAAAACAGCCATAGAGAACATGTAAGTGAATGAGGGTGGCTATTCTCCAATGAAACTTTATTTACCAAAACAGATGGCAGCTGGAGTTGGCCCACAGGCTAGAGTTTGCCAACCCCTGAACTAGATTATCTGACGTTTGTAAATTAGGATCCCTGAATTCTTTTGAACTGGAACAGGCTCCTAGGATTTTCGAGCATTGCTTCCTCACCTGCTTGGAGAGGGTAAAGGATTATAGACATTGCCATAGCAGCTGGTGTAAGAAGAATGTGCTGGAGTCTCGTAATCCGACAGCCCTATGGTTAACTGGGTCCTCCAGTTCCCAGAAGCATTTGTAGAAGACACTGGAAATAAAAATGGAAAAAGATAAAATTAATGGAAATATTAAAAGTGAAAAATTGTTAAGGTCATTCAGAGGTACATTGCAATCAGCTTTGTCAGAGGAGAAATTTAAGAGGGTTTGAAATAACAGAGTTCCTATTCCAATTTAGTGACTTCCTGGCTATGTGACCTTAGGCAAGTAGTTTATCCTCTTTAAGCCTCAGTTTCCTCATCTATAGAGTAGGGATAATAATATTAATATATTCTGTATAGGTATGATGCCAGGATTAAATAAGGTAATTATGAAAATCTTTAGCACTGTACTTGATACAAAGTACTCAGTAAATAACTATTAATATTATTATTGAGAATAAGATTAATTGAAAGATAAATTTGTCAATTCAAAAAATAATCTAGGTTGGGGCCAGGTGTGGTGGCTCATGCCTGTAATCCAAGCACTTTGGGAAGCCGAGGCGGGAGGACCACTTGAAGCTAAGAGTTCAAGACCAGCCTGGCCAACATGGTGAAACCCTGTCTCTACCAAAAAATACAAAAATTAGCTGGGCATGGTGGCGCATGCCTATAATCCCAGCCACTCAGGAGGCTGAGACAGGAGAAATACTTGAGCCCATGAAGTTTAAGTTGCAGTGAACCAACATCACACCACTGCACTCCAGCCTTGGTGACAGAGTGAGGCTCTGTCTCAAAATAAATAAATAAATAAAAATAATTTCAGGTCAGCTCAGTGGCACAAGCCTGTAATCCCAACACTTTGGGAAGTCAAGGTGGGAGTAACGCTTGAGCCCAGGAGTTCAAGGCTAGCCTCAGCAACATGGCAAAACCCCATCTCTGCAAAAAATACAAAAATTAGCCTGGCATGGTGGTGCACACCTGTAGTCCCAGCAACTTGGGAAGCTGAGGTGGGAGGATCACTCAAGCCTTGGAAGTCAAGGCTACAGTGAGCCATGTTTGCACCACTGCACTACAGCCTGGGCCACCAAGTGAGATCCTATCCCAAGAAAGAAAATAATAATAACACATAAATAATTTTTAAAATAACTGAAAAGACAAGCAAGAAAACAATTCTCATATATTGCGAGAATCTTCCCATTCACGCTATGGTGTTATAAAGGTAAGGTGATGAGTCTGGGTTTGTCAGAGGCCTTGGAGGAAATGTGTTCCATAAGTTGACTTATTGAGACTTGACTATTCCTCAGCCAAAGACAACACTGGCCGCTAGCAAGATCAAGGCTATTTTTTGTCTTAAAAAAAAGTGTGTATGTGTTGGGGTGTGGATTGGGGGAAGAGGCGAGGTGGTAAGTAGCACAGGAAGGAATTCAGGAAGAAGGGATTTAGTTCTACAGAGGAACTGAACTGGAACAAGACAAGGACATAATTTGGGAGCGAAGCCCAACAAATGCCTCATCACTGGGCGTTTGTTGTCCTCTCTATAAAACCAGTTCTGCTCCACGCCTAGGATGGACAAGATAACCACACGCCATGATACTCGTTCAAGACTCAAAAACCAGCACTGCCCTTTTTCCATTTCCTGTTTCTGGCTTCAGACCTACTCCTCTTCTCTCTCATACACACAAAGTGCCTGTGATCACTATGGGACAAACGCATTTCAAAACTCATCTGTGGCCCTGGATGTCATGAGGTGTTGACTAACAGATGTAACACTCTGAGTTTGAGCTTCCAAGCCATTTCCAAACTGAAATCAGAGGCTCTAAGCCTTGGTGGTTAAGATGTTAGAGCTGTGGGGCTGGGTGTGATGGCTCATGGTTGTAATCCCAGCACTTTGGGAGGCTGAGGTGGGAAGATCACTTGCAGCTAGGGCTTAGAGGCCAGCCTGGGAAACAGAGCCCAGTCTCTACAAAAAAATAAAATTAGCCAGGCATGGTGGTGTGTACTTGTAGTCCTAGCTACTTGGGAGGCTGAGGAGGGAGGATCGCGTTGAGCCAAGGAGTTTGAGACTGAGTGAGGTATAATAGTATCACTGCACTCCAATGTGGGTGACAGACTGAGACTGTCTCTTTAAAAAAGAAAAAAAAAAAAAAAAGGAGCTGAGCTAGGACAGAATCCCCAGAATCCCCATCCCACCACTTAGTAGCTTTGGAACTTGGGTTATTTAAACTCTGTAGCCAGAGTTGCCTAAGCTGCAAAATTAGGATGATAACAATAAGCATAACAATAGCAATCACTATATAGAACTGTTGCATACATTAAATAGGAGAGTGCATGTAATGTTCTGAATGTGCATGGCATCTAGTAAGCTGCCAACAAATGGTAGTTGTCATTACTAAAACTGAGTCACCGAGAGATCCTTCAGGTGGCTGGAAGGGACTACAATGCCAGGACTAATCTGGCAAATAACTGGAAATTTATCACTCCATGAGAATGACGCCTGCCTGTTGTAATACATTTCTGCAGTTTTAAAGTGGAGACAGAAATGAGGGGAATTCCAGCAGGGAATTCTGGGAGTACTGATTCCACCCCTGTAGTTCTTTAAAGAGTGATGCCTTTTGGTCTGTGGGGCCACATCTTGCTGGTGTCAGCAAGGCTCACACCAGGTCTGAAACAGGAAGCTTTACCTCCATTTCACCTTTACTAAGCTAGCAGCCAGGAATGTTGAGTTTCCTCAGTTAACACCTGCTTCCCCCAGGCACCACCCCAGCCCTGTGCCGTAGTGACCATCCACATGCATCTCAGCCCTCCTTGTTTGGTCTTTCCCTTGTAGTACTCTGTCTGTTCTGCCCAGGTTTGACCTGTGAAAGTTTCTCACATCTTGAACTTTAAGAGGAAGAAAGGTGTTTTCTAGGTCAGAGCCATAAATAAGAAATAATTACCGAAGCCCTTTCATATGTTAGATGTGGTAATAGATGGGACAGCCCTAGTGGAAGTCCAAAGTCCTGCACAAATAGGAGAGAACTTGAACCCAAATAGAAATCTCCATGGAAACGCCTCATCAACAAGTACATGAAACTTTTAAAGGTGTAGTTTTCACTTGACTATTATACAATGACTCAGGAATCCTTATACTATGTCTCACTAAGGTGTCATGTTAATAAGGGAGAAGGTGAGACTCATGACCTACAGGTTTTCTGGCAGTTTGAGAATTCATTCATTTCTTAGCGTTTTAAAATTGCTTAATTTTTAAACATTCCTCTGGCTGCTGACTCTGAGCTCATCGTGGCCAGGAACTAGTTCAACAATGGGTCCTCCACATCTTGAATGTGGCTGCTCATTTGCTGAATAAATAAAACCATACACAGAGCCTCCCCTATCTTCTATTTCTCTACTTAAAGTACCTAGTACAACTGGGAGTAGGCAGGAAGTCCTCCACAAATGTTAGCAGAGTTAGGGGCCAAAGTCAACATCAAGAGTATAAAGGAAACATCTCTAATCAAAATTATCTTTGAAAATCCCTTAAGTCAACCACAACATAGGTATATATGAATACTGAATTACAATATGCATGGCCAGGCACTGCGGCTCTCACATGTAATCCCAACACTTTGGGAGGCCAAGGCAGGAGGGTTGCTTGAGGCCAGGAGTTTGAGACCAGCCTGGGCAACATAGCAAGACCCAACCTAAGCCTCCTTGTTTCTACAAAAAAAAAAAAAAAAAAAAAAAAGCAAATTACTTAGAACAGTGCTTAATCAATGCCAGCTCCTATAAGGATTCTTACGAGCCTTATGCAGGCACTTGCCTAAGTACCTGCATAATCCCAGGCTTGCATTCAAAGCAGTCCTTAGATGATCAATCTTGGTGGTGAACCAGGAGGGATGTATAATTCTAATGTTTTCTGCTTACCTGAGGGTTTATTCTTTTAAAATATCAAGCCTCAATGACGTGAACACATTTAAGAGATGTGCCTGTCAACGTAAATCCTAAAAAGACAAAGCAAGTGAAACCCCTAACACATCCCAGCCTAGGCGACAGAGTGAGACTCCTTCTCAAAAACAAAAAACAAAAAACAAAAAAAAACCCTAAAACAGGGCAGCACAGAGAGTAAATGCTCAATCAATGTTTGCTGGATTTGAATCTACAATTTGCTTCATTAGACTCATGTGTACTGAGTTCTTTGGAGAGCTGGAAAGAACTGTTTTTAAGTTGGAAATTCTTATTGTGGGGTTCCACCGAATGGTTGCCCCACTTTTGACCCTGAGTACTGGTCTCATGATCCGTGAGGCGGTTTTAGGTGGGCAGGAAACACGATGTAAATAAAATCCAGGTGTTGCGTGTTTTTACAGTATTCTCACCTGAAGAGTACGAGGATGCACGACTGCTTGGAGAACAAGGTACTTGCAGCCCCGCAAACCCCAGGCATCTCTGTGATCCCCTGTCTGAGTCAAAGCTGGTCTGCGGGCTGTGTCCCTGATCCTTCTGCCCAGAGGCCCGCTGGTACCAGCCACGCAAGTGCTCGGCAACTAAGGCCTTGTGGATGTTTTTGGTGATGTGCTCCGATTTTGCAGCAGCCTTCCTTGGCAGCCGGAGAGTTGCATATGGGTTATGGGGTACCCGGTCGACCTCATCTTCGTGAAAGGATCTGCTGTAGTCCCTCTGGCGCTCATATCCATAGTGGGCTGAGGACCGGTAGGAAGGGTTGACACTATACTGTCCCTCGGTGTCATTCTCATAGACATAACCACCACTGTAATAAAAGTCACACTCTGCATAGGGTGTGTACCCGGCAATGTAGTAACTGGAAGACGGTGGCTCCTGACTCTTTGAGTAAACACCATTCCTCAAACTATCCTTTTGTGCTAGGTTGGGCATGCTTCCTGAATTTGAAGTAGAAACATTCTGTTTCTTTGACCTCCTCCGACCCCTGGTGCGAGTGTCCAGGGTCTGGGTGGTGTAATAGGGGCCGGTAACTGGTGTCACACAGTAATACTCTGTGCTTGATTGGCTTGTATAAGAAGACCCGTCATCGAGGATTTCTGTGCTGCTGCTTCTTTGGGATTTGGAGAGGGAGAAAAATGGCTTATCGCTGTCCATCTCGGAGAGCAGGTGGGACTGGGACTCCAGGCTTCCACTCCGCTGGCGGCAGTGCTGAGATGAAGATTCGGGTCTGAAAGAGGAGAAAGGCAAACTTCTCAACACCAAGAAGAAAAGGAGGACCCAAATAAGAAAAAAGAATAGCATGCTGAATGACTGAATAGCTCGTGAATTACAATAGGACTTTGAGTTGCCAAAGCTGACTGCACAATAGAATCCATTGTTCTCCAAATCTGTTGGCTCACATGTAGGTTCATTTTGACCATGGTCAAAATGAGAAAAGAGCTGGCTTCTGTTAGTTGCGCAAGCCAAATCCTTCCTTGAGGGTAGGGAAAGACACAGACTGAGGATGCACAGTTTGCATCACAGCCTGGAAAAAAAAACAAAAACAAAAACAAAAAACCCAACGTGTCTTTGGAGGGTCCTGTCTTCCTAGAGGATATGAAGATATGGTACATTCGAGTGGAGGTCAGAGGTGGCTGGGCTGAGTCATGGCACTGCTATTTCCCAGCTGTATGAGCTCAGGCCAGATATTTAACCTCTCTGAATCTTGCTTCCTCCTTTGTAAGATGAGGATGAAAACAATATATAATATCTACCTCACAAAAGGCTTGCTGTAGGGACTAAATAATCCAGTGAATATAAAACATTTAGCACAGCACTCACAAACATTTCAAAATGTTGCTATTGTTACTAACTTCATCCTCACCATTGAATAATGAATGGTAATATGTGACTGGGGAAATTAAGGTACTAAAAATCTAATGTATATTTGAACAAATCAAATACATTTTCTTTGCCAACATATTTGAAACCATAAGTTAGCAGAAAATGTAAAACCATAAAACAAGGTCCTGCTACAGAAAGTCACTTGAAATGATTAAAAAACACAATAAAGCAAGACAGAACCTCAAAGCAAAAATCAAGACAGCTAAAGCAATGAGAAAGAAGCTCTCTTACTCCAAGTGGCTGCTGCTGTAGGCGTTTCGGGTAAGAACTGGCGTGGTGGGCATGCTTCGTCCTCCCTGGGGCCGCCTCTCCAGAGTTTTGTAAGGGCTGCTGTGTGTGGACAGCATTTCTCTGTGATGATAAAAAGAAGAATTCAGGAAATGATGAGTCTCTCAACATCTCTGGCAAACTTGTCATAAGCAGATACAAAACTTACTAGAAGCCCAAGGAAAGGGAAAATAGGGAGAAAGATAGGAAGAGTGTCTTTGTGGTTCACTAAACCACAAAGAAAACCCGCTAAAACAGCGGGAGCACATATGGTCTGACTTTCTGAGTCACAAATATGTAGGGAAAAAAAGGACTTTTAATAAAGAGTACACTGAATAAAAAGACTCAAAGCAACTAGAGCTGTTTATGTAGGCACCTGAACATTCAAAACAGTCCTTAGATGATCAAATCTTTGTGGTGAACAGGGATGGATGTATAATTCAGCAAACTCCTTTTTTGTAAACAGTCTAGAATACTAAATAGCTTTTGGCTTTGTGGGCCAGATGGTCTCTAGAGCGACTACTCAGCTCTGCCCTTTCAGTGCAAAAGCAGCCATGGATAATATGTAAGAGAATGGGTGTGGCTGTGTTCCAAGAAAATGACCTATGGATGCTAAATTTCATATCATTTTTACAGGTTGTAAAATATTATTGCTTTTGATCCCCCCACCACCAGCTACCTAAAAATATAAAAACCATTCTTAGCTCACGGTCTGCGCAAAAACAGGCAGCAGGATGGATTTGGCCACTGGACTGTTGTTTGCTGGTCCCTGGACTAAGAACAACAGCTTTAAGTCACTATGTCTACTTCCCAGCATGGTGACAACACAATTAGAAGTTAATTTTTTTTTTTTTTTTTTTTTTTTTTGAGACTGAGTCTTGCTCTGTCGCCCAGGCTGGAGTGCAGTGGTGTGATTTTGGCTCACTGCAAGCCCCGCCTCCTGGGTTCACGCCATTCTCCTGCCTCAGCCTCCGGAGTAGCTGGGACCACAGGCGCCCACCACCACGCCTGGCTAATTTTTTGTAGTTTTAGTAAAGACAGGGTTTCACCTTGTTAGCCAGGATGGTCTCGATCTCCTGACCTTGTGATCCGCCCACCTCGGCCTCCCAAAGTGCTGGGATTACAGGCGTGAGCCACCGCGCCCAGCCTGAAGTTAATTTTTTTTAACTAAAAATAATTTTGATCAAATTTTACTTACTACAAAAGCAAGTCTAAGTTCATTAGGAAAACTTTAAAAATACAGATAAAAAGAAAAATTTAAATGTCTATAATCTTTTTTTTAGATGGAGTCTCGCTCTGTCATCCAGGCTTGAGGAGAGTGGCACAATCTCAGCTCACTGCAACCTCCAGCTCCTGGGTTCGAGTGATCCTCCCACCTCAGCCTCCCAAGTAGCTGGAATTACAGGTGTACACCACCATGCCTGGCTAATGTTTATTTTTTTTATTTTTTTTATTTTTAGTAGAGATGGGGTTTCACCATGTTGGCCAGGCTGTTTTCGAACTCCTGACGTCAAGTAATCTGCCTGCCTCAGCCTCCCAAAGTGCTGGGATTACAGGCGTGAGCCGCTGCCTGTATAATCTGATACCTTTTACATAGTCAGGCAACATTAAATGTTTTCAGATTATTTTTCCTAAGCACATAAACTTATTAGCATGTATTTATACATAAACATACATATTTATTTTTTAACAAAACATGAGATTTACTATATATTCTTTTTCAACGCTCACTTTTTAAAAAGTTAAGTTGTACCTAACATTTTATGTTGCTTACTATTTGCCTACAGTGTTATTTTAATGACTGCATAGCATTTTATTGTATGGATTTACCATAATTTATTTAAATAATCAGCTAGTTGAACATGTGGTTTGTTTTCAATTTGCCAGTAGTGTAAGCAATGCTGTAATGAGCATCCTACATGTAGTTAGTTAATTCAGTAGTAAAATTCCTAAGTGAAATTGCTGGATAAAAAAGCAAATCCATCTTAAGTGATTGGAGATGTGGGTATAATAATTTTTAAGACAATGATTCCCAGCTATAATTCTTCCTTTTGCTGAAATAGCTTTGTTTTCCCTAACATAAGAAGCACACTTGTCTCATGTTATCCAATAGGACTTTCTGCAATGACAAAAATGTTCCGGGTCTGTTCTGACCAATATGATAGCCACTAGCCACATGTGGCTGCTGAGCATTTGAATTGTGGCTAGCATGACTGAGGAACCAAATTTTAAATTTTATTTACTTTTAATTAAATTGGCTAGCATGGCTGTAGCTCCTTGGATCTCTTACCATTTCAGGCAAAAGTTCCTAAATGCTAATCCACAAACTGGGGCCGATATGTGATAAAGATTTCACTGCTCTTTAACAAATTAGAAATATAACAATGTGACCTGGCGCGGTGGCTCATGCCTGTAATCACAGCACTTTGGGAGGCCGAGGTGGGTGGATCACGAGGTCAGGAGATCAAGACCATCCTGGCTAATATGAAACACCGTCTCTACTAAAAACACAAAAAAATTAGCCAGGTGTGGTGGCAGGCACCTGTAGTCCCAGCTACTCAGGAGGTTGAGGCAGGAGAATGGCGTGAACCTGGGAGGCGGAGCTTGCAGTAAGCTGAGATGGCACCACTGCACTCCAGCCTGGGTGGCAGAGTGAGACTCCGTCTCAAAAAAAAAAAAAAAAGAAAAGAAAAAAAGAAGAAACATAGCAATGTGGAGGTTATATTTTCATAAGTCACAATTTATCCACCTTGAATAATCTAATAATCTACCTTGATTTTGAGAATAATTTCCTTTATTTAAATTTTTTTAATTTATATTTTTGGCCCTTGTAGAGCAAATACTTCCCATCTTTGCTGAGATGTGGTATAACATGTTCACTGAAATCAGATCACAAGCTTTGGATCCTGCCAAGTTCTAGGCTACCTAGGTTCAAACCTTGATTCCCATGTTTACTAGTTGATGAACCCAAAGAAGTTATTCATGGTCCCTGGCCCTCAGTGTGCTTATCTGTAAAGGGTAATGACAGTAGTAACACTATCAGGGTTGTCGTGAAGATTAAGTTCATTAATAAATTACATAGAAAAAACATAAACAGTATCTGGGACACAGTAAGTACTCAATAGCGGCCAGTTGTAGTGACTCATGCCTGTAATCCTAGCACTTTGGGAGGCCGAAGTGGGCGGATCACCTGAGGTCAGGAGTTCAAGACCAGCCTGACCAACATGGTGAAACTCTATCTCTACTAAAGATACAAAAACTTGCCGGGTGTGGTGGCGGGCATCTGTAGTCCCAGCTACTTGGAAGGCTGAGGGGGGAGAATTGCTTGAACCTGAAAGGTGAAGGTTGCAGTGAGCCAAGATGGTGCTGCTGCACTCCAGCCTGGGTGACAGAGCAAGACTCTGTCTCAAAAAAAAAAAAAAGTAAGTGCTCAATAGAAATGTTATATGAAATTAATATAAAATGAAATTAACATTACATTAAGTGAAATGTTAACTTCATTCGATTAATATTGCCACAACGATAGTGAATATATTTTTTATATCAAAATGTCATTTCTTTCATGGATTCATGGTGCTATTTTTTTGAACATTTCTTTTTTTTTTCTTTTTCCTTTTTTTTTTTTTTTTTGAGACAGCATCTTGCTCTGTTGCCCAGGCTGGGGTGGAGTGACATGATCATAGTTCACTTCAATTGTGAAATCCTGGGCTCAAGCAATCCTCCTGCCTCAGTCTCCCAAGTAGCTAGGACTACAGGTAGGCAACACCATGTCTGGCTAATTAAAAAAGAAATTTTGGGCCGGGCACACTGGCTCATGCCTGTAATCCCAGCACTTTGGGAGACTGAGGCGGGTGGATCACCTGAGGTCAGGAGTTCAAGACCAGCCTGGCCAACATGGTGAGACCCTGTCTCTATTAAAAATACAAAAATTAGCCAGGCATGATGGCGCGTGCCTGTAATTCCAGCTACTCAGGAGGCTGAGGTGGGAGAATTGCCTGAAGCCAAGAGGCAGGGGTTGCAGTGAGCTGAGATTGCACCACTGCACTCCAGCCTGAGCGACAGAAAGAGACTCTGTCTATAAAATTTGTAGAGATGGGGCTTCATTAGGTTGCCCAGACTGGTCTCCAACTCTTGAGCTCAAGTGATCCTCCCACCTTGGCCTCCCAAAGTGCTGGGATTATAGGTGTGAGCTGCCGCACTCAGCCTGTGTTTGAAAATTTCTTTTTAGGCAAAGCAAACAGCTGGTAACTGTTTGTTTGCTTTTTAAAGATTGATCCATACAGCCAAGTTCTGGGAACCACTGGCCTGTCATGTTTCTAAAACCTGGTCTCATTGCCCTGATAATATTTACCTGAGATATTTGAGAAAATGCTTGGATTATCTATTTTACAGATTATGAGTTTAAGTCCCATGTTTATTTGCAGGACTGGAAATCAGTCCTGCTACTTGGTTTTGCAGAGTGGACTTTAACGACAATTTCCTTAGACCAGTGACTATAAAACTGAACTGTGGACACTATGTCTAAATCCAGATGATAATTAATGTCCCTATAAGTTAATATAGATCAAATAGACTTTAAAGTCAAGGAAATGGTCAAATGCATTTTAAAAGACTTCTTAAAAACATTTTCAGCCAGGCACGGTGGCTCAAACTTGTAATCCCAGCACTTTGGGAGGCCGAGGCAGGCAGATCACCTGAGGTTGGGAGTTCGAGACCACCCGGACCAACATGGAGAAACCCCGTCTCTCCTAAAAATACAAAATTAGCTGGGTGTGGTGGCTTGTAATCCCAGCTGCTCGGGAGGCTGAGGCAGGAGAATTGCTTGAACCCAGGAGGCGGACGTTGCGGTGAGCTGGAGTTCACGCCGTTGCACTCCAGCCTGGGCAACAAGAGTGAAACTCCACCTCAAAAAAAAAAAAATATATATATATATACATATATATATATGTATATATATGTATATTCATTTGCTGTGAACAACAAACTGGGTTAGTTTCTATGCCCCAGTTTTACAAGATAACATCTTTTGGAAGGATAAATAAAAACATGTGAAAATGTATCAACCATACATTGCATTTTGGAGGAAAAATTTCCTAGCTGTGGGGCATTAACCTTACTGATGATATGACCTCTCACCTGGACTGCCTGGTATCCACAAACTGTTCATTGATGGACGACTTTCTGAAATGGATTCGCTCAATACCAAGAGACTTGGGGGGAAGAATTCTTGGAGAATGAGGTACTGAACTTGATCGCTGCCCAGGAAAAGTGAAGGCATCACTGGCTATAATAAGTAAATGGGTGAATGAAAAAATAAGTAGGCAAATTAATAGGTAAATAAATATCTTGCCAATACCTCAAAAAAGAAATTAGAAGGTTTAGTGAACAAAGTGTTCTTCCAAAGATGATATTTTTAGAAGAACATAACTCTTTCAAGAAGTTAATTTTTATATTTTATACACCAGAAAAAACGAAAATACTGAACACTCTTCTGGGACCTGAACCATCTTTTGCCAAATTCAACAGGTGTCACTTAGAGTGAGTAAATCACTCAAGGGGAATGGGTAATACTGCAGCTTTTAAAAAGCTATATTAAAGAAAACCCCCAGTGTGAACCAAGGGGAAGTTGGCCTGGATCATTTTTGTTCACCTTTACTTTTAAAGTTTTTAGGCCTCTTTGGCCAAAGGCTTATCCTGTCATTGAAAGTAAGGAAACTGACTTATGCTGCATCTTTAGAGGCTTGTTATGTTTTCCACTGATATTTACATTTTCAAAGAGGGATGGCAAGCATGACCAAACATCACCTCACATGAAGAATTCTGCAGTGGTGAAATTTTATGCACCATAAAACTTGGGGAAGAGCCTGTAATCCCAGCACTTTGGGAGGCCGAGGCGGGTGGATCATGAGGTCAGGAGATCGAGACCATCCTGGCTAACAAGGTGAAACCCCGTCTCTACTAAAAATACAAAAAATTAGCCGGGCGCGGTGGCGGGCGCCTGTAGTCCCAGCTACTCGGGAGGCTGAGGCAGGAGAATGGCGTGAACCCGGGAAGCGGAGCTTGCAGTGAGCCGAGATTGCGCCACTGCAGTCCGCAGTCCGACCTGGGCGACAGAGCGAGACTCCGTCTCAAAAAAAAAAAAAAAAAAAAACTTGGGGAAGATAAAGCAGTGGGGGTGTGGTTTCCTGGAATTCTTCAAGTCATACCACAGAGATCGCCAACTCAATCATGATTAAGTACAAGAGATGACAAAGAAACACTCTATTAGTTGATAGTAAACCCATTCTATAATGGAATGTATTGAACGGCTGGGCTCGGTGGCTCACGCCTGTAATCCTGGCACTTTGGGAGGCCGAGGCAGGCAGATCACCTTAGGTCAGGAGTTCGAGACTAGCCTGACCAACATGGTGAAACCCTGTCTCTACTAAAAATACAAAAATTAGCCAGGAGTGGTGCCCAATGCCTGTAATCCCAGCTACTCGGGAGGCTGAGGCAGGAGAATTGCTTGAACCTGGGAGGCAGAGGTTGCAGTGAGCTGAGATCGCACCAGTGCACTCTAGCCTGGGCAACAAGAGCGAAACTCCATCTCAAAAAAAAAAAAAAAAAAAAAAAAGAGAGAGAGAGACAAGAAATGTATTGAACAAATACAGGCCATTACAATCGATACAGCCTGCCTCTATGAAACAACAAAATGACAGGTAGCCCAATGTCTAACTGTGCCTTTCTTCCTAAATAAAATAAACTTTCCTTTATCTAGAATATGAAAGTTTATTTCACATTGTAAAACATACAATGATTTTATTTCATATTGTGATGAATACAGTGATAACGTGTACAATCTAATATCCTGGTTTTGATATTGGACTCCAGATATATAAGATGTCACCATTGGGAAAAGCTGGGTGAAGGAATCTTTGTATTAATTATACAACTCTCCGTAAATCTATGATTACTTCAAAATAAAAAGTTAAGAAACACTTTAGAGAGCCTTAAAGTCCTTACTGAGAGACTTAGATACTCCCGTGAGGGCATTCTGATTCGCTGAGGTCATGTGATTTTTGTGGTCCTGTTATTAACGCTGAGTTAACCTGAGTAGGTGTTAATCATACACTTCCTTTCCCAACCATTTTGCATAAATGTAAGTTAGTTTATTCTACTTTTTCTCAAAAGAAAAACAAATAGGCCTTACTTAACTAAGAAAATTATCTTAATTATTTCAGAATATCTAACATTTTTAAACCAAAAAAGGAAGAGCCACTTACGATCATCATAGGTGGTGGTGTCAGACAAAGAGCTACTCTCTGAGGGGATTATGTCTTCTGTGAATAAAAATAACTGCCTTTAGTACAATTGTGCATTTATACAATTAGAGGGGTCTTAGATAAACAATTTTCAATGGAATGCATTTTCATTTAAATAAATGTAATTAATTACAGTGCATTAAGAATAATTAACTACCATAGTAAGAATGGACTCATATACTAACAAAAATCAAAACATTTTACATATTGTACGAATATCACATTAGATTATTTCTTAAAATGGAACAGACTTCAAGGGAGTGCTGGTTTTAAACTAGTTTTCGGTGTTTCTTCTACACTGGAATAAAACTTTACCTATATATTTAGTGCTTATGATCAACAAACTGGAAAGAAAAAATCATGCCATTCTTATCATAAATGCTAAATGTTAAATAAAACACATTTGAATCCTCATTTGAAAATCTACTCTTAATATAACTTGGCTTTTGACCCCTCCCTGAAAGAAAAGGCCTTTTTTTTTTTTTCTTGTTTGTTTATGGGACAGAGTCTCATTCTGTTGCCCAGGCTGGAGTGCAATGGTGTGATCGTGGCTCACTGCAGCCTCAACCTCCTGGGCTTAAGCAATCCTCCCGCCTCAGCCTCCTGAGTAGCTGAGATTACAGGTATGCAGCACCACGCCTGGCTAACTTTTTGGATTTTTAGTAAAGATCAGGTATCACCATTTGGCCAGGCTGGTCTTGAACTCCTGGGCTCAAGTGACCTGCCTACCTAGGCCTCCCAAAGTACTGGGATTAAAGGTGTGAATCACTATGACTGGCCAAGCTTTTCAACAGGTTTCTCAACAGTGGCACTACTGACATTTTGAACTGGATAATCCTTTGTCCTGGGGAGATGTCCTGTGCATTATAGGATTTCCAGCCTCCCTGGTTGAGAACCACTGAATTAGGTTTAAGTCTTGGTTTTGCCATTTATCGACTATGAGACCTTGGGCAAATTACTTAATCTCTAAGTATCACCTGGCTCAATCCCACAATGGGGATAACAACAGTACCTATCACGTAGTGCTGGGGTGAGGCGTTAGAATAACGGATGTAAAGCCCCTAGCCCAGCTCCCAGCATTACATGACAAATGCTCAGTAAATGTTAGCTAGACTTAAATCTTTAGTTAACTAGACACTGTGTTCTGGTTGGCAATGGCCATAACACTCTATTGCTGGTATCCATCAAATGTTAAATAATGTGGCCAGGCACACTGCCTCACCCCTGTAATCTCAGCACTTCGAGAGGCCGAGGTTGGTGTATCACTTGAGGGTCAGGAGTTTAAGACCAGCCTGGCCAACACAGTGAAATCCTGTCTCTATGAAAAATACAAAAATTAGCCAAGCATGGTGGTGTATGCCTGTAATCCCAGCTATTTGGGAGGCTGAGGCAGGAGAATTGCTTGAACCTGGGAGGCGGAGGTTGCAGTGAGCCGAGATCATGCCACTGCACTCCAGGCTGGGTGGCAGAGACAGCTCTGTCTCAAAAGAAAAAAAACAAAAAACAAACAAAAAAACAAACGTATTCAGTAAAGAAAAGTATCTCAGATGTGTTGATCTGCATTTGCAAATCATTCCATATTCACCTGAGTGTTTTGGCATGAGGTTCTAGGCAAATATAATCCTCAATGTAAACTTCAAGACCATTATGAAGGGAAGCTCTCCAACCAATCTCTAATGTTAATCTGTATCAGAAACAAGTGAACTATCTCTATCAGACACACAGTGGAGCTTGAAGGCAAGGTGCCAGTATAGTCAGCTGTTAGGCATACTTTCACTGTAAAGGAGAACATTTGAATTTTGCACAGTTTGAGGATGGATGGGCCATAACAAATGGCCATGAAGTTAAGCACAACACTAATCACCCATATCTGTAGGTCCAGAAATTAACCACCCCCAAGACTGCCTGGATTTCACATTCAACCAAAGCTACTCTACATTCTCCAGCTGTAGTGGACTAACACTTGTGTGTTGATGCTGTACATTCCCTTTCCAAAAGCCATGTCTGCTTTGTAAATCATATGCTCTACACCCAATTATATTCTAAACTCACTTACCTTATTTCATCAAATCTAAGATATATATTTTAAGTACCAGCAAAAAATAATAAAAAAAGTACTGCCAAGTATGACTGTAAAGCACCATCTAGTGTGTTAAGAACTAACCCAAGGCTGGGCGTGGTGGCTCACACCTCAATCCTGGCAGTTTGGGAGGCTGAGGTGGGAGGATTGCTTGAGCTCAGGAGTTTGAGACCAGCCTGGGCAACATGGTGAAACCCCATGTCTACAAAACATTAGCCAGGCATGGTGGTGCGTGCCTATAGTCCCAGCTGCTAGGGAGGCTGAGGTAGGAGGATCACCTGAGCCCAGGAAGTCGAGGCTG
Source organism: Homo sapiens (assembly GCF_000001405.40). NCBI lineage: Eukaryota > Metazoa > Chordata > Mammalia > Primates > Hominidae > Homo > Homo sapiens. The sequence goes on from NC_000003.12 coordinate 69,192,316, forward strand.
CAGTGAGCTTTGATGGTACCACTGCACTCCAGCTTGGGCCACAGAAAGAGATCCTGTCTCAAAAAGACAAAAACAAAAAAAGACAAACAAAAAAACCCAAAACTATCCCAATTTCATAGATGTTAAAATGTAAAGGAAAAAATGTCTTAGAATCAAAGAAATACAATCATATTTCAGTCACCAGGCTGAAAACCATACCAATAAACATGTAAGGTCAATTGGACTTTAAATCCACCTGGGATTTCTAAGTTTATGTTTTTTCTGAAAATGAAAGTCATAAATACATAATGTTGAGAACTTGGAAACTACAGAATATTAAGAAGAAAATTAAGTTACTTGAAATTTCACAACTGTTAGTATTTTGAAATATTTCTCAGCCAGTCTTTGTGTGTGCATATTTCTATAAAATTGGGATCATGTTGTGGTAACAATTTTATATCTGGCTTTTCTGCATTTCATGTTATATCATGACCATTTGCCCATATCTTTATTTTTTAATTTTGTTCACTTTTTTTTTTTTGAGGCAGGGTCTTGCCCTGTCACCCACGCTGGAGTGCAGTGGTGCAATCATAGTTCACTGCAGCCTCGATTACCTGGGCTCAAATGATCCTCCCATTTCAGCCTCCCCTGTGGCTGGGACTACAGGTATGTACCACCATGCCTGGCTAATTTTTAAAATATTTTTTGAAGAGACGGGGTTTCACCACGCTTCCCAGGGTGGTCTCAAACTCCTTAGCTCAAGTGATCCGCTCACCTCAGCCTCCCAAAGTGCTGGGATTATAGGTGTGGGGCGCCATGCTCGTGCTGCCCATATCTTTAAATAGCCTTCACAAATCACAGAAATTTTAAATCAAGTGTACATACTTATAAAACTGAAATTCCAAACAATTTTTATCCTAAGAAACTTAGTTTGTCAGGCGCAGTGGCTCATGCCTGTAATGCCAGCACTTTGCAAGGCTGAGGAGGGTGGATCACCTGAGATCAGGAGTTTGAGACCAGCCTGACCGAGATGGTGAAACCCTATCTCTACCAAAAATACAAAATTAGCTAGGTGTGGTGGCGCATGCCTGTAACCCCAGCTACTTGGGAGGCTGAGGCAGGACAATCACTTGAACCCATGAGGTGGAGTTTGCAGTGAGCCGAGATTGCCCCATTGCACTCCAGCCTGGGCAACAAGAGTGAAACTCTGTCTCCAAATAAAAAAGAAAACTTAGTTTTGATCACCTGGTTCTTCCTTTGATCTCTCATCAACTGGTAACTGGTTTGGAAATGCTATATACCATGAAGTACTGAGTAGGGGACTCAAAAAAAAAAACCTTACTTATTACTAACCTGGTAACACTGTTGCTTTCTGGCTGGGTTTCTTTCCACACCTAATTCGGTATTCGTTTATTGCATTTTCAATCTCCTGAAGCTTTTTCATCGCATCTGTGTAATCTTGCTTTCGCTTTTTCTTCACAGTTTTACAAAGGTCTGGCTCATTGGCAAGTTTCTTTGCAGCTTCCACCAGCTTTTGTTGTATTAGAAAATTACTCTCCAGTTCTTGCAAAGCAGGATCCTGCATTTATACAATGATAGTTTTATTTTTATGGACACATACAATCAACTCTTACATGCATTGTGTAATAAAACTTCCTGTGCACTTTCTTGAATCAGACGTTCTTTGAGAACACTATCTTCCCAACTTTTACTGCATAGACATCCTTGTCAAACACTTTCCTTTACTCGTCTTAACTTCAACTTCTCATTAGTCCAAACCTCTTCCCTTTTCAAGGAAGGGAATGGCCTTTCATTCATTCAGTTGGTTGGGAGAAGATCACAGTTTTCACAGATATATTCTCAACTCAAAGCTCATGGATGCAGAAGATTATATTTATATGCATAGCTTTAGAGACAGATAAATTTGGGTTTGATCTTCTTCCTGGTAATTCCTGGTTGCATGACCCTGGATACACAGCTTCATCTTTCAATGCTTCAGTTTTTTTCATTTGTAAAATGAAGATAACACCTACCTTATGAAGTAGGATGAGGATTAAATGAGATAGTATATGTGCATTGCTTAGCTCAGAGATGGGTACACAGTGAGCACTCAGTAAATAGTAAAGATTTCCAAAGATGAAAACAGATACAATTTTCTAAAGCTAAGATGGTCAAATTTCTACAAGAAACATAGATATGGTTATATTGGCTGATGACATGCAAATGAGAAAGTATTATACATTCTATATTGGCTAACAAATATTTTAACTTGATTGTAGCTCAGTGCTGTGCATGTATTATCTCATTTAATACTCATTGGATCCCGTGGAGGGAAGTCCAATCATTACCCCCATTTTACAGATGAGGAAAACTGAGGCCTGAGAAATGAGACTTTAGAGAGGCTAAACTATTTGACAAAGGCTATTATTTAGTTTTAAGTAAACAAACCTAATGCTGGAGTTCTTAATTCTTATAATGCTGACTCTCAAATGAGAAACATTTGGAGTTCACTGAATGCCTATGATTTGGGGAGTAAATTAGTGAGAAGTAACTCAATTTTGACTGGAGTGGGCATGAAAGAAAGAGTTCAATTTGGTCTACACGATCCATCTGTACTGGTGAGATAACATACAGCAGAGACTCAAAAACCAAAGGAAAATGTCCACTACACTCAGACAGCTTTCCTGTCTTATGATTAATTGAAAGGCTCAGAGGCGTTGTTCATACTTCTTCACTCGGCAGCAAGTTGTCATCTAATTTGAACGCAGTACCCACACGTCTTCTGACCTGAGGAGGCTTCTCGCCTATGTTCAGGGGATACTCCTTTGGCATTTTGCCTGTGAGCTCCTGTAAAACAGGACAGAATCAAGAGCAGATAATTGACACTGGCCAAAGTTGTCAAACACAACTTGATGAGCCCCAAAAAGCAGACTCACAGCCTCCCGCAGACAGATCTTCTTAAGCTCCTCAACTTTTTTCAGAAGTTTTTCTTGTAATAGTTTCTCCTTCTTCTTTAGTTCAAGGATTTTTTCTCTCTTTTGCTCTTCACTAACTTCTGAGTCTTGAGAACCTAGGGGATGAGGGAAGGGCAGGGAAGGTTTATACAAGGGATGTTTCCTTCCTTTCTAAGGGACAAAGGATTTTTAAGCTAAAGCTGCTATTAAATGGTAGTTTATTTCTTTTCTCCTTGTTTCTCAACATAATAAAAGGAAACTGGAAAACATTTTCTCATTCTTCTGGGCATCAAACAGAACCTGGTAATAAAATGTGCCTTTTTGCATCCTGGCTCAGTCATTTTGGGGGTAATGATAAAATGCTTAACGTCCCAGACACACCCAAAGAAAAATTTCATTTTTCTGAGCAGAAGAGAAGGTAAGATGGTCCTTGAAGAGTTGTTTCAAGTGTTCTTTTAAAAAGTAAGCAAGCAAGCAAGGAAAAGAAAAATCAGTGTGAAGGAAGGTCATGCTTCAGAGTCACAAGTTGACAGTGAGATTTAGATGGGACGAATCATTTTAGTAAAGTTACATATACTTAATGATAAGGGATTCCAGAATTTTTACAGAGGAAGGGCTTAGGGGAAGCTACCACATTTGAGGGGTATGCTTGTAATCATGTTTGTATAGCATTTTATATTGCATGGAGAATTAGACAATTATCTGTATCAAAAACTGAATGCTGGAAAAAGCAGCTGCTGTGGAAAATGTTCTTTCAAGCCACACCTTGGTACTCACCATCCTTGCATCTCATATGACATGCACAACCTATTTATAATTTGACTTTCTACATATTCTTTAAAAAATTAGCCTTAAAATTTTATTCAAAGCTGTCGCATACATACTTATTGACATACTTATTTATTCCCAAAATAATGGATTAAAAGATGAATTTCGAAGTGGTTTATGACCGAAAAAACAAACGAAATAAAGATGGCTTGCACGTTCTCTAATCCCAAGATGTTACCTGAGGAGATTAAACTGCCATTACTTGCCATGATGAACTGACTTTTCGTCTCCAGTGTCACCAGCTTGGAGGCCCTTTGTGTTCCTGTCTCTGTCAAATCCATTGCAATCTCATCTAAACTCCTGGCTGAAGGAATTTTTGCCTAAGAGGCATACAACAATGAAACAGAATTAACTCAAACATACTTCAAATTAATGAAACAATTAAGTTAACATACAATAAAAATAGCAACACAGAGGATAATTTAGAATTTTCACATATTCAAGTGGCATTCTTCAGACCAAAAAACAAAACAAAACAAAAACCCCACAAGTAGTTAAAATGTTTTAATAACTATACGTGATTTTCTCATGGTGTGGTTCAGTTACTAACTTTGAAGTGTCACCGGCAACATCACCGCCAGCAGTGTCACCAGTATATACAAACGTGCATGCCAAAAAGTTGGCCAGTCTTACAACTTTTAAAGCAGCTTATATATTGCCCATCATGTAAACATATAAAAAACCTGAAATAGTTGGAAGTTAAACGCAAAAAAATCTCAGAGAGCAAAAATATATGTGCTTGCATCTTTTGTGAGAAGGCTTATCTTCTGAACAGAATGCAAAAGGGGAATCTGTCCCTATAGAAATGATGCCAGTTACTTACTTTGCTTTGCTTCCGGTCCAAGTAAAACTGATGCTGACTAATTGCCATTACCCAAATGGACTTGATGAGAGAAGAGTTAGCATACCATGTTTGCACAAACAAGCCACTTTGCCCAAAGGTTCTTCTTGAAACTGAAATCCTGAAAGATTAAAGAAAGCACTCAAATAATTCCCCTCTGGCCCAGCATGATGCAAAATGTACCCTGCGAGCAGCATTGTAACAAAGCATGTTCCTCTTACCTGTCTTCTGTTGCAAAAACTCTTACGCAAATGGGGACCAAGTTTCTGATTTTCTCCTTTTACAACAAAACAATTCAGACCTAAGTAATCTCTTTCTGGATAAACAGCATGTTTAAAAACACATACACATGAACTCAAAAGCTGATAAAGAATCAGTCAAATTAGAGATTATACAAAAACATTTAGTTAGAAACTCTAAGGATGTGTAGCCATCACAAGTGGTAAGGAATAAATGGGATAAGATTTTAAAGAAACAGCAACCAAGTGTGGGGTGAGCACCTAATTCAAGGTAAAAGAGCATTTCAGATCTAGGTAGATTTGGCCGGCTCTGACATTATCAGAGAATGCACTTAACGATAATGGCTGAAAATATGCAAGTCCAAAACTGTCCAGAGTGCTGCTTGTACACCAGATGGAAAGAGGAAAGGGGACGGGGGAGGAGAGAGGAGGAGGGAGAGGGGAGAGGGGGAGCGGGGAGAAGGGAGGGAGGGGAAGTGAAAGAGAGAGAGACAGAGAGAAAGAAAGAGAGAACAGGCAAGAGGCAGACAGACTGTGTGTGTGTGACGTGGTACTAATGTTCTTTGTAGGAATTTGGCTTATCTCTTCAGGTCACCTTTTTATCACAGGTATTTCCTCCCATCCCTCTGGCCTCTAAACATCCATAACCATCTCGGGACTGAAAAGTACCCACTAAGGACTGATTAAGAATTTCTCTTAAGGCCGGGTGCCATGGCTCAGCACTTTGGGAGGCGGAGACGGGCGGATCACCTGAGGTCAGGAGTTTGAGACCAGCCTGGCCAACATGGTGAAAGCCCGTCTCTACTAAAAATACAAAATTAGCTTGGCGTGGTGGTGCATGCCTGTACTCCCAGCTACTTGGGAGGTTGAGGCATGAGCATCACCTGAACCTGGGAGGTGTAGGTTGCAGTGAGCAAAGATTGCGCCACTGCACTGCAGTCTGGGTGACAGAGTAAGACTCTGTCTGGCAGTTGGGGGCGGGCGGAGGGGGGCGGGATTTCTCCTAAGATATTTGAGAACCCACATCCTGACTTCAGTTCATGTTGGTAATTTGGCTTTTTTTTTTTTTTTTAAATGACCAAGAACACCAACATTTTAAATGAGCAAAAGATCTGAATAGACATTTCTCTACTAAAGATATAGGAATAGCTAAGCAGCACATGAAAAGATGCTCAGCCATCATTAGTCATGAGGGAAGTGCAAATCAAAACCACAAGAAGGTACCACTTCAACCCACTAGGATGGCATAAACTATACATGCACACAAAACTAAAAATAACAAGTGTCGGTGAGGATGTGTCGGCATTGGAACCACATATACTGCTGCTTGGGATGTAAAATGGTGCAGCACTTTGAAAAGCAGCCTTGCCATTCCTCAGAGGGTTAAAGATAGTTACCATTTGACCCAGCAATTCCATTCCTAGGTATACACCCAAGAGAAATGAAAACATATGTTCATATAAAAACTTGTACACAAATGTTGATAGCAGCGTTATTTGTATAGTAACTGTGTCATACAGAGAAACGTCTTTGATCCTCACCTTCGTGGATCATGAACTTCAACAGCAAATTTTTTCTCACGGAAATATAAGTTCTCCAGCTGTTTCCATTGGAATAACTAAAGAAAACAGAAAAGCCAGGAAGTATTATTTATGCTTATTTTTACTAATTCTATAAATCAGCTTAATAATCAAACAATTATAAGCTCCAAGAAGGTACACTGATACGATGAAACATGAATATGTGATTCAGCCTTTTTACAAATCAACTATGACCTGAAACCATTTTATTCCTTCTTCTGGCAGCAATCTTTAACTATTAAGATTCACCTCGGCCGGGCGCGGTGGCTCACGCCTGTAATCACAGCACTTTGGGAGGCCGAGGCAGGTGGATCACGAGGTCAGGAGATCGAGACCATCCTCGCTAACACGGTGAAACCTTGTCTCTACTAAAAATACAAAAAAAATTAGCCGGGCGTGCTGGTGGGTGCCTGTAGTCCCAGCTACTCGGGAGGCTGAGGCAGGAGAATGGCGTGCACCCGGGAGGCGGAGGTTGCAGTGAGCCCAGATCGCGCCACTGCACTCCAGCCTGGGCGACAGAGCGAGACTCCGTCTCAAAAAAAACAAGATTCACATCACCAATAAATCTTCCTTGAACAATAAAACCAACCATCTGTGGAAGAACATGTACACTATTTTTCCTCTGACTCAACTATATAATAAGGAAATCTGCACAGATTCCAGTAAGCACCAGCCTTCTCAAAGATGTTGATTTCATAGTTAAATGGAAAGATATTCAAAGGGATATTTCAATAACATCAGAGATTGAATTTCAAAAGAATACAAAGTGAAAGTAAAACGGAACCCCCATGCAGGGGTGATTCTCTGAGATACCACTTTCCTACCTATGAAGAGTTCCCCTAAATGCCACAGAAACCTAGCACCAGTAATTGGGGGCAGAGAAGGGGTAGGAGGGAACACCAGAGCCTCTTCTTGGTTTCTGAGCTAGAACCTCCAGTTTTTGAACATAGCTAGCTCCCAGTGTCTGTACACTCTGATATACACACTACTGATACTCTATTGCGGCACTCAGTGCCGTCAGTTTGATTGGGAGGAACAAACTTTACTAGCAATGTGCATTTGAAAACCAAATAATTTGATAGAAAGCAGCTCATTCACAGAATTGAGGATGCCTTGCTATGTTTTCTGGGCTGCTTCCTAAGCTCTTTATAAGACATTGTACTATCCTGAGCCTTGGTTTGTCCTGTCAACTTGGACTTCATGGTCAAATTCCTCTTCTCTGCCCCCAGACTTGATTAGGGAAATAACAGCAGAGAGTTTCATTATATTATTAGACTTCGGCTGGATTTTAAAATTATGTTCAAAGAATCTTAAAAGATTATTTTTAATAGTCTATACAATAAGCACTTCTCTGCAATGCACTATCAGCAAAACCATTTCCTGACATACGGGAACCCAGGCTTTTCACAGACATGTAAACCTCATCATGTAAAGGAACAAAATGAGCTGAAGGTTTCTATACGTATGCAGGCATGGGAAAAAAGGGTTCAGACTGGACCCCCCAATTCCGAACAGTGAAATAAACCAGCACACCCTAAAAACACAGCCCTCCGGGGTCCGCACACATAGCTGTCTGTAACTATAACACTCACTCAGGTTCACAGAAGAATTAATAAAAGTATAAAGTTACATACCCATTTCTTAAAATCTCCACAAACTTGAGGTTTTCATTTCTTTAAATCCAGAGGTTCCAAAAATGGGACAGAAATGTGAGGAAAAACCTCAGGGTTCTTCCGCCCTCCCCCCTCCCAGACGGCAGCTCCGGTGAGTTCTGAACTGAGTTTCATAAGACACTTAGGTGTAACTCAATTTCACAAACTGAGCCTCCCACGGCTGACACACTACTGACATCAGCAACTCTCCTGAGTGACACCTCCCTAATTCTACTCCTTCCTCCCATCAGGGAGAGGAGGGCAAAGTTCTCAGTGGCAGATTTTCCCAGAAAAGAGACCTTTCTAAAATGGAGGGCAGTTGGGATTTGCCTGATACTTCCTAGGAAGTAAGTTGCTTTGAATCCAAGGACGAATTTCACCGGAGGCTGTTTTAGGAAGACATTTCTACCCTAGTTTACTCACCCTGGACATGAACAGGTTCTACAGGAAGAGTTACAATGCAGCTCAGCTGTGTTTTCCTTTGCGTCCATTCCCACACACATAAAAACCAGGGCTGGACTTGAAACATGATCTCTGAAAGTCACCACCTCCCCCTCTTATCACTTACAAATGTGAAACCCTAGCGCTTTGGACTCCATTCAGCCTGTCCCTGCATTGAGAGCAAATACGCTCCCTGCAAGCAAAAACTCTACTTAAAAGGCGAAGGACTTCAGCTTAGAGAATTTGAAATAACTGGATTGTAACTGGGTTTGCACAAGGTTATGGGAACAAGACTGGGTTTAAAGCATGAAAGGCAGAGAGCAGTTCATTCCCCTGCCTGAAATCTTAAAAGTTTGTGCAAAGTATGATTTCATATATGTGCATATAATAATATAAATGTGGATTGGAATGATACAAAATTCAGTGATTACTTCTGGGGGCAGATGGTATGGGGGGTACGTTGTATAGAAACTTGAATATCATTAGTAATGTTTTCTTTTATTAATAAAAATAGGATGAAAAATGACAAAATATTAGTAACAGCTATTTAAGTGGTTTTACAGGTATTGTCATATCTTTAGGACTCTTGGAATTTCTCAAAATTAAAGTAATAAAAGTTTATATATATAAAATGAATATAGGTTGGTCTGTTTTGTACAAGAGTGAGATTTTCACCATCTAATCAGTTGGGAGTTCCCTGTTTTAAACATTAAGTATTATTACATTTTAATTATTTTCAATGTTTGAAGTTGCTAGGAAAATATTTCTAATTGTAGTGGTACTTTATCTAGCTGGCAGCTGGATATAAGCTGGTTTTTCTTTTGAAATTGCTGAAATCATTCTCCTACTGTGTTTTTTATTTCTGGACTCTTCATATCCGAGGGCCAGGATGCAGCTCTACAAACGGCAATGGAGCTGAGGTGAATTCATTTGCTGAAAGATAGCTCATGCACCTTGCCTCAGACAGCACCTGGCACAGGGCAGGCAGTTGAACGGTGTTCATTCTCCTCCCTTTCTCCAGTGTTTATCTTAGAAGATAAATAAAAGGCACCCTCTGGTCAAAATCAAGAGAGGGGCTGGGCGTGGTGGGTTGGCCGGGCGCAGTGGCTCATGCCTGCAATCCCAGCACTTTGAGAGGCCGAGGCGGGTGGATCACCTGAGGTCAGGAGTTCGGGACCAGCCTGAACAACATGGTGAAACCCCGTGTCTACTAAAAATACAAAACTTAGCCGGGTATGGTGCGAGAGTCTATGCTCCCAGCTATTTGGGAGACTGAGGCAGGAGCATCACTTGAACCAGGTAGGCGGAGGTTGCAGTGAGCCGAGATCGCACCACTGCACTCCAACCTTGGCGACAAGAGCGAAAATCCGTCTCAAAAAAAAGAAAAGTCATGAAGGGATTTCAGACCAATGGTCTGTATTTGAGGAAAGAAATCAAAGTTTAAAGGAAGATACAAGAAAGCTAAGTATGCTTCCCATTTTCTATTATTTGGACAATATTGGTGTCCACATAGGGTAGGACTATGACATATATGTGTGTGTGTGTATATATAAAATATATGCATGTGTATGTACACATACACTTGTAATTTTCATATTAAAACAGAAAAATGTATTTTGCCCAAGCCAAAATTTTCACTATTAGAGACTTAAAAAAAAAAAAAAAAAGAGGAGCTTTATTTGTCTTGCAATACAATTAAGAGTATGGAACTAGAATGTGTTCTAAAGTGATCATTATATAAGCATAATAATAATCATTAATGAGTATTTATAATTGTCTATGTGGCACCTACTAGAAGCTACGAGTTTGAACACTATGTTGTTTTTAGACAAAATCTATGCTGCTAGTGATGAAAGGGAAATAGTTGTAAGGTGAAAATAAAACTGTAAATTAGGTCTTCCAGATTTCTTTCTGCTCTACACTCATCTTGAATCACTAGTTGTGCCTTTTGATATCAAAAGAAGGATGTAGAGAGTGACTGAAGAATAATATCTGGGACTACTTTGCAATTGCAAAAGTAAATAGAAAGATAAAATATTAAAAGAGGAGCAGCATAAATAACATTAACAAAGAGATAATCAAGAAATTACAACAGGAGGAGAATATCTTAAGGTTACAAACCTTATCTTAAAAAAACAAAGTGACAAAAATTTAAAACTGACACAGAAAATCATGGTGGAATCAAGCTGTATTTTGAAAGTGAACTGTATAAAATATTGTCATCACAAGAAATTCCCTTAACCCTAAGATGAAGTAAAAAAAAAAAAAAGTGTTGATGGTTTTAGAATAATTTGCTGTAGACGATTACAGTTTATTTAATGAAATGAATGTGTTGAATATTTAAGCCACTTTATTGAAATCTATAATCAATATTTAGTTAGATTCCACTCACTTTTATAGACTTAAAGAACTACAAGAAATCACCTGTTCCCTGTCCCACCCCACTATTATAATGGTTCCTAAATATCTGAGGGTACTGTCAAACTTCAGCAAAAAAAAAAAAAAAAAAAAAAAAGAAAGAAAGAAAGAAAAATACTATAAGGAAAAGCAGAGGAACCTTTAGGAGACATGGTCCTTATATTTCAGATATGTATTTCAGTAGCTTTGAGAGTCATTTATCCATTTCTTTTCCATCAACAGATATTTCTTGAGTGCCGTGTATGTTTGAGGTCTTGTTCTTGTCAGCAAGTAATGGACAGAGCCCTTCCATTGTGGGGCTCACAAGAGCCAAGTGAACCAAGTCAGATTGCCTTGGTTAGCATTCTGGTACTGCCACTTCTAGCTGTGTTGTATTTGGCAAGCTGCTTAACTTTCCTGAATCTCAGTGTCTGCATCTGTAAAATGGGACCACCAACACCCACCTCAGAGAGTTGTCGGAAGGGATCAGGGAAACTATGTTTGTGAAGCACTCAGCCCAACGCCTGGCTCAGTATCAAAATTCAGTAAGCAATAAAGTCAGCTGTATTTGTAATGAAGAACTCTCAGTTCACCTCTCCAATTTTATCACATGGAGGGCAGTCACTTAATAGCAGAAACAAAAGCAAAAACTGCTCTCTGGATCCCACATCTTTCCATTGTTGAGAAACAATTGGGTTATTCTGTTAACATATCTGTGTCACTCAGACTTCCAATTCTGTGAGTTTCAGGCTTTATAAAAACTGGCTGCTCTATTTCTGTTTATTTCATTGGGGGTTTCCTGATACACCCTCTAGGTAGGAAATTTGCTCACCGTTTCTGTATCATGGAGGACATAAATGGGGAGGGAGGGGCTGGTCACGGCATGCCCCACAGGTAGACAAAGCAAACTCCCTCCTGCCCCAGGTACCCAGGAAAGGAGGAATGTGTCCCAGCATGTACAAAAATGCTGAGAAGTATGCACCTGCCACGTGCTAGGAGGACCTTCCCAGGGGCATGAAAGACCCAGGGAAAGCCTTGGACAAAAAGGGTCAAACTGTCTTTTTAAATCTTGATGAATTGAAGGTAGATGCCACCTAAAGGCTTCACAATAGGCCAGGACAGGAAAGACATCAGGAGAGGCTTGGCTTTTTAATGGCAACTCATAGTACCTATAGGTTAATCATTTAACTGCAAATTCGCCTGGAAATGACTAAATTTGAGACAGTCACAGCTGCAGTGTATGACTATACATCAGTGACTCACACGGTGGGGGATCCCTCTGCTATTATTACGTGAAGCCAAACAAAATCACTATATTATTGATTTATTCTTTTTTCATTTTGAAAGATTACACATGATACATATACTGTTAGTACCTTCTGGAATTTCACAGAATTATAGGCTTCTATAAAGCCCAATTGATCTACCTTCTTTCCATCAAATGTTTATGTGACTGAGACAAAGTCTCTGCCCTCAAGGAGGGTACAGGCTGTCGAAGTGACAGTCATACAACAAATACGCAGTTAACACCAACAGTGCCAGCTGGCATAAACTAAGCGCTCAGCTGGAGCACTAAGATGTTGCATCTATTATCTTATGGCGTCTTCCCAACAACCACATGGGGCAGTACTATTTTAGTCTCACTATGCAGAAGAGAAAACTGAGGCTCAGAGAGGTTAAAGTAAATTGACCAAGGTCACACAGCGAAATAGGGGCAGATATTGATACTTAAATACTGCCAGGCTCCAAGATCCTCAATGTATAACCACAGCATGTCATCCTGCCTTTCTTATCTGGGAAGAGTGCTGTATGGGTATCTGTTATGTTTTTAACAAAAAAAAAAAAAAAGAAAAAGAGAAAAAAAGAGTAATTCTTATTTCTTCCTCAAATAAAAAAGAAAGCAATTACAGCAGCCATTTGCGGGATAGGACTGAGTCCCCCCCCTTTTTTTTTTGTATGAGATAGGGTCTTGGTCTGTCACCTAAGCTGGAGTACAGTGGCATGATCACGGCTCACTGCAGCAGCCTCGACTTCTCGGGCTCGCGATCCTCTGATCTCGACCTTCTGAGTAGCTGGGACAACAGGTACATGCTACCACACCTGACTATATTTCTGTTTATTTCATTGGGGGTATTTCACTGGAGGCTAATTTTTTAATTTCTTGTAGAGATGGGGTCTTCCTGTGTTGCCCAGGCTGGTCTTGAACTCCTGGGCTCAAGGAATCCTTCCGCCTTGGCTTCCTAAAGTGCTGGGATTATAGGCATGAGCCACCATGCCCAGCCTGAGTCCCTTTAATTTTTCTTAGTGATTCTCAACCTGTGGTGATTTTTGCACCCCTCCCACTCCTCCCAACCATCAACCTCAGGACATGTGGTGATGCTTGGAGACATTTTTGGTTAACACACTGGAGGGGAGGATGCTACTAGCATCTAGAGAGTAGAGACCAGGGATGCTGCCAACATCTTACAGTGCACAGAATATGATGCCCCCACAACAGAGAACTATATGGCCCTAAATGTCTATGGTGCTGAGATTGGGAAACCCTGACTTACAGGATAATATTTGGTGATATAACTAGGCTTTGGTAGGTGAAATGTGCTGATGAAGGATTTAACAATTTTTACTCTGAAACAATTAATTCTGGAGTTCTATTTCTTTCAACTATGCCTGTTCACATTGCTTTACATATGCAAATGCTACCCACTAGAGGGGCTTACAATTGACCAGACTAGAAGAGTCAGCTGTGCTGAACTAAAATCTCATAAAAGTACCCAAATGGTATACGCTGTGGTAGTGAATGTTTCAAATATGATCTCAACCTTACAAATAAAACACCATATCTTGGCCAGGTGTGGTGGCTCACTCCTGTAATTCCAGTACTTTGGGAGGCCGGGGTGGGTGGATTGTCTAAAGTCAGGAGTTCGAGACCAGCCTGACCAATGGTAAAACCCCATCTCTGCTAAAAATACAAAAATTAGCCAGGCGTGGTGACATGCACCTGTAGTCCCAGCTACTCGGGAGGCTGAGGCAGGAAAATTGCTTGAACACAGGAGGCAGATGTTGCAGTGAGCTGAGATCGTGCCACTGCACTCCAGCCTGGGCGACAGAGTGACACTCCATCTCAAAAAAACAAAACAAAACAAAACAAAAACCCATATCTTAAATGCAAGGAGTAAAACTCTTGAGTATTTTCAGAAAAGTTTAGACAAAGAAGTTCTGGGTATTGGGAAATGTATAACGTAAAAACGAGAACACCTAAAAGGATGTCATCACACCCAAGTTTCCTCTGTGGCCGAATCTCTAACCTTCCAGAGCTGATGTAATGACATCCTGTTAAGACTCTCGTTAGCGTGCTCACTGATGTATTTGATGCCACCAGGGCTGAGCTACTGCTCTGGGCACCTGTATAACTATTATGGATATTTACAACTGGTATCCCTTCTTGTGGTTTTGTACCTAGTCTGGTTTTTAAATATTTCCAATAAAATACCTAATTTTGAATACATTCTTTCTTTCCAGATATATTGGCAGGTACTTGATGGCAGGGATTGTGGCTTTTTCCTTAAATGAGACAAAGAATATAAAGCACTCATTTAGGGCCCCTGTAAATGCATTGGGCTTAATACATTTTTTTTTGGTGGAGGGGAGCATAAAATCAGGTACATGGCACTCTATGGTTAGAAATGTAAAGATAGATGAATTTAACAACTTTAGCTTATCAGTGAAGCCTTGCTACCAAAAAAAAGTCCCAAACCAGCCAATCATTGGTCACAAGTATATAATAAAGAAACTTTGGACAAGCACAATGGCTCACGCTTATAATCCCAGCACTTTGGGAGGCTGAGGTGGGAGGATCACTTGAGGCCATGAGTTCAAGACCAGCTTGGGCAACATAGTGAGACCCTGTCTCCATAACAGAATTTAAAAAATTAGTGGGACACAATGGCACATGCCTATAGTCCTAGCTACTTGAGAGGCTAAGGTGGGAGGATTGCTTGAACTGAGGAGTTTGAGGCTGCAGTGAACTATCATTATGACTCTGCACTCCAGCCTGGGCAACAGAGTTAGAACCTATGTCTTTAAAAAAAAAAAAAAAAGAAAGAAAGAAAGAAAATAAATCTTTACTGTTTATGCCTCTTCATAGAACTATTTTTTACAGTGCTTTATGTACTAATTGCTTTTCTCTGCATTCAGACTAGTCAATCCTATTTATGAGCTATCTTTCATTTTTCTTCATGTGCCAACAGTTCAACCATGTGGTAAATGCTTAGACATGTAAAGGAATAGAAAAAACAATGGACAGTCAGGCACCGTGGCTCATGCCTGTAATCCCAGCACTTTGGGAGGCCGAGGCGGGTGGATCACGAGGTCAAGAGATCGAAACCATCTTGGCCAACATGGTGAAACCCCGTCTCTACTAAAAATACAAAAATTAGCTGGGCGTGGTGGGACATGCCTATACTCCCAGCTACTCGGGAGGCTGAGGCAGGAGAATCACTTGAACTTGGGAAGCAGAGGTTGCTGTGAGCCAAGATCGGGCCAATGCACTCCAGCCTGGTGACAGAGTGAGACTCCGTCTCAAAAAAAAAAAAAAGAAAAAACAATGGACATCTGATGGTTCTGCCTGTCTGGCAGCCACTTCCTTTTCTTCTAGCAGCATCTTCCATTTCTACACGGAACTCCGTAAGCTCCAGCTACAGTGGTGTGCAGTGGCGCCATCTTGGCTCACTGTAACTTCCGCTTCCTGGGTTCAAGCAATTCTCTTGCCTCAGCCTCCCAAGTAGCTGGGATTATGGGCACCCGCCACCATGTCTGGCTAATTTTTGTATTTTTATTTTTATTTTATTTATTTTTTTAGACAGAGTCTCACTCTGTCACCCAGGCTAGAGTGCAATGGTGTGATCCTGGCTCACTGCAACCTCCACCTCCCGGGTTCAAGCAATTCTCCTGCCTCAGCCTCCTGAGTAGCTGAGATTACAGGCACCCACCACCACACCCGGCTAATTTTTTGTATTTTAGTAGAGACGGGGTTTCACCATGTTGGCCAGGCTGGTTTCCAACTCCTCACCTCAGGTGATCTACCCACCTCGGCCTCCCAAAGTGCTGGGATTATAGGCATGAGCCACCACGCCTGGCCTAATTTTTGTATTTTTAGTAGAGATAGGGTTTCACCATGTTGGCCAGGCTGGTCTGGTACTCCAGACCTCAAGTGATCCGCCTACGTCGGCTTCCCAAAGTGCTGGGATTATAGGCTGAGCCACTGCAACCAGCCTTCTCCTGGGTTTCTAACATGCCTATCTCCTTCCCATCGGCATACCCTGTTCTTTGATGAGAACAAGCCATACTGTTCTTTATGAGCTTTCTGCCCTTCGGGTCTCAGGTTAAACATCACCTTCCTCAGAGAGGCTTTCCCTGAACACACCAAATGTCCCCTCCCTGCATCCCATTACTGTCCCCCATCTCATTTGTTTCCATCAAAGATAATTACAAATTTATGTCTTTATTTCTTTGCTTACTTGTTTCTCACCAACCATCCCTCCAAAGACTTCAAAGGAAACAAATACAGTGTGACAGAAACTACTGATCTCCCCTAGGATCTATTTTTCCTTATTTTTAGTAATAGAACATCTTGAGTTATGCCAGGCGCGGTGGCTCACACCTGTAATCCCAGCACTTTGGGAGGCTGAGGCAGGCGGATCAGGAGGTCAGGGGTTCGAGGCCAGCCTGGCCAACGTGGTGAAACCCCATCTCTACTACAAATACAAAAATTAGCTGGGCGTGGTGGCGTGCGCCTGTAGTCCCAGCTACTCAGGAGGGTGAGGCAGAAGAATGGCTCGAACCTGGGAGGTGGAGGTTGCAGTGAGCCAAGATCACGCCACTGCACTCCAGCCTGGGCAACAGAGCGAGAATCCATCTCAAAAAAAAAAAAAAAAGAACATCTTGAGTTAAAGCTTTGCCCAGGGCCACCCACCTAGAGACAATACCACCCAGCTGCCCTTGCACTCAGAGTTGGTACTTTCCAAATGACAGAGGAGCCTGCCTAGGCCTCCCTCTTTCCATCTTCTTCACCAATACCTAACCAATTTTCTAAAAGTTCCATGTTTTACGAGAACTGCTTAAAATTCTAATTGCGATCAACTATGGGAGGGGAAGAGAAAGACCATGCTGTACAATACACTTTCTATAAATTAAAGTATGGTGTGGAGGGGAAAATAACCCACTCAGTGAAATAACTCACTAACTCATTGGGTCCTCACAATGATCTGTGAGGTGGACAGCAGACAAGAGTTATCTCAATTTGATAGCTGAAAAAAATGAAGGCCCAGAAAGTTGAGTGACAGCTCTGAGTCAGCCAGCTGGTAAGTGGAAATGCAGAACTGGTTCTTATTTCAAATCCATGCTGTAGGATGGGAGTTCTCCTCCCACTGACTCTGCAGAAGGTTTTAACAATCAGATTGATTACTGGTGTGGTTAAAGCTTAGATACACACTTTATAAACAGGATGGACCAGTCTCTGGTTGACATTCTAAAATCCAATTATTTTCTTCCATACCATGCTTTATTTGGCATTAATGTAGAAAGAGAACAACCCATGTTCTCTTCTCCTACAGTTAATCTCATCTAGAATTTCAGCAGTGTCAGAAGTAGCTTCTAATCTAGGTCCAAGGTGGTATGGTCATGGTGGAAAGAAGAGCTTAGAAATGCTCAAGATAGCTGTGCTTAAAGAAATAACCAAGTCACTGTCTTTAAATAAAATAACCTTGTAGTTGTATGAGAAGAAAACAGGAAGACTTTTGTGCTTGTTACTTAATTCATTTGGCTTTAGGGATTTGGGAATTCCAATATATATAGAGACAGAAACAGAAAGCTAAGAGACTTTTCCCACCTTCACATGCCCTGTGGTGATGAAGTTCACCTCAAGTCTTTCTTGGCATGATATAAGGCAAAAAGATACTTATCTTGAGAAGCATTTTGTCCCACTATGGACACCTCGACAGTATGTCATTTTATCTCTGCCATCTGACAGGCTCTGGTTTTCCAGGGGAAGTATTTGCCGAAGGGATACAAATCTGTCATGACATAGACTAATACTTGGCTCAGTCTCTGACCCACTGTCTGCTTCTTTATGAAGAACAGACATTTTTCCTTGAAATACTGAACAATAAATACTTAGAAGGAACACAAGGCTGCTTTTTTTTTTTTCTTTAAGTGAAACTTCATCAGTCTCTAAGTCCAAATGTCTTACCATTTGGAATTCAGTTGAGTTCTGGTACGTTTTCACATTCTCTAAGAGTTTGCAATGACATATTCATACACAAAGGGAGGATTAAAAAGTAAAGCTGCTTATTGTCTTAATTTTTAATACCCTGAATGTTTGTGGTTTGTAATTTTGGATTAAAAATTTTTCCTTTAATTTGCGTCACACCTTCAGGCATGATGCTTAATGAATTAGGAGGTGAAAGAAGTGCTCACACATCTCCGAAAACAGAAAATTTGAGGGTGGAGGCCGGGTGTAGTGGCACACATCTCTATTCCCAGAACTTTGGGAGGCTCAGGCAGGTGGATCACCTGAGGTCAGGAGTTCGAGACCAGCCTGACCAACATGGTGAAACTCCATCTCTGCTAAAAATACAAAATTAGCCAGGCATGGTGGCGCATGCCTGTAATCCCAGCTACTTGGGAGGCTGAGGCAGGAGAATTCCTTGAACCCGGGAAGCAGGGGTTGCAGTGAGCTGAGCTGAGCTCGTGCCATTGCACTCCACCCGGGGCAACAAGAGTGAGTGAAATGCCATCTCGAAAAAAAAAAAAAAAAAGAAAGAAAATTTGAGAGTGGATTCTTAGTACACTAAAGCTGTGGGCTTGTAGCAATGTTGTGTCCCTCTCTAACCAGTGATCCAAGAATATTTCCCATACTCTTTTATTGTCTGTCTTCTCACTACTACTAATGATGATGGCGTATCAGCTATGGTGCTAAATTTGTCCTCTAGGTCTTACAACCACCCTACACAGTTGGTGGCAATACCCTTGTGCAGATGAGAAAACCACTTTTAAAGAGAGATTAAACAACATGCTCAAGGTGGCACAGTAAATAGACACCAGGGGCAGAGGTTGGGATGTCTCCCAAACTCTTTCCCTGCATCACTGTACTACACTACACACTGGTTGAAAACAACTTGTTGGCACCCCAGACTGGCAAAAAAAAGCCATATAAATAAAAGACTTGAAGAGCATCTGCTGGATGCCCTGGGAGGTCAAACAAATACCTCCCTGCCCTTAACATTCACAGGTGATAACTGATACAGAAAGGTCTGAAGGTCACTGCTGGGAGATCTTGGAACAACTCCTTTTCAAAACAGCCTTTCGGCATCAGTTTTCTTATTCTTAGTACTTATTCTCAGTAAATTTCCCTTCTTCTGGCCTGCTTTTAAGCCACATAATTGTAACAAGACGGGATGTGGCTCAAGAGGCTGAGCACCTTAAGGCCTCTCATTATAGCCTTTGTTTCATTACAGTTTGCCAATTTGACCTTCATTCCTGCTGGTCCATTGGTAAACTTGCAGCCTGCACAGGTCCACACAAACAGCTGAAGCATGATCCTCCTTTAATAGAAGGCTGTGCTCATGGTCCTTTAAATTATGCATTCTTTCATTTGTGCAAACTAGGCCAGGAGAGGGACTTGTAAAACAGCCTCAATCCTTACATTGTCTGGACATAAAAAATAAATATATGGAAGCAAAATCCATTGTCAGATTTTAACAAAAGAAGAAAGGAAGAAATAAACAATGGCACAGAGTAGACACCCCCCAAAAAAAAAAACGGAGAAAGAGAAGGCAAGAAAGTGATAACATGGGCCGGGCATGGTGGCTCACGCCTGTATTCCCAGCACTTTGGGAGGCCCGAGGCAGGTGGATTGCCTGAGGTCAGGAGTTCGAGACCAGCTTGGCCAGCATGGTGAAAACCTGTCTCTACTAAAAATACAAAAATTAGCCAGGCATGGTGGCAGGCACCTGTAATCCCAGCTTCTCGGGAGGCTGAGGTAGGAGAATCACTTGAACCCAGGAGGTGGAGGTTGCAGTGAGCCAAGATCGTGCCATTGCACTCCAGCCTGGGCAACAGAGCGAAACCCCGTCTCAAAAAAAAAAAAAAAAAAAAAGAAAAAAAAAAAGAAAAAAAAGAAAAAAAGCGATAACAAAAGATGGACTGTGTAGGGTCTTTTTAAAAATGGAGTGGCATGTTTTGGAACTGAAATAAAAAAACCCTGCAAATCCAAAAAAGGAAGTAGCTTCTGACCCTTTTCTAGACTCTGGAATGAACAAGCAAAACTGATTATGATCAGTGTCAAGAAGTATTTGCCAATTTCTATGAAACTGTGAACGTAAAGAAAGGCCTGTGAGTCATAAGTACAGGAGAGGAAATTAACTGCAATATTTACTGTGCAGATTCTGATTCACTACTGTTTTGGGACAAAGCCTGGTTGCTGTTAGCAGATGCATTTACATTCTGCTGGAAGCTCAATCTTATCAAGCCACATTAGCTAATAAATTACTTGTGAGTTGTCCTAATATTTTACATGGAAGATTCAGAAAAACCAGTAAGACTCCTGAGTGTTATTTCTTAAGTAAAATTCAGAAGAGAAATAAGTTAGCAAAAAAATCTCAATACAAGTGAGGTCTACCTTAAGAAAACATGATAGACAGCATTTTGGTCTTGCAAAATAGATAAACTAGGGTAAGGTATTTGTTTGACTGGGTTTTTTTATTATGCTCTGCAAACTCTCTCCACTCCTACAAATGGAAACAAGTATGATGTCCATCAAAAGTGAAGTGGTTAAATAAATTATGTATTTCCACATCATGAAGCACTAGGCAGCTTTAAAAAAGTGAAAAGAAATCGGTTTATAAGTGAGCTAGAGAAATATGGCAAGGTATGAAACACTGTATATATTAGATTTCTCTGTCTTTGTAAATGCTTAGAATATACACTGACAAAATCTAAATGAACTGGTACCATTTTTTTAACAGTTGCTGGTTGTCATGGAGGAAAAATGGGGATTGCAGAAGACTTCTTCCCCTAAAGCATTTTTTTGTAGTGTTTGCTGCCATTTTTTCTTCCTTGCCCTCATGAGTATTTCTTACTCTGGGTAAAAAAAAAAAAAAAAGCTAACAATAAATAAAATTGATTTTAAAAAATATTTGAAAAAATTGGGTATCCTTCATTTCTAATATTATTGATTAGAAATTAGGTTTTAGAAGTCAATTTTGAAATATAAGCAGGAACAATAGTACTTATACTCCTCCTGGAAATTAATTAAGTATTCCTTAAATTGATCTTGGTCACAGAGCTTATAGAATAAAAATGTTAACAGTATGATTACAAACATGCTCTCTCATTGTCCTCTACTGCTTGTTGAATGATGCGCTGTTGTTTTCATTGATTTTTTTTTTTTTTTTTCTGACACAAGGTTTTGCTCTGTCACCCAGGCCGGAGTGCAGTGGCATGATCATAGTTCATTGCAGCCTCAACCTCCCAGGCTCAAGTGATCCTTCTACCTCAGCCTCCTGTATAACTGGGACTACAGGCATTTGCCACCATGCCTGGCTAATTTGTTAAGTTTTCTTTTTCTTTTTTTTTGTAGAGATGGGGTCTTGTCACATTGCTCAGGCTGGTCTTGAACTCCTGGCCTTAAGTAGTCCTCCCATCTTGACCTCCAAAAGCACTGGGATTACAGGCATGAGCCACCACCCTCGGCCTTATCAATAATTTCTAGTAAGAAGCCTCAACGCCCTACTAGCCTGATCCAGGAAAGCTGGATCAGTATTGGAGGTGGGTGGCAGAGGGGATATGGCTTTCCCTAATCTACCCTTTTGTGTTATCTGTGTCAGTTTCACAACCATAAAATGGGGAAAAGAGGGGGTTTTATTTATTTTCATAACTCATAGAAGACTGTGTGCAATGATTCAAGCTGCATGGACACTTAGAAGATGAAGAGTACGTATGATTATAGGGCTGTTTTATAAAGAGATTGGCTGTTTTTCTAACACACATGAAAGCAAGAGACAGATGGAAATTACAGGAGTTATTTAAGGCTGTGATGTCAGGTTGTGATAATGCAGGTAGCTGACCATGGTCTGTTATTAGAGGCCATTGTTTTACTCCTGTGCTTTCAGTGATGGCAGGATGGCACAGGGAGAGTGGCAAAACCAACCAGGGCAGCATGAGTCAGTCTTGATGTCACTGTCATACCAAAGGAAGCCAAGAGCAGCTGCATGGTGATCTATATGGATTCTTCAACTCTAATATGGGCAAAAACGTGTTGTACACTTGAGCTTGGATCAAGAGAAGCAGATTCAGCTGAGCACAGTGGCTCGTGCCTGTAATCCCAGCACTTTGGGAGGCTAAGGTGGGAAGATCGCTTGAGCCCAGGAGTTCAAGACCAGTCTGGGAAAAATAGTCAGACTTTGTCTCTGCAAAAAACTTTCTAAAAATGATCTGGGCATGGTAGCATGTGTCTGTAGTCCAAGCTACTTGGGAGGCTGAGGTGGAAGGATTGCTTGAGCCAGGGAAATCGAGGCTGCAGTGACCTGTGATCAGGCCACTGCACTCCAGCCAAGGGAACACAGCGAGACTCCATCTCAAAAAATAATAATAATAATGAATTTTTTTTTTTTTTGAGATGAAGTCTCACCCTGTCGCCCAGGCTGAAGTGCAGTGGCGTGATCTCGGCTCACTGCAACCTCTGCCTCCCAGGTTCAAGCAATTTTCCTGCCTCAGCCTCCCGAGGAGCTGGGACTATACGCGCATGCCGCTATGCCCAGCTCATTTTTTGTATTTTAGTAGAGACGGGGTTTCACCTTGTTGCCTTGGCTGATCTCAAACTCCTGAGCTCAGGCAACCCACCCGACTCAGCCTCCCAAAGTGCTGGGATTACAGGTGTGAGCTACCGCACCCAGCTAATAATGAATTTTTTTAAAAAAACAGCTTCATAGTAAAATTTTAAATGGACATTAATGTTAGTTATTTAACCCTGGAAATCCAAATCTGATAGATTGTGACCCTCTTTTTTTTTTTTTTTTTTTTTTTTTTGAGATGGAGTCTCTCTCTGTTGCCCAGGCTGGAGTGCGGTGGCACAATCTTGTCTCACTGCAACCTCTGCCTCCCAGATTCAAGCAATGCTCGTGCCTCAGCCTCCCGAGTAGCTAGGATTACAGATGCCTGCCACTACACGTGGCTAATTTTTGTATTTTTAGTAGAGACGGGGTTACACCTTGTTGGCCAGGCTGGTCTCAAATTCCTGACCTTCTGATCCACCCACCTTGGCCTCCCAAAGTGCTGGGATTACAGACAGGAGTCACCATGCCTGGCCTGTGACCCTTTCATAAATAGCACACAACTGATTTTTCTCTACAAAAAGCAGACATGTTCACTGCAGAAAATGGTGAAACAGAGATAATAGCAGCAGAAGAAAGAAGACTTATACCTGCATCATTGAGAGATCACTAGCACCAAAACTTTTGGGTCATGTCTTTATTATTCATTTATATGTCTACCATCCAATTCAAATATGTATATGCATAAATGTACATATAAAATTTATAAAATAAATGGCATCATCCTGTTCATACTAACATAAAATAGAAACCTAATGGTGTGTGCTTGTGGCTCACGCCTATAATCCCAGCATTTCGGGAGGCCAAGGTGGGCAGATCACTTGAGGTCAGAAGTTTGAGACCAGCCTGGCCAACATGGCAAAACCCCGTCTCTACTAAAAGTACAAAAATTAGCCGGGTGTGGTGGCGTGTGCCTGTAATCCCAGCTACTTGGGAGGCTGAGGCAGGAGACTCGCTTGAACCCAGGAGGTGGAGGTTGCAGTGAGCCACTATCAGCCCACTGCACTCCAGCTTGGGCGACAAAGTGAGACTCCATCTCAAAAAAAACCAAAAAAACCCCAACAACCTAATGGTGTGTGCTTTTCAACTATGTTGTGATTAACATGTTTTGAACAGTTCAAAGTTCTCCTAAAGTGATCCACACTTACCTTCCGAGGCTTCACCTTGTCTTGTATATCATATTGGCCAATTCCCTTATAGCTTATTCCAAGCCACCAAGGAAGTCCTTGCTTATCCTAGAAGATGAAAAAGCATGAGAACCAAGACCTAGCTGTTAACTCTTCTAGAAGTGAATAAAATTTACCAATTTCACCTCTTTTTTTTTTTTTTTTTTTTTGAGACGGAGTCTCATTCTGTCACCAGGCTGGAGTGCAGTGGCATGATCTCGGCTCACTGCAATCTCTGCCTCTGGGTTTGAGCAATTCCCCTGCCTCAGCCTCCCTAGCAGCTGGGATTACAGGTGTGCACCACCATGCCTGGCTAATTTTTTTGTATTTTAGTAGAGACGGGGTTTCACTATGTTGGCTAGGATGGTCTTGATCTCCTGACCTCATGATCCACCCACCTCAGCCTCCCAAAGTGCTGGGATTATAGGTGTGAGCCACCACACCTGGCAATTTCACCTCTTAACAAGTATCAGCAAGTCAAAATAAAGCTGTCTTGATAAACAAAACATTTAAAAACCTAACTTGTTATTAAAACACCTACTTGGAGTTTCTTCAAATAAAATCTTTAAGTTGAAATAGTCCAGGACTGTTAATACCATCAAAAAGAGTAAAGCATTACTGTTTTGATTAAACAGTTGGAGAAAATAAATAAAATGTAAGTAATTCAACTAAGAATTAATCCAGTAAAAAGCCAGTTATCCATTAAAAAAAAAAAAGCTCTTTGCCTCTTAATTAGTAACCAGTTATAAAAGGTTGGGGACGTTTCCAAAGAATTACAAAGATGAGAAAAGTGGTTCCAATTCCTGATGTTTATAAAACAATTAACAATGAACACGGGAATATCGAAAACCCTTTTGGAGAACTGTACAATTCAATGACAGGATGTTTGAATAATTGGTTTGAGGTACATACGGGGAGGTGAGTAATATTGTTTTCATAAATTTATCTTTTATGTTTTGCCAAAGCAAAGAATATACTGACACAGGAAAAGGAAAATTTAGGCTTAGACAGATACCTATATGCACACCAGAGTCAGTAGAAATTAAAGTTAAATTGGAGGCCAGGCGTGGTGGTTCATGCCTGTAATCCCAGCACTTTGGGAGCCTGAGGCAGGTGGATCACCTGAGGTCAGGAGTTCAAGACCAGCCTGGCCAACATGGTGAAACCCCATCTCCACTAAAAATACAAAAAATGAGCCAGCTGTGGTGGTGCATGCCTGTAATCCCAGCTACTCTGTGGGCTGAGGCAGGAGAATTGATCAAACCCGGGAGGCAGAGGTTGCAGTGAGCTGAGATCACGCCACTGCACTCCAGACTGGGCAATAGAGCTAGACTCCATCTCAAAAACAAACAACAAAAAAAGTTAAATTGGTACCGATTTTTAGCACAGGTATTCTCATTATGTAAATTTTCTAATTCCCCATCATTTTGAATTGTATAGAGATATGAACATTATCATAACATGAAAAGTCAATCAAGAACTGATCAATTATAAAATTATTTCTCTTCCAAACAAGATATCCTTAACACTTTCATCTCATCATCTCAAAATATGTCAATCTCTCCCTGCTTATAAACATCTGAAAATACTTTTCATCATCTCAAAATATTTGTCAATCTCTCCCTGCTTATAAAACATCTGAAAATACAGTGTATGTAATACACTGATTAAAACATGGTATTGCAAATCCTGTAAAAATTTCAGAATTTTATGAAGCTGTTGAAATAACGCTGGAGACTGCATAATTTTCAAACAAAAGCACTCTCAAATGAAGATCTGGTAGTGCTAGAAAGGTGACCAACTGGAAAAAAGACCAATCAGCAAGCAGAGGTGTTTCGAAAGAGAATGATCTGAACATTTTAGGATGAAGAGAGGTCTTGGAAAAACATTTTAACGTAGCAAGTATTTTGCAAAAATAATGTACTTTATAATTTGCTACAAAAGGCAAGATATAATCAGCCTTTTATATAGTATGAAAAAAGCTGGTATTGTGCAATAACTCTCAATCATCACGAAAGCTTTGTCATGTAAAATTACTTACCTTTACTGCATAATAATGGACACCGTAAGTCGGTAGAGCTTCTACTATTTTCATATACCTATGGAAAATAAATATGTATCACAATCTTATTAAAATAGTTAGAGGACCCTTTTGGGAAAAGTGATTTAAAGAAACACCACGTTTCTACTTTCCTTATTATAAGAATAATTAATATGTTTCACTCAAGTAGAAACAGAATAAACCATTTTGGGGAGTAATATATTTTAGCTTATCCAAATGTCAGGAAAATGCTAATAGAACCTCAATTTCATAAAGCTATAGAAAATGTTACTTTCCACACATTCAAATGTTTATGGATTAGGAATGTACCATATTATAAACTCCATTTGCAAGTATTTTTTAAAGTAAGCCCCTAATGATGCAAGCTATGGGCACCAACTTTTGGGTCATACTCATAAGTTAAACAATAAAGCTATGCCATATATTGCTTGTGGTAGAGGTTAAATAACTAGAAACATCTGTCAAAACTCCTAGAAATATATACTTTAAAACTATGAATTATGGTATGTAAACCTGACTTAAAAAATATGTCCCCCCAGGCTGGGCGCGGTGGCTCACGCCTGTAATCCCAGCACTTTGGGAGGCCGAGGCGGGTGAATCACCTGAGGTCAGGAGTTCAAGACCAGCCTGGCCAACATGCTGAAACCCCATCTCTACTAAAAATACAAAAAAATTAGCTGGGTGTGGTGGCGGACACCTGTAATCCCAGCTATATGGGAGGCTGAGGCAGGAGAATTGCTTGAATTCGGGAGGTGGAGGTTGCAGTGAGCCGAGATTGCACTATTGCACTCCAGCCTGGGTGACAGAGTGAGAATCTGTCAAAAAAAAAAAAAAAGTCCCCCCAAAATAAAAATTAAAGCAACGATGCCACTACTTGCTATTTTTAATTCAGTAGTGTTTATTGTACACCTTTAAGGCTTTGGGGTGGACTAAATTTTGTAACGCTTCCTCTCTGCCCGCAAGGAACTGAGGCTCCTGTTTTAACGCAAGTAGACTTTTTAATGACATTTTGATGATCAATTTCTCCAGGAAGTGTAATGAATAATTTGACATATTTTTTAAAAGTAAATGGCCCGCATGCAAATGAATATAAGAGGTTAAATGTGTCAAGGTCATGCAGCAACTAAACTGCACAGCCAGAATTCTAACAAAATGAGTCAGACTCCACATCCTAGAGCCTTAACTACCAAATGAAACCGTCTCTTAGATGAAGCCACACAATAATGATCAGGAGAAAGAATAAGACTCTGCATTTAAGCATGGGTACTTTTTTTTTTTTAATTGTTTTTTAGTTTCCAGGGCACATGTGCAGGATGTGCAGGTTTGTTACATAGCTAAATGTATGCCATAGTGATTTGCTGTACCTAACAAACCATCACCTAGAGATTAGGGCCAGCATCCATTAGCACTTTTCCCTAATGCTCTCTCCCACCCCAGCCCTCTCCTGACAGGCCAGTAAGTGTTGTTCTCCTCCCTGTCTCCATGTGTTCTCATTGTTCAGCTCCTACTGATAAGTGAGAACAAGTGGTATTTGGTTTTCTGTTCCTGCATTAGTTTGCTGAGGATAATGGCTTCCAGCTTCATACATGTCCCTGCAAAGGACATGATCTCATTCCTTTGTATGGCTACATAGTATTCCATGGTGTGTATATACCATATTTTCTTATCCAGTCTATCATTGATGGGCATTTGGGTTGATTCCATGTCTTAAGCATGGGAACTTTGTAATATACAGTCACACATTGCTTAACAATGAAGATACATTCTGAGAATTGTGTTGTTAGGTGATTCTGTCCTTGTGCACACATCATAGAGTGCACTTACACGAACCTGGATGGTAGAGCCTACTACACAGTTAGGCTGTATGGTATGGCCTATTGCTCCTAGGCTACCAACCTGTACAGCATGTTACTGGGCTGAAATACTGTAGGCAATTATAATACAATGGTAAGTATTTGAGTATCTAAGCATAGAAAAGATACAGTAACAATATGGCATTATAATCCTATGGGCCCACCATTGTATATGTGTACAGAAATGGTACATGACTGTACTCACTAGTTTACCTTAATACCCTTAATGGAAATTGTCACTACTTCTTTTTACTTTTCAGTTCAGAAAACAGGCACAATGAATTAAAATGTCAAGGATCCAATTTCAAGATGCTAACTTCTGATTTCTGCTGCAAAGATAACAGAAGGTGTGTTTTGATAAAAACAAGATTAGAGGCTAGGCACAGTGGCCCATGTCTATAATCCCAGCATTTTGGGAGGCCGAGTTGGGCAGATCATTTGAGGTCAAGAGTTTGAGATCAGCCAGGCCAACATGGGGAAACCCTGTCTCTACTAAAACTACATAAATTAGCTGGGCATGGTGGCATGCGCCTGTATCATCCCAGCTACTCAGGAGCCTGAGGCACGAAAATCGCTTGAACCCAGGAGGTGGCAATTGCAGTGAGATGAGATTGCATCACGGCACTCCAGCCTGGGTGACAGAGCAAGACTCTGTCTCAAAAAGAGAGATTAGAGCAAAGAAGTAGGAGTGTGAGGAAAATCTACAATCTCCAAGCCCTTATTTCAGTTTTCACGGGCATAGAAATAATTTTAAAAGTTTAGTGTAGCAACTTTTTTTTTTTTTTGAGACAGAGTTTCTTTATTGTCACCTGGCTGGAGTGCAATGGTGCAATCACGGCTCACTGCAACATCCGCCTCCCTGGTTTAAGCAATTTTCCTGCCTCAGCTTCTCGAGTAGCTGGGATTACAGGTGGTTGCCAACATGCCTGGCTAATTTTTGTATTTTTAGTGGAGATGGGGTTTCACCATGTTGGCCAGGCTGGCATCGAACCTCTGATCTCAAATGATCCGCCCTCCTCAGCCTACCAAAATGCTGGGATTACAGGCATGAGCCACTGTGCTGGCCTGTTCTTAATAATGGGTGGTAACTCTATAAGTCACAAAATGTAGAAATACATTACAATGGCTTGTTGTTAGTAGCATGAAGAAACAGACTATCTAACACCAATATACTATACACTCGACTCAAATTCGAATCACAAACTGGGGGACAAAACATGGCTTCTAGATAGGTTTTATTTGGCTAACATTGCATTAAATTTTCTTTAAATTACTTCCCAATGAGATAAGATTTAAAAATCTGAATTTCCAGCTTCTCCTGGAAAACAAAGGATCTGGCAACATTATGCCTGAATTCTAAAGCTGAGTAACCTTGCCTCTACTCAGGATGAAAGCTCACCTGTTTACCACAGTCCCCACCATTCTCTATTGCCCTACATCTGGTCTACATTTCTCATTTTTTTACTTGCCTGACACTGGTAGGTATCTGAGTTGGTGACACCAATGTATAGAATGACCGAAGACATTTTCTAATTCACAGTAAGATATTTCTAACCAGATAAGGACTATGTTCACAAAAACTACACAACAGAAATCATTTCAAGTGATACCTTCAGATGAGAGATATTAAAATTATATCTAAGCAAAAGGAAAGATACTTACTGAACCACAGCTTGACCTCGAGTGAGACCTTTGATTTTCAAATAATGCTCAATTACCCTGTCCTCACTGTAAAACAAAGAAATGAGAAGGATTGCAATGCATGATTATCTGAGGTACAGGCACAGTTTCCACATTATCAGGTGGCTGTCAGGAAACTTGAGAGAGAAAGCCTTCACCAACTTGTTTGGTAGATAGAGTTTGGCTTTTGTTTCTGTAGGAGATGGATTCCTGAACTTCAGACATTTGACTGCCTCCATTATCATCTTTAACTTATGTTTTATGTAGCATATTTATATAATATATATATTACTACCTTTAAAACTTAAAGTGCACAGCCAGGCGTGGTGGCTCACGCCTGTAATCCCAGCACTTTAGGAGGCTGAGGGGATCATGAGGTCAGGAGATTGAGACCATTCTGGCTAACACAGTGAAACCCCATCTCTACTAAAAATACAAAAAATTAGCTGAGTGTTGTGGCATGTGCCTGTAGTCCCAGCTCCTCGGGAGGCTGAGGCAGGAGAACTGCTTGAACCTGGGAGGTGGAGATAGCAGTGAGCCGAGATTGAGCCATTGCACTCCATTCTAGGTGACAAGAGTGAAAATCCATCTCAAAAAAAAAAAAAAAAAAAAGACTTAAAGCGCAGTGGCTCATACCTGTATTCCCAGCACTTTGGGAAGTTGAGGCAGGCAGATCACCTGAGGTCAGGAGTTTGAGGCCAGCCTGGCCAACATGGTGAAATGTCGTCTCTACTAAAAATACAAAATTAGCTGGTTGTGGTGGCGCATGCCTGTAATCCCAGCTACTTAGGAGGCTGAGGCACGAGTATCACTTGAACCCAGGAGGTGGAGGCTGCAGTGAGCCGAGCTTGCGCCATTGCACTCCAGCCTGGGCAACAAGAGCAAAACTCCATCACAAAAACAAAAAACTTAATTTACTAGAAAAGGAAACAATATCAATTTCTCCAATGGGAAATGATCTTTTGCCATAATTGGATGGAATATAATACACATAAAATAATGATATCAAATGTTAGCTGTAGAACATTATTGAAGAAATTTTGAGCCTAAGGCCTATCCTCTCTTTGGTTAAAACAGGGAGATCAGCAAGTGTTAGGCATTAAAGACTTTCTCATTGAATGATTCAGAAAGATTTTACAAGAATTTAAACTGCTTCTGAGTCTGTGTGCAATCTAAAATACTCTACTATCACCATTTACAGACATGTTGCTTTAGGAGAAAACCCTTTTATTGCCCTAGAGTAAAACTTGTTGACTGGAAAGGAAATCTCAAGTATAACCTAGAAGATGAAGTATTTCTATCTCCATATGACTAGTTCTCATTAGTAATGTCTTTTTTTTTAATTAAAAAACTATCAAGGCTGGGTGCAGTGGCTCACGTCTGTAATCTCAGCACTTTGGGAGGCCGAGGCAGGCGGATCACGAGGTCAGGAGTTCGAGACCAGCCTGGCCAACATGGTGAAACACCTTCTCTACTGAAGATACAAAACATTAGCTGGGCATCGTACCGTGTGCCTGTAATCCCAGCTATTTGGGATACTGAAGCAGGAGAATTGCTTGAACCTAGGAAGCAGAGGTTGCAGTGAGCGGAGATTGTGCCATTATATTCCAGCCTGGGTGACAGGGGGAGACTCCGTCTCAAAAAATAAAATAAAATAAAAATAGATAAAACTATCGCGCTTGGTCGGGCCCGGTGGCTCACACCTGTAATCCCAGCATTTTGGGAGGTCAAGGCGGGTAGATTGCCTGAGGGCAGGAGTTTGAGACCAGCCTGATCAACATGGTGAAACCCCGACTCTACTAAAAATACAAAAATTAGCCGAGCCTAGTGGAGGGTGCCTGTAATCCTTGCTACTCGGGAAGCTGAGGCACAAGAATCACTTGAACCAGGTTGCAGTGAGCTGAGTTCATGCTACTGCACTCCAGCCTAGGCGACAGAGCAAGACTCTGTCTCAAAAAAACAAAACAAACAAACAAAAAACTATCACTTGAAAATGACATGGCTAGAAGTTTCCAGAGTCAAGATGCTATGTAGCCTCAGTACTTACTTTCACTATATATTTGGGAATATACTTCCAACTTCATACTAAATGTCTCAATATTGAATATCTATTTTGTAATCTTTATTTTGTAACATTTTAGTGGAAAGAAAAACCATCTTGAGGATTCAGACTGAAACCAAGGAGAATATATTTAACAAGAATGTAAGTATTTTAAGGGAAAACGTAATTTAGAAAAAAAATATGGGATGAAAATGGATACTATGGATTCACTAATGTACAAACAACTAAACCAACTCAATATATACAATATCTAGCTGTAGTAGAAACCTCTGGTCATTATGAAAATCTCTGATCCAAGGAAATCTGTATTTTATAACACTTATATTGCATTCTGCTAGATTAAAGCTGCATTACACAGTGACTGCACATATATTGAATATTATATATTCACCTAGGAGCATACTCTACAGACATTTTACACACTTGAAAGAAACATCAGCCAGCTGCTCTTTGCAAATGACTGCAAGACACATCTTGGTACAATGATCTCCAGTAAGCTTTGAGTAGATCCTTTCACTGAAAGGATCAAGGTCTACCTATGGTTACTTTATACAATTGATTGGCAATGTGATATTTTTCCCACTTATATTTCTTTTAATGCCCTGAAAAGCATGTAGTTCTGAATGGAGGCTATGAAAATGAGACACCTGTTATGTGGATTTGGCTTACCAGTAGGCAAGGGATGGATGCTCCTGAAGAGTTTTGGTTGGAAAGGCTGGTAATGTCTTTAAATCTTTCCTGGCATTTTCATCACTAAAAAGAAATGGAATATGGTAATGTCAGGTACTGTTATCCAAAAAATTATGCAAGCCGGTCACCAAATGAATTAGATTAAAAAAATAACTATTTACAGCATGTTGGAGCCAACATACACATGGTTATGGACTCTAACTAGAAGCAGCCCCCAAATTTAACAACTGAGTTATATGATGAGATGTTGAAGTTTATAATATTTTCTGCACATGTCTATTTTACACGTAACTATGATTATAATTGTACATTTTTCACATTGTATTTTTACAGAATATTCTTCACATTTCATTATCCACTTTCTCTATGTTCCTACAGTATCTTACTAATCATCTTTAGTGGCTACATAATATTCATCATGGTGGAATACTGGTTATCATGAAACCATTCACATAACATCAACAATTTTTCGTAATAGATATCATTGCAATGAAAAGGTTTATGTAGTCTTTTATATTACTCTTCTGTTACTTCCTTACAACCCTCTGAAATATAGCAGACCAACTCAACCACCTGTAGAAATCTCTTGAATAGAAGATGACTGGAAAACGTGTTTCTAATGAAACCCAAGGTATCTCTTAAGTCACATTAAGTGAACTAAAATGTACCTCATGTAAGGTTAGCTATTATCTAATTATAAAATGGCAAAATTCTAGTTGTCAAGAGAAAGTTGTGGTCTTTACAGAACTTTAAAAAAGGGAGAACAGGCCGGACACAGTGGCTTACGCCTGTAATCCCAGCACTTTGGGAGGCCAAGGCGGGCAGATCACAAGGTCAGGAGATTGAGACCATCCTGGCTAACACGGTGAAACCCTGTATCTACTAAAAATACAAAAAAAAAAAAAAAAAAAAAAAAAATTAGCCAGGTTTGGTGGTGGGTGCCTATAGTCCCAGCTACTTGGGAGGCTGAGGCTGGAGAATGGCATGAACCTGGGAAGCGCAGCTTGCAGTGAGCCGAGATCACGCCACTGCACTCCAGCCTTGGCGACAGAGCAAGACTCCGTCTCAAAAAAAAAAAAAAAAAAAAAAAAAAAAAAAAAAGAGGGAGAACACGTAATACTACCCAGTCATAGTTGGTTATGAGAGAAAATACTCTAACTACTGAGTATTTAAGGACATAATCTATGAGGAAATGAACATGATTATCTAAAGCCTATTAGAGGGTAGCTACTCAAAATTCTGATGAAACTGGTGTTCATCAAACAGCATAATGCTAACTCTTCCTACCTTCCACTTCTTCCTATCTTTACCACTAGCTACCCTTCGATGAAAGGCTCCCAAGTGCCAGATACCATGCAACACACTTCTTGGGCATTATTTACCTCATGTAAGGTTCACCACAAGCATTCCCATGCAGTAGATACTATTATTATCTATTTAAGTAGACGAGCCCCCCAGCTGGAGGGCCAAACACTGAACCATTCCTTGTTGCTATTACATTTCAAAGCCAGGGTTGTGGCCTTTCCTACAGGTGAAAGATCTAGCTTTCCAAATTACTACAGGAAATAAAAAGTCACTTGGCTCCTGTTCTTACATAAGAATAAATCTCTCTATTCATTTGAAATCTGAGAGTTATGGCTTAACCACACTGACAATCTTGGGAAACTGGTTTGTGCTTCCTGAAAATCAAAATATACCACAATCCAATTCATTCATATTAAAGGTCAACTGTCAACTCCCAGTATATTTATTTTTCTTAATAATCTCTCTTATGTTCTGTCTGGCATACCACATTTACTTTTTTTTTTTTTTCCAAACCTAAAACTGTCAGATACCTTTACTTCTAAATTGTGAGTTTTTTTAATGAAGGGCAAATGCATGCATGTATTCAAAAATGATAAATTCAGGACAACATCGTGTTATGAAATCATCCCCATCGACCACATGCATGTTGTTATTTCTGGATCCAGGTGAACCATAGGCTATGTTTCAAGAACCCAGCCTAGCATTCACTTACTTGGATTACAGTTAATTCTGTGGCAATGGAGACCTCACTAGATCAGAAGTTGCTATTTATCATAAATTTATTTATTCAGTTAACAAAAATATGTAGAACGAGTGTCATATGATGGAACTGTTTTTAACTCATACAAATGCAGTCAGCCAAAAGGGAAAGGAGAATAGGGAAAGAAGTGAGGGAGAAATTTTATCTGTCATTCCATTCAATAAGCTCATGGTTGAGAGTAAGTACAAAACGGGTGACTTGAAGCTGTTGTCCTTAGTCCTATGTCCCTCAAAGCACAAGTATCTCACGACACTGAGATTTTTCCAGCATTCAGGCATTTAATACATGTCTGCTAAACTCAAGCAATCTTTATATCTAGTGCCTAAAGAAATAGCTGTGTGTTTCAACTGGAGAAAAATACCACCTGTGTTGGATTTATTGAAAGATGAAGTTTAGTCTTCAGCATATCATTTTCCCAGCGATTTTCAAGAGTAATTTGAACTATACACAATCAGAATCTACTCCAGTTATAAGATGTTATTTGTTTAGAAATTCTGGCTGAATAAATCAATAAATTACTACAGGTTAATCATGAGCCAGTATCTGAGATAATGATGAATATTCATTCATTAAGACCTTTTTTTGAGTACTGATCAATCACTGAGAAGCAACTAAAATGTGCGTTAATAGGGAAGTGGATTAGGATCATTTTAAGGAGAGTTTAGAATACCTTGAAAAAAAGTATTCTTAACCGGGTGCAGTGGCTTAGCCTATAATCCCAGCGCTTTGGGAGGCCAAGGCAGGGGGATCACCTGAGGTCAGGAGTTCAAGACCAGCCTGACCAACATGTGAAACCCCGTCTCTACTAAAAATACAAAAATTAGCCTGCTGTGGTGGCAGACACCTGTAATCCCAGCTACTCAGGAGGCTGAGGCAGGAGAATCACTTGAACCCAGGAGGCGGAAGTTGCAGTGAGCCGAGATCGCGCCATTGCACTCCAGCCTGGGGGACAAGAGTGAGACTTTGTCTCAAAAAAAAAAAAAGAAAAGAAAAAGAAAGAAAGAAAGAAAAAAGTATTCTTAAAAAGATGGAGCACAGAAGATTTTTAGGGCACTGAAACTATTCTGTATGATACTGTAATGGTGGATATATGACATTATGCATTTGACAAAACCTGTAGAACTGTACAACACAAAGAGTGAACCCTAATTTGACTATAGACTTTTGCAACAAATGTACCACACTAATGCAAGATGTTAATAATAGGGGAAACAGTGGGGGTGGGGAAAGGGGGTATAAAGGAACTCTCTGTACTTTTCATTCAGTTCTTCTGTAAATCTAAAACTGCTCCAAAAAATGTTTATTAAGAAAAACGAAGAAAGAAATATACTTTAGATTAGTGGTTCTCAACGTGGGCAATTTTGCCCCTCAGGGGACGTTTAGCAATGTTTGAAAGCATTTTTGATAGTCACAACTGAGGAAGGAGGTGTTACTGGCTTCTACTGGGTAGTTCCTATAATGCACAGAACAGCCCTCAACAACAAAGGATGATCCTGCCCAAAATGTCAATAGTGCTGAGATTGAGAAACCCTGCCTTCAATGATAAGAATCCTGAAAATTCTACACTAATACTCTACAAAGCATATCTTTTAGACTTACAGAATTTTTCTCTTATGTCACTCTGAATATTAGACATCTCAGATGCAAATATCTTGGGGCCAAGTGAGACAGGCATTAGAAAATCAACTGGGTAAGCGAGCTGAGAAATGTAAGTCAAACTCACCATCAGACCTGGGGACACTGAGATATGGTGTGAACTCTGAAGAGAGGAGAACATTGCCCATGTT
The DNA here is from genome assembly GCF_000001405.40 of Homo sapiens. Taxonomy (NCBI): domain Eukaryota; kingdom Metazoa; phylum Chordata; class Mammalia; order Primates; family Hominidae; genus Homo; species Homo sapiens. The sequence goes on from NC_000003.12 coordinate 69,228,480, forward strand.
TCATATAAGATACAGATTTGACTCTGTGTGATAGAGATCAAAACTTTAATTTATCTTCACATAAGTCAGAGCTCGCTGGGCATGGTGGCTCATGCCTATAATCCCAACACTTTGGGAGACTGAGCTGGGAGGATCTCTTGAGCCCAGGAGTTGGAGACCGACCTGGGCAACACAGTGAGACCTTGTTTCTACAAGAAATTTTTAAAAAATTAGCCAGGTGTCATGGCATGTGCCTGTGGTTTCAGCTACTTGGGAGGCTGAAGTGGACCACTGGAGTCCAGGAGTTCAAGGCTCTAGTGAGTTATGATTGCACCAATATATTACAGCCTGGGCAACAGAGTGAGATTCTCTTATTTAAAAAAAAAAAAAAAGAATGGAGAGAAGATGCCTTCTCAGTTTCTTGGTTTCTAGTTTCAGATAATCAGATAATTTGCTAACTGCAAATTGTCAATAGTGATTGATTAAAGGCGACAAGTAATTTAGGCAAATTACTTGTCTCGCTACTTGTGGAATCTTGACTATCCCTCAAAATCATGTTTTTTTTTTTTTTTTTGTTTTGTTTTTGAGGCTGGGTCTTGTTCTGTTGCCCAGGCTGGAGTGCAGTGGCTCAATCATGGCTCACTGCAGCCTCAACCTCCAGGGCTCAAGTGATCCTCCCCGCTCAGCCTCCAAAGTAGCTAGAATCACAGCTGCGTGCCACCATGTCTGGCTAAATTTTTAATTTTTCATAGATATGGGGTCTCACTATGTTGACCTGGCTGATCTCAAACTCCTGGCCTCCAGCAACCTTCCTGCCTTAGCTTCCCAAAGTGCTAGGATTACAGACATGAGCCACCATGGCCAGCCCCCCAAAATTACATTCTCAGGGAAGAACATGGCCTTATTTCTTCACGTTAGAAAAGGCTCCTGTTAATCATCCAAATCTGGTCGTTTGTACTATTGCAAAATATCCCTTGTGAATATATAACATCACTTTCCTATAAGAACCTGTTTAATATAGGAATTTTCCAGCAAGCCATCACCGATATTTGAAGTGGTTGAGCTGTGGACGTGACTATAACACTAAAAGAGAAAGCCAGCAGAATAATCGAAAGACGACTGACACAGATAGCTTGGCAGAAAAATGAGTTAAACTCTTCAACAAGCAGTGTATAGAAGTAGAATTCCAAATGGCCAACAGAAAAAAGTGTTCATCTTCATAAGTTATCAAGGAAATGCAAATTAAATCCTCAATTAATTACCAATACACAATGGAGTCTCACTCTGTCGCCAGGCTGCAGTGCAGTCGTGCGATCTTGTTTGGTCCTAAACAAGGACCCGGGTTCAAATGATTCTCCTGCCTCAGCCTCCGGAGTAGCTGGGACTACAGGTGTACGCCACCATGCCCAGCTACTTTTTGTATTTTCAGTAGAGACAGGGTTTCACCATGTTGGCCAGGAAGGTCTCTATCTCTTGACCTCATGATCAAGAGATAGACCGCACCCGGCCAGACTATCAAACTTTTTTTTTTTTTTTGATATGGAGTCTCGCTCTGTCACCCAGGCTGGAGTGCAGTGGCGCAATGTTGGCTCACTGCAACCTCTGCCTCCCAGGTTCAAGCAATTCTCTGCCTCAGCTTCCCGAGTAGCTGGGATTACAGGCGCCCTCCGCCACGCCTGGCTAATTTTTTTGTATTTTTAGTAGAGATGGGGTTTCACCAAGTTGGCCAGGCTGATCTTGAACTCCTGACCTCGTGATCCACCTGCCTTGGCCTCCCAAAGTGCTGGGATTACAGGCATGAGCCACCTCGTCCGGCGACTATCAAACTTTAAAACTCCAACAAGGTCTAGTTTATATGGAGATGAAGTGCAATAGGAACTCTCATCCATTACTAGTAAGAGTGTCAATCGGTACAATCATTTTGGAAATTTGCATACCCTATAACCCAGTAATCCTCTGCTAGGTATATTCCCTAGAGAAACTTATATACAAGAGTAAGATTTAGGACCAGGCGTGGTGGCTCACACCTGTAATTCCAGCATTTTGGGAGGCTCAGGTGGGTGGATCACCTGAGGTCAGGAGTTTGAGACCAGTCTGACCAACATGGTGAAACCCCACCTCTATTAAAAAAATATAAAAATTAGCCAGGCATAGTGGTGGGCACCTGTAATCCCAGCTACTTGGGAGGCTGAGGCAGAAGAATCGCTTGAACCTGGCAGGCAGAGGCTGCAGTGAGTTGAGATCGCATCATCGCACCCCAGCCTGGACAACAGAGCAAGACTCTGCCTCGAAAAAAAAAAAAAATTTACACTAACATTGTTCACACAAAAGAACAACTCAAATATCCCATAACAGTATAAATGCTTAAACTGTAATGTATTCATGTAATAGAATACCACGCAGCAAAGACAACAGACAATAGCTACACACATCATGAATGTCACACATATTGAGCAAAGATACAAGTCCCCAAATAAGAAACACAATCACTACTTCATGTACATAAAGGTCCAAAACAAACAAAATGAAACTAGAAACAATCACACATAGGTGATAAAACTATGAGGAAAGACAAGCACTCGATCTCATCTCATCTGGGAAGCTAAGTAAGGTTGGGGCTGGTTACTTCTTGGATGGGAGACAGCCCGGAAATACTGGGTGCTATAGGCTTAACAAAACAAAGACAAGAAAACATTTACCATAGAGTCAGAATGCCCATGAGGAAAGAGGGAATTTTATTGGAGGTAGGAAAGTACAATATACAGTGGGGGGCAGGAGGCTTCTGGGGTCCTGGCAACATTCCTCACTGGCTGTGGTTGTATTGCTGCATCCTTTTTTTCTCCTTATTTTTTTCTCCGAGACTCTGTCACCCAGGCTGGAGTGCAGTGGCACCATCTTGGCTAACTGCAACCTCCGCCTCCTGGGTTTAAACGATTCTCCTTCCTCAGCCCTCCCAGTAGGTGGGACTACAGGTATGTGCTACCACGCCCAGCTAATTTTTGTATTTTTAGTAGAGACGGGGTTTCGCCATGTTGGCCAGGCTGTTCTCGAACTCGTGACCTCAGGTGATCTGCCCGCCTCCACCTCCCAAAGTGCTGGGATTACAGGCGTAAGCCACTGTGCCCGGCCCAGCTGCATCCTTCTAATTTGTTCTTTATACCAATATACATGTTTTACACATTATTCTATGTGATATAATTCACAACAAAAATGGAATCAAGTATGGCCAGTTGAGTGGATGTGGGGAAAGCCGAAGTTCAAGATCACTGCCCTGTTATGGGGAGGTGCTGCAACGGTAACGTAAGAGGTTAGAACCTACTAAACCAAAAATGAATCCACTGGGATGTTAGAAACACTGGCATATTATTATAGAAGGTTAAGCTCGATCGTTTCCATAGTTTAGGATCAAACGGGATTTCACGTTTGAGTGGACTGGCAGTAGCTGAGTGCTCATTTGTTCACCCTCCCGGGGAATCTGTCTGGGAGCCTGAGGCTGCAAGGGATCTACGGAGCTTGTAGGAGCAGCCAGGTCTGGCTTCTGCACAGAAGGCCCCTCCCTGGCCGGCTGGGCAGGAGGCATGATTTATGAGTCAGGATCAACCTCAGAGTTCAGAGGGAGGGCCCAAAAGTAGTAGGGGAGGTGAACAAGCCTCAATCGGGATGTCTCTGCCTTTCACCAGCAATAAATACACTCAAACTGACTGGACATTACTGACCCTAATGGCAACGGATATGTTATTTTAAAGATGCACTTGACCAGAATTGCCATGAGGGACTGGTTTCTCCGGGTCCTAGCCAGAGAGAATGCCCATAAATCTACATCACTTGCTACTTCTCAGTGACCAAACCAGAAATTGCTTCTCTCCATAATTTCAGCAGGAATTCAGATGTCACAATGAAGAACATGCTTGCATTTTATCTGATTATCTAGGCTGAACTCCTCCCTTAGGCATTCCAGATTCCTATTTCGATAACTTTCCAGAAGGAAGCTGCCCATGACCCACTATTTAGCTACTACAACTATTTCTCAGGCAACAATTCCTTTGGTCATTCTGAAGCCCCCCTTTCACAGGCTGTTTTTCTTTACTGACCCCAAGTACCCTGACGGAATGTGCCAACCCCACTCATTTTTGAGAAAGCCACATGGCTGGCAAAACTGAGGCTACTCTTTGTGTGTGCTGGAGTACTTGTGTGGAAAAAGCCACCCCCAGCAAATGGGTGCACCTGCTTGTGGCTAATTGTGGGCTTGTACACAGCAACAATCAGCCACCTGCTATCAGAGACTGGCGTAGAAGGGAGTGCAGGCAGTTAGCACACTGGGCATGCTAGTACTTCCTAGAGAAAACTAAGACCCTTGCTGTCTATGCTTGGTGTGGGGGCATCCTCCATTTGTAGAACAGCTTAAAAAAAAAAAATGCCCAAGCCCCAAAGTTGCAAATTTCACTTTTGTTGTTTGTTTTTTTTTTTTTTTTTGGTAGGGATGAGGTCTCCCTTTGTTGCCCAGGCAGGTTTCAAACCCTTGGGCTCAAGTGATCCTCCCATCTTGGCTTCTCAAAGTACTGGGATTACAGGCATGAACCACCACACCAGCTCCGCATTTCACTTTTCTTCTCCAAGCAAAGCGCTTCCTTACCTGAAACCCAAACCAAAGGTGCATAAAAAATGTATATTAAATATAATATCCAAATGGAAACAGCTACAGAAGCTTCACTTTCTAAACCTAAGCTGTTTAGAAAGTTAACTTGGGGCTGGTTGCAGTGGCTTACACCTGTAATCCCAGCACTTTGGGAGGCGAGATGGATCACTTGAGCCCAGGAGTTCGAGACCAGCCTGGCCAACATGGTGAAACCTTGTCTCTATGAACAATACAGAAAAATTAGTTGGGTGGGGTGGCACACGCCTGTAGTCCCAGGTACTTGGAAGGATGAGTTGGGAGAATCACCTGAGGCCGGGAGTTCGAGGCTGCAATGAGCCACGATCGCCTACTGCACTCCAGCCTGGGTGACAGAGTGAGACCCTGTCTCAAAAAAAAAAAAAAAAAGATTAACTTGGGTCTGGAGTTCTTTTTTCACCTACACATAATTGTAACTCAAAATCCTTATTTCAGAAAATGTGTATGTGGATGTAAAAATGCCATAGTTAAGTGCCTATTTGAACACTCAGTAAAGTCTAAAGCCTGTTATTAAGTGTATATGTACCATACAGCTTACATAACATGAGAAATTAAAAGATCATGACAGGGGCCTCCCAGGATTTGGGCAAGTCATCACAGCCAAGAACTCTATTTAGTACTGTGTCCCAGGCAAACCAAAGATTTACTGTTATTAGGAATGGAGCTAATTGGAAACATTTGCCAGTCTTCTAGTGTTGCCTTGTATAGGCCTTGATGAGAAGTCATTTCTTTGTCTGTGCTTACTAGAAACCTGTGATGACCCATCAAGGTTCTGAACTACACTGAAGAAATGGGACAGGATTAGTGATCATAGCAGCTACAAAAGTTTATTTAGGCCAGGCGTAGTAGCTCATGTCTGTAATCCCAACATTTAGGGAGGCTGGGGCTAGCAGATCACTTGAGGTCAGGAGTTCCAGACCAGCCTGGCCAAATGGTGAAACTCCGTCTCTACTTAAAATACAAAAATTAGCTGGGCCTGGTGGCGCGTGCGTGTAGTCCCAGTTACTCAGGAGGCTGAGGCAGGAGAATTGCTTGCACTGGGAGGTGGAGGCTGCAGTGAGCTGAGATCATGCCACTGCCCTCCAGCCTGGGTGACAGAGTGAGACCCTGTCTCAAAAAAAAAAAAAAAAAAGTGTATTAAATGTCTGTTACATAGGTGTAACAGGTGCCAACTTAACTATCAATCAAACCATTTGAGCTGGATCTTCTATTGAAGGATGACAGATTGCATAAACAAGTAATTATTAAAAAGGATCTTGGTTACTATTAACAAACACCAATTTCCTCAACTAATCTACTGGCACTGACCAAGACCTGGGTGATTAGCAGTTTAAGAGCTTTTCACTGGCTAGCTTGCCTTCAAATTGCCCTTTATTGAAAAAGAATATCATGTTTCTTTCAGTTATTTGTAGAACCTGGCCTTCAATGATGAATTCAGTGTATTATCTGCTGGACTTAACAACTAGAAATTTCTAATAGTAAGTTTCTCTCTACTGATTCCTAGGTAAAGCAATATTAAAGGTGACAAACAAAAGAAAACAGTGATTATCATTGTACCCTCGTACCCTGGCCAGCAGCATCAACATTATCGGATGACTTTCTGGAAAGGCAAATCTCAGGCTCCACCCCAGACCTACTGGATCAGAAAGGCTGAGGGTGGGGCTCAGCAATCTGCTTTTAACTAAGGGCTTAAGAACCACTGCAATAGGATAAACACAACATAAAACAGAGATTTTGGCTAGGTGTGGTGGCTCATGCCTGTAATCCCAGCACTTTGGGAGGCTGAGGCGGGCGGATCACTTGAGATCAAGAGTTCCAGACCAGCCTGGCCAACATGGTGGAACCCCACCTCTACTAAAAATACAAAAAATTAGCCGGGTGTGGTGGTGTGTGCCTGTAGTCCCAGCTACTCAGGAGGCTGAGGCAGGAGAATTGCTTGAACCCAGGAGGCGGAGTTTACAGTGAGCCAATCTCATGCCACTGCACTCCAGCCTGGGTGACAGAGCGAGACCCTGTCTCAAATAATAATAATAATAATAATAATAATAATAATAATAATAATAATAATATTTTCAAGAAAGAAACTGTAATCAACTCCTTAAATTGTAGAGATGGTCAGGGAGCCTGAGCAAAGCTTTTGGGTGGACAGCTCAGGTTTGTTTTAGGAGACTCTAGCAAGTGACCTGACCTAGCAGTGACAAAACATGAGTGCTGTCATCTAATCCCCCAAAAGAAATACTTCTAAAGGGCCAGGCGCAGTGACTCATGCCTGTAATCCCAGCACTTTGGGAGGCAGAGGTGGGTGGATCACCTGAGGTCAAGAGTTCAAGACCAGCCTGGCTTTGAGGTGAAACCCTGTCTCTACTAAAAATACAAAAATCAGCTGGGTGTGGTGGTGGGTGCCTGTAATCCTAGCTACTCAGGAGGCTGACGCAGAAGAATCGCTTGAGCCTGGGAGGCGGAGGTTGCAGTGAGCCCAGACCATGCCACTGTACTCCAGCCTGGACAACAGAGTGAGACTCCATATCAAATTAAAAAAAAGAAAGGAAAAAAAAAAAGAAATACTTCTAAGGGACAACAGCTCTTTCACTGGGTATTACCAGGTGGCAGAGAGTGGGCTAACCCCTTTCTCTACAGGCATATTATGCTATTAACATCAGTGTCCCTATTTCATGGATATGAAAACAGAGTTAAGGGAGATTAAGCAATTTAAACTCACAAAGCAAATACGACTCCAAACCTGTGCTTTAACAACTTTGCCTTACTCCTCCAGGATTCTAGGAAGAGGGGACAGGAAATAGGGAAGGAGCAGAGGAAAGATTTTAACTTTGAGGCTTCAGCATTTATCATTATGGTAGCCACTGATTAATTCCACCAAAATATGTATTGCTTAGGTGATGACAGTCTGCGTTTTTAAACTAGATCAAACTGGATTAACCACATCAAGGATCTGAACATAGATAACAAGACTTAATGTGTTAGCAGTGTTTCTTGAACCACACCAAACCAGAACAAACCAAACAAAAACCATAGCCTAGTTGTCCCTTAGTAGTGAGGACACCAAATTTAGGGTTTTATTGTTGTTGTTATTGTTTTGGTTTTTTTTTTTTTTTTCCGAGATGGAGTCTCGCTCTGTTGCCCAGGCTGGAGTGCAGTGGCACAATCTCAGCTCACTGCAAGCTCCGCCTCCTGGGTTCAACAGATCCTCCTGCCTCAGCCTCCTGAGTAGCTGGGACTATAGGCACCTGCCACGATGCCCGGGTAATTTTTATATGTTTAGTAGAGATGGAGTTTCACCATGTTGGCCAGGCTGGTCTGGAACTCCTGACCTCAAATGATCCGCCCGCCTTGGCCTCCCAAAGTGCTGGGATTACATGCATGAGCCACCGTGCCCGGCCCCAAATTTGGTTTTTGAAAAACACTTTTACATGAGCTGCAAAACCAGACTCCAGTCATTTTCGGCAGAACCTTAAAACAGGGAGTTGCAAACTGCTACAGGTGAGAAGTCCAATATATCAATTAAAGCTCCTTAAACCACACAAGGTATTCCTGAAGCCCCACTTTTTATACTGATTCAAAAAGCTCAGAGTAAGATCTCTACCCTGGATGAGTTATCTCTGTTACTGTTAGGGTATACTAAGGCCTGGGATGGGATGAAGAAAAGAAGAAACAAGCTGACACTTTCATTCACAGTCAATCATATGCAAAAGCAGAAAGCTAGAGCTCAAGTTCACTCAATGCCTAATGCCACTCCTGATTATTGCAAGTTAGTTCCGAAAAACTGATTACAGACTGAGCTAACTGCATAACAGCTAAAAGAAAGAGCCCTCTTCACTTTCTACCCACCCAGACTAAACTTAAAAGAGAGCAGCTCCACCTAGCCGGGTAAGCGAGGTGAATTCATTTGGTCCAACCCCTAAATGCACAGATGAGAGAAACAAGACCCACTGAAGTTTGAAAACTTACCAAAGTTCCCACAGTAGGTGGCAACAGATCTAAAGGACCAGAGGTTTGTTCTCTGGACAACTGCAGGCCGGAGCACAAGAGGAGGAAGAGGAGAGAATTGGAAAGCTAGGGAGGAACGGAAGAGGAGGGAGGGGCCGGGAAAGGAAACACCCAGCTGGCTGTGCCAGCCCTTGCTCTCCTCCCCTCCTAAGCCACAGGGTCTTTCATTTTTGGAATTTCCTCCCTACCTTTAAACCTTTCTTGATTTAAACCTTTCTTGATCAGACCTTAAACCAAGTCAGGTTGCAGCTATTTACAGAGTGAAAAGTGAGAACTGAAAGAATTATATAAGCCTTTCTCCTGGCCTCTGGCCAAATCTAGGGATGCCTCCCACTGTTTCTGTGAGAGGTGGGAAGTTGTTGGCCCATCCTTCATCCTAAGAAGCTCCTTCACAGGGCTACAGGTGTGAGCATGCAAAGAAGGCCTTCATGGGGGTTTAGGTGTGAGCATGCATTTCTAGGCTTCATGCATTTCTAGCGCCTTCATGGGGGTTCAGGTGCGAGCATGCATTTCTACACCATCTCTGGTCCCCAGCTTCCTCAGACCTCTCAGCTTCTCTTTCATAGGATGATAAAAGATATTCTTTGGGCTTTTATTTATGTACTCATTTACTGAGACAGAGTCTCGCTCTGTCATCCAGGCTAGAGTGCAGTGGCGCGATCTCGGCTGACTGCAACCTCTGCCTCCTGGGTTCAAGTGATTCTCCTGCCTCAGCCTCCTAAGTAGCTGGGATTACAGGCACGCACCACCATGCTCGGCTCATTTTTTGTATTTTTACTAGAGACAGGGTTTCACCATGTTGCCCAGGTTGGCCTCAAACTCCTGAGCTCAGGCAATCGGCCGGCGTTGGCCTCCTAAAGTGCCAGGATTACAGGCGTGAGCCACAGCGCCCATCCACTTTGGGCTCTTAAGGTGGCCATCCTAGGCACTTGCTATGTGTGACAAGTGCCTAGGATGCATTTTACTTACACAAACTCATTTAGTCTTCATGGCACCCAAGATGTTGGTGCTCTAATTTACAGATAAGGAAACTGAGATTTAGAAAGATCACCTAGCTGCCCATCATTTTACTAGAGCTAGTACACAGGCAGCCAGTACATACCTAGGAAAAAATCAAAAATACCAACCAACCAATCAGCTCTAGGCCTATGATTTGCAGTAATACGGTTTGGCCTTTAGAACTGCATTCAGTCCCAGGTCTCTCTGTTCCTAGGAGTTTTGTGGTCTTAGATAAACTAACCTTTGTGAGCCTGCATTTCCATATTATAAAAATACAAATAGTGACCTGTTGCATAGGATTCTTGGGTATATTACAATAGAATGCAATGAAGGCACTTGCCTATGTTCAATAAATGTGTTCCTTCCTGGCCAGGTGTGGTAGCTCACGCCTGTAATCCAGGCACTTTGGGAGACTGAGGTGGGCAAACTGCTTGAGCCCAGGAGTTTGAGATCAGCCTAGGCAACACAGTGAAATCTCATCTCTATGGAAAATACAAAAATTAATCAGACGTGGGGTACACACCTGTAGTCCCAGCTACTCGGGAGGCTGAGATGGGAAGGTCACTTATGCCCAGGGGGCACGTGATCTGCAGTGATCCATGATCATGCCACTGCACTCCAGCCAGGATAACAGAGAAAAATCCTGCCTCAAAACAACAACAACAAAAATGTTCCTTCCTTTCTGAAGGTAGCATAATAAACCAAAGATTTTACCAAACACTTTATTCCTACCACTCTCTGCCCAGGCTGGTGGTCGATTATTACTATTGAGAAGAATCCTAAAGGGGTGATCTGGGTTAGAGTTGGCAGATTTAATATATTGGACATACTTATACTAAAAAATTGCTCGTTGTTCATCTGAAATTCCAATTTAACTGGGCGTCCTATATTTTTATTTGCTAAATCTGGCAACTCTAAGGGCTTATAATAAACTGCCTGGGAAAAGAACTTTGAAAGTAACTTGCCAAGTTCCGAGTTGTGAGCAGTTTGGGGCTTGGTTTGACAGAGTCTATTGGCAACCAGTGGAAGCTCAGCCTAGAAACTCACTTTTCCAACATCATGACTGATCCACAGGATTGGTGTCAGCCTTTTATTTTCTCAGCATTCTACCAAAGATGCATCCTGTAGCAGGAAACCTGCTTGTGTTCTGGGAAGTGCAGTGTCCTCTCAGCTAGAATTCCTTTGTCATTACATTTTTGTCTGTGGCCTAACTTGTAACAGGGGACAATTACTCTGCCCATCTGCATGCTTGATGGGGATCAACTGTCAAGCTATTTGTTTTTAGGTCTAAGGAATTTCTAATGAGAATGAAAATGTGATGAAAGATTTTTCTAAACGTCAGCCAGCTCCCTGAGGACTCCGATCATGTCTACTTTGAACCTTTAACTCTCTTAATAATGGGTAGAAGAAATATCATCCATAAGAATGACTTAGGTTGGGAAGCAGGTTAACATGAAAATCTACAAATATTTAAAATAAAAATATTTTATTTCTCTCCTGTTAAATTCATAGAGACAGAAAGTAGAATGGTGGTGGCCATGGACTGCGGGAGGAGTGAATAGGGAGCTGTTTAATGGGTGCAGAGTTTCTGTTTTTCCAAGATGAAAAAGTTCTGGAGATTGGCCGTACAACATAAACACGTCCAGGCGTGGTGGCTCACGCCTGTAATCCCAGTACTTTGGGAAGCTGAGGCGGGTGGATTGCCTCAAGAGTTCGAGACCAGCCTGGCCAACATGGTGAAACCTTGTCTCTACTAAAAATACAAAAAATTAGCCAGGTGTGGTGGTGCGTGCCTGTAATCCCAGCTATTCAGGAGGCTGAGGCAGGAGAATCGCTTGAACCCAAGAGGCGGAGGTTGCAGTGAGCCGAAATCATGCCACTTGCACTCCAGCCTGGGCGACAGAGCAAGACTCTGTCTCAAACACACACACACACACACACACCCAACATAAACATTACTTAACACTACCAAACTCTATTCTTAAAAATGGTTGAGATGATAAATTTTATGTATATTTTACTACAATTTAAAAAAATTTATTCTTAAATCTAGAGTTAGAAAAAGGATACATAGGCCAGGCATGATGGCTCATGCCTGTAATTTTGGGAGGCCGAGGAGGGTGGAACCCAAGGTCAGAAGATCGAGACCATTCTGGCTAACATGGTGAAAACCCATCTCTACTAAAAATACAAAAAATTAGTCGGGCGTGGTGGCATGTGCCTGTAGTCCCAGCTACTTGGGAGGCTGAGGCAGGAGAATTGCTTGAACCCGGGAGGCGGAGGTTGCAGTGAGCCAAGATAGCGCCACTGCACACTCCAGCCTGGACGACAGAGCAAGACTCTGTCTCAAAAAAAAAAAAAAAAAAAAAAAAGAACACGTAAAAGAAAAACAATCAATGCAGATAATGTTTTCCTACAAAAGAATGGAAAGTCAAAGAAATGTGTTTCTCTTCTGGGAAACTTCCTACTAGACAAGTGAAAAATTATTTATGGTCAACTTGAAGCCCCAACTCTTTAATCCTTCTTCCTGTATGTGTGATTCAATGTGTCTTTCCTGATCACACAAAAAAATGGATTAACCGCATTAGCCATCTGAACACAGATAAGAAGACTGTATTGTTATGTGTTATGTTATCACTTAGTGTGTTTCCAGAAACAAACCAAAAGGCCTGGAAATGCTTATCAGCGGGGGAATGTAGAATTCTCCCTCAACAATGTCGTCTCACAGCTCCTGTAGACTCTGGATGGTTTGCACTTTGAGAAGTGGAAGTAGTTCATGTCATGCTACTTTCTATTCCTACCGAATGCCACGCATGCCTGTGTCTCAGCCAGCCGCTACCTGAAGAGGCCAAGTATGCTGAGTTTCATTTCAGGACCAAGTAGCTATGATGGGTGTAACGGCCTGGTCCACTCCAGTGGAGAAAGAAACTGAGAACTCAAATGGGTCAAGAGAGTTACTTCCTGTATAGGACTGATCCTATGTGGTGTTAGTAACTGTCTAAAGATGTATTAAGGTGGGACTTAGGGTTTTTGTGTTCATTTAGTTGCATCAGGTTTTTTTAAGCTGTGAAATGCAAGGGGTTTTGAAATGCAAAATACTTAAGCTGTGAAATGCAGAAGCCTGACTCCTACTCTGATTCTATGGTTCATAGAGTAGAGTGTGTGGTCCAGCAAGAGGCTGAAATAAGAGTGGAAAATGCTGCTTATGTGTCCCCTTCTGGGAGATTCATAGCGCTCATGAGCAGATTGAAAACTTAGCCAAGAGAACTTGGGAAACTTTGTTTAACTTTTAACCAAGTATTGTAGAGAGGAAAATCACTTCTCAAGAGTTTTCACAAAAGTGTTTTGTTGATTCATCAAAGGCCCGACCTGAAATAAGACAAAAACGTTTCATTTCTGTCAAGTAAGCCTTCTTTATTCTGCTGGCCAGGAAGGTAATGATTCTAACAAATTTGTGTTGGGATACAAAAAAAGAAACTGGTTGGGTGCAGTCGCTCACACCTGTAATCCCAGCACTCTTGGGAAGCCGAGGCTGACAGATTTTCTGAGATTCAGGCGCTTGAGACCAGTCTGGCCAACAAGGTAAAACCCCGTCTCTACTAAAAATTAAAAAATTAGCCAGGCATGGTGGCTAATTTCAAGAAGAATTGCTTGAACCCAGGAGGCGGAGTTTGCAGTGAGCTGCGATTGCACCACTGCACTCCAGCCTGGGCAACACAGCGAGGATCCATCTCAAAAAAACAAAACAAAACAAAACAAAACAAAAAAACCCCCAAAAAACAAAAAAGGAAACCTCTAACAGTGGTAAAATGCATGTGGTTTGGAGCCCTAATTTGCCACTCTCTAGCTATGTGACCTAAATAGTAAGCTACTTAACAGCTACAAATCTCAGTTTTCCTATCTATAACATGGGGACAATGACAGTGCCATCAAAGGGTTGCTGTGAGGATTAAACATATTAATAATAGTAACGATGGCAAATATTGTTTATTGAGACAAAGAAATGGTTCCAGAGAGGCTAGGCAAACTACCCACAGGTACATAACAAGTGGCTGGGCCTGGATTTGAACCCAGGCAGTTAAATTCCAAAACTCCTCTCTTCACTACAGCCTTCCCATTGATTCCAGTGGGTACTCAGCATAGCGCCTTGCCCATGGGAGATGATATTTTTATTATTATCATTGACGGTAAAGACTCTGGAAATGAAATTAGATTTTAGAGCTTTAAGTGCTCCAGAGGTGTAATAACTAAGGGGCAAATTTCTTGAAAGTGTTTTTATCCTCCCTTCCTTAACTACTCTCCAGGGCATCCAAAGAAATTCCTTTCCCATGGGAAATAGCTGCATTTTTTTTTTTTTTTTTTTTTTTTTTTTTTTTTTTTTTTTTTTTTGTAGCACAGCTGTAACTTGTGAATATTCCCTTCCCACTTGAAGCTGGGTGTTAATATACTCTCATTCTGACCCAGCACTGAATTGCAAAATGTAGTCACTCACTTTTTCTTACAAGTAGAAGCACCCTAATCACATAGTTACTTGGTAATTTTCACCTCTCAAAATCTTAGGAAAAAAAAAAAAAGGCCGGGCTCGTTGCTCACCTGTAATCTGTAATCCCAGCACTTTGGGAGGCCGAGGATGGTGGATCATGAGGTCAGGAGTTCAACACCAGCCTGGCCAACATGGTGAAACCCCGTCTCTACTAAAAAATACAAAAATTAGCCGGGCGTGGTGGTGGGCACATGTAATCCCAGTTACTCGGGAGGCTGAGGCAGGAGAATCGCTTGAACCCGGATAGCAGAGGGTGCAGTGAGCCGAGATCGCACTACTGCACTCCAGCCTGGGCAACGAGAGTGAAACTCTGTCTCAAAAAAAAAAAAAAAAAAGCTTTGCTTTTACAAACTCATTTGTGGCTGGCAGCTGGGTGATAAAGCCTTGCCTCCTTGCCGTGTCAGCTTTCAGGAATTCTCTGTTTGTCTGTGTTGTGTTACCCAAGTAGCCTGTTATCTTTGCGGTTTAAGGGCTGACTTGGAAATTCAGACTGTCATCTATTTAAAGAAAATGGAAGTCCCCACTCCACTATTTTAATTAACTTTCAGAGAGCAGGGTTTCCTACTGGTTATGATAATGTTAACTTAAAATACTCTGAAGGGAACACGGCAGGAAACAAAATAAAAAGGGAGGATTGCTGTTTTTAAAGGTATTCTAGGAAGAAGAGTTTGAACAAAGCCATGAAGGCAGATAGCATGGGCCATGCGGAGAAAAAATGAAGAGAGGCATGAGCAGATACTAAGGAGTATGCACAGCAGAGAATGGGAGACTAAATGTGTAATGCCAACCAAATATGGCCTTGAATGCCAGGTTGTGCTGGTGTTGGTGGGCAGGTGTCTGTGTGCAATGAGAAATTAAGAGATTTTTAGAAATAAACAATGATCAAATCTATGTCGTAGGAAGGTAGCTGGAAGTTACGCACAGGCAGTAGTGTGTGGTGGAATCAGAACAGATCTGAGAACTCACCAGCAATGTAACAATCTCTTTGGGCTTAAATTTTACATTTATTACTTTGTTCAATGGAGATAATAGCTAATGTGGTAAGACTGAATGAAATCAGACATGTACATTTAAAATAATGCTGTAGGCCAGGTACGGTGGCTCACGCTTGTAATCCCAGCACTTTGGGAGGCCTAGACGGGCAGATCACCTGAGGCCAGGAGTTCGAGACCAGCCTGGCCAACGTGGTGAAACCCCGTCTCTACTAAAAACACAAACAATAGCTGGGCATGGTGGTGCTCATCTGTAATTCCAGCTACTTGGGAGGCTGAGGTAGGAGAATTGCTTGAACCCGGGAGGCGGAGGTTGCTGTGAGCAACCTCACACCACTGCACTCTAGCCTGGGCGACAGAGTGAGATTCCATCTCAAAAAATAATATATAAAATAACACTGTAATACCCAATTATTAGCTCAACACATAATTCACACACACACACTTTTACAGTCAGGCTGAGTGGGAAGGAATGAGGGCTGAGAAAGTTGCGGTGCTGATCAGCAGAAGGAAATCTGTCTGACAGGTGGGAAAAAGATGGGAAAGGAAAGGGGAAATCCTCAGACAGCATGCAAGAGAGAATGGAGCTGTAATTCAAAGGGAGACAATGGAAGAGGAGCTGGTTTGGAGGCTGGGCTGTTGGTGAGGTCAGCTTCGGAAATGCTGAATTCAAGAAAGAGGTGGATATTCACAAGGAGTGGACCAGAGCAGCCTTAAGAATTAGGTGGTCAGTCATTGTTTTTACTGAAAAAGCCACTTTGCCTAGGAAGGTATTTGGGGACATATTTTGGTCAATGTTTGTTTGTTTATCATGTTTTTTGAGACACAGTCTCAATGCCTGTAGTCCCAGCTGCTTGGGAGGTTGAAGCAGGAGAATCTCTTGAACCCAGGAGGTGGAGGTTGCAGTGAGCCAAGATGGCACCATTGCACTTCAGCCTGGGCGACAGAGCGAGACTCTGTTTAAACAAAAATCCCAGCATTTTGGGAGGCTGACGTGGGCGGATCACTGAGGTCAAGAGTCTGAGACCAGCCTGGACAACATGGTGAAAACTTGTCTCTACTAAAAATACAAAAATTAGCCGGGCATGGTTGTATGTGCCTGTAATCCCAGTTACTTGGGAGGCTGAGGCAGGAGAACTGCTTGAACCCAGGAGGTGGAGGTTGCAATGAGCTGCACTCCAGTCTGGATAACAGAGCAAGACTAAAAATAAATACACACAGATGTTCATCACAGCATTATTTATATTAGCTTTATGGGGAAAAAAAGCTAATATAAATAAGGCCATGATGAACATCTTTTTTCCCATTATTTATATGGGAAACAAGTAATATTTGTAACAATAGGGGAGTCCATCATGTCCATCAATTTGGTAAAATAAGATGGATTACAGGAACTGTTTTAAATACTTTACAAATGCAATATTAATTCATTTAATCCTCACAGCAATCCTATGGAGTGTGTATTATAATTGTAAGTCCCATTTTACAGATGAGGAAACTGAGGCTTGGAGATTTTAAGTAATTTGTTCAAGATTACACAGGTAATAAGTAGCCAAGCTGGCATTTGAATCAGGCTGTCTGGTTCCACAGTCTTTGCTCTAACCACTACAACATTGCCTCATGGTATTTTATTTTGCCTGACTTTCTTTGTGTGTGTGTGTGTGTGTGTGTGTGTGTGTGTGTGTTTTTAGACAGAGTCTTGCTCTGTTGCCCAGGCTGGAGTGCAGTGGAACGATCTCTAGCTCAGTGCAAACCTCCACCTCCACCTCCAGGTTCAAGCGATTCTTGTGTCTCAGCCTCCTCAGGAGCTGTTATTACAGATGTGTGCTGCCATGCACAGATAACTTTTGTATTTTTAGTAGAGACAAGGTTTTGCCATGTTGGCCAGGCTAGTCTCAAACTCCTGGCCTCGAGTGATCCGCCTATCTCGGCCTCCTAAAATGCTGGGATTACAGAAGTGAGCCATTGCACCTGGCCTTGGCTGATTTTCTTTTCTTTTTTTTTTTTTTTTTGTGACAGAGTCCCACTCTGTCATCCAGGATGGAGTGCAGTGGCACCACCTTGGCTCACTGCAACCTCCACCTCCTGGGTTCAAGCAATTATCTCGCTTCAGCCTTCCAAGTAGCTGGGACTACAGGCGTCTGCGAACGTGCCAGGCTAATTTGTTTTTTTTTTTTTTTTTTTTTTGAGACAGTTTCACTCTTGTTGCCCAGGCTGGAGTGCAATGGTGTGATCTCGGCTCACCACAACCTCTGCCTCCTGGGTTCAAGAGATTCTCCTTCCTCAGCCTCCCAAGTAGCTGGGATTACAGGCATGTGCCACCATGCCCAGCTAATTTTGTATTTTTAGTAGAAACAGGGTTTCTCCATGTTGGCCAGGCTGGTCTCGAATTCCCGACCTCAGGTGATCCACCTGCCTCG
This sequence comes from Homo sapiens, assembly GCF_000001405.40. Classification (NCBI taxonomy): domain Eukaryota; kingdom Metazoa; phylum Chordata; class Mammalia; order Primates; family Hominidae; genus Homo; species Homo sapiens. The sequence goes on from NC_000003.12 coordinate 69,246,090, forward strand.
GCCTCCCAAAGTGCTGGGATTATAGGCGTGAGCCACTGTGCTCGGCACCCGGCGCCTGATTTTCTCAGAAGAGTTTTGTAACAAGGCAGGGTGCGATGGCTTGCACCTGTAATCTCGGCGCTTTGGGAGGCCAACATAGGCAGATCAGCTGGGCCCAGGAATTTGAGACCAGCCTGGGTAACATGGTGAATCCCTGTTTCTACAAAAAATACAAAAATTAGCCAGGTGTGATGGTGTGTACCTGTAGTCCCAGCCACTCAGGAGGCTGAGATGAAAGAACTGATTGAGCCAGGAGGTGGAGGTTATAGTGAACTAAGATCATGCCACTGCACACCAGCCTGGGTGAGAGAACAATGCTCTATCTCAAAAATAAACAAAAACAAAATAAAACAAAAGAAAAACAAAGAGGAGTTTTAGAACAAAACTTTGGAGGAAAAACATATCCTCTCTATTCAGGGGAGAAGATCAGATAGGGAGAGCATGGTAATTTGCAAAATGCTCCCACATGTCCTGAAAACCAACCTGCAAAGCCATTGTTTTGATTAACCCCAATTTACAGATGAGGGAACCGAGGCTCAGACAGGATAAGTGGCCACTCAGAGGGATGTTGCCAGTCTGCGTGATTTCCAGTCCCACGCTCTCTCCACTACTTAGTGTAGTTTGGACAATTTCAAAACAGTGTGCGCCACTTCAACCTCGTGATCACTCAGGAAAACCACCAGGAACAAGCTCGAGTGAAGGCAAAGGTCTGGACTGGGCTTGCCCAGAATTAACTCGCCAACCTTGATGTCCTAGGGCTCAAATGTTTGAACAACTGAAGGACTGTCCCTTTTAGGCCTTCCTTTGCCTCAGGCAAGGGATCTTCCCTAAGGAAGGTTTGTGAAATTACCCTTTCTTTTTCTATTCTCCACCTCCCCCATAACTATAGGTTATTACAGCTTCTTCAGACCAACCTTAGTCTCAAAAGTCTCATCAGAGGTAGATAAGAGACCAGATAGGATGATAGTAATAATGAGGATAATAATAACTAAATTAATAATAATAGCCCAAGGGTGTAGATTACTTGCTATAAGCCAGATGTTGCCCTGGGCAACGTTTACATACATTTGATTCTCATGACAGTTTTATGGGAAAGGTACCATTTTACCGATGAGGAAACTGAGGCTCAGAGGGTGTCAGTCACAGCCTTGACTGGGGCTAAGTGGGGAAGGTGGGTTAGCAATCCATTGAGTGTGAGCTTTTGGGCCCTGAAACCCTCATTTACAAATTGACTTTAGAATCACCTCCCGTATGATTTCTTATCCAGGGTTGTTTTTTAAAAATCACCCCCATAAATGACTGTGTTCCTTGCATATCTGATATTCCCAGGAAACGTGGCTTTTCTGGAGAAGACAACAGTAGAGACACAGCAGCTTTTTTCTGAGTCTCACTCCGTCACCCAGGCTGGAGTGCAGTGGCGCGATCTTGGCTCACTGCAACCTTCGCCTCCCAGGTTCAAGCAATTCTCCTGCCTTAGCCTCCTGAGTAGCTGGGATTACAGGTGCCTGCCACCATGCCCAGCTAATTTTCTTTTTTTTGAGACGGAGTCTCGCTCTTTTGCCCAGGCCGGACTGCAGTGGCACTATCTCGGCTCACTGCAAGCTCCACCTCCCGGGTTCACGCCATTCTCCTGCCACAGCTTCCCAAGTAGCTGGGACTACAGGCACCCGCCACCGCACCCAGCTAATTTTTTTGTATTTTTAATAGAGACAGGGTTTCACCGTGTTAGTCAAGATGGTCTCGATCTCCTGACCTTGTGATCTGCCCGCCTCAGCCTCTCAAAGTGCTGGGATTACAGGCGTGAGCCACCGTGCCCGGCCACCCAGCTAATTTTTATATTTGTAGTAGAGACAGGGTTTCACCATGTTGGCCACGCTGGTCTGGAACTCCTGGCCTCAAGTGATCCTCCCTCCTCGGCCTCCCAAAGTGCTGGGATTACAGGCGTGAGCCACCATGCCCGGCCTCAGGCGTGAGCCTTTAATGATACTAATGGTCTGTAAACTACCTTATACTCTTGTTTTTTTTTTTAAACTCCTGCCCCTTTCTTTCCATTAAAAACAACTGGTGTTTGATTTTCATGATTTCTTCAAATTTCTTAACCTAGAAAAATGTAAATACACACACACACACACAAATATATATATATAGAGAGAGCACAAAACAGAACTGGTGGGAGATTGTGGTGAGGAATCATGGTGTTTTAAGTGGCATCCTTGAACATTCTACCAAAGCCGAATGGGAAGATGAGGAGAGTGTTGGGAGTTTCCGAACTGAAGTACAACTCCGTAACTGGAAGTTTTCAAGGTTGGAAGGCATTATTTTGTTAGTCCGTTAAGGGGCACATTATTCAAAGACTTGGCTGGGAATGAGTGCTAGGTGATCTGTAAATAATCTACGAGTAACGTCTACCAGGAGTCGAACATTAACATCGTAGAGGCCAGGCTTTCAAAGGGGTCATTGGCCTACAAAGGGAAGCATTGCCTCCACCCTTTAACTGTTTCTCTACAACTCCAACGATTGCATTAAAAGGACAGAATGGAGCAGGTAGAGGGTGAATTCAAATATAAACACCCTCTGTGGATGTGGCCAGTGAGGCAGTTAGAACCATTAAGTGTCTCCGCAGCAACAATACAACTGTTAGGTCAAGTGTATGAAGGGTGAGGCCCCTTCGGGGCAGCTGTGAAAGAAAGCCCCTATTAATCCCTTAACTAAGCAGCTGATGGATTTAATCTTTTTGTGCATACATTATAACTCTTCGAACACAAGATTATTGTAAGGTTTTTTTTTATCAGCATAAGCTATCAAAGCTTTTTATAGATTTCTTCATCTCACTAATTAACAGATGACAGAAAACAGAACTTTGGAGAGCTTCTGGTTCCATCGCTGTCATTCTGGCTTCAAAAACTGTAAGAAAGCATCATTCCCTGATTCATTCACAAAAAGAATAGGTCTCTATTTGAAGAGCGAAGAGATCTCAGTCTCCTGCCTTACAGATCTACTTTCCTTTGATTTTGTATCCATTGTTATTTAAAATAACCACATAAAATGATTCTTTAGGGTTATTTTGCATAGTAATATCAGAAAAGAAAAGCATTACCTGGTATAATCTCCCTTGGCTTCCTAAAAACAACAAACAAAAACAGAGTTGATCAATATGTATCTTTGTTAAGCTAAATGAGTTTTATCTTGATTACTTTCCCCTCTTAAAGTTCCTGAGTTTTGTTTTGAAGAGTGTTTCTCAGGAATGCTCTCCCTATAGGCATAAGAAGAATTAGGCATTGATAAGAAAACCCTGACTGTCCTGTTAGGAATATTCCTTATTCTTAACAAAAGAAACATATGTATGTGAAAAAGCACAGATAATTATTTCTCACTGTACGTTTTTAAGATCACATGATAAATGCTTTTCATTCAAGTGGCACACTTTTTAGACTGGAGGAAGACCTTTTAAACCACAATACAGGTAAACCAACACATACTATTTGTTTTCCCTTTACTTTTTAAACCAGCATGGAAACAGACTAATGCCTTTAAGAACTAAAGGGCTCTTTTACTGGACCACAAGAAAATGTATACAAAAGTTACTAAATTTAAATGAAAATTACAGCTGTTGTAACAACTGCTGCCTCCCAAATTCAAGTATCCCAGAGCTCTCTTCCAGGAATATGGGTTTAATTCTTCTCCTTCAGAGCAGTCTAAATTTCATTTTTCTTTGAGACTCACAATATCACATTGTAGCTCATGCAAACTATTCTAAAGCAGAAGACGGTGGCGCACATTTTTCATCGGCAAACAACTAACTGGCTTAAAAATCCAACAAACACTGGCCCATGCAAAAGTTTCAGAGTTGCAGGCAGTTAACAAAAACGAACAAACACAAGGGAGCTGCTAAGAGGCAGTTTGTCCAATCTTACCTGTAAAATAAACGCTGCTAACTTGAAGATGGTTTCGCTCTCTACTTCGATTTGCCCCTGTTGATGGAAAAGGAAAGCATCATTGAACATGGGGCTGTCCTAGATTGTAGCAAATGGCTCTGAAGTTGAGGAAGCTGTCACAGCTTGGCACCTCCAGTTTACGATCAAATGCAGATCATACCATTGCAGGGGAAAGTGGGGGGTGTGGAGAGACTCATTGAGGGTTAAGGCGAAACCACTGTGTGTGCGTGTGTGTGTGTGTGTGTGTGTGTGTGTCTATTTTAAATAGCTGTGGTGACGGATTATGTGTAGAGAGCAGTATTCAGGAAGAAACGGGAATGACTTTGAGGCTAAACATTCAGAAAACTTCTAAATGAAAAATTTTTATCTCTGCAAGTTCATTTTTAAGCACTCTGCAGAATTTCCTAGATTCATTTGTTGAGTGTTTTCCTGGGATAATTTTTTTCCCCTGTGTTACAGCATGGTTATTTCAGTATACACACAATGTAAATATTATTAAAAATATAAATTCACTTCTGTGTCAATGACACATTGTTGAGTTCATATTTGTACTATTACAGATAAAATGTGAGGCCTTAAAAATCAGTTACAGCAAATGCTTTGAAGACTAAAATTCTGTTGATTTATATTGAAGTTCGAGGAACTCTAATTTATCAGTTTTCCTTTTTTTTTTTTTTTTTTATCATTCAAAACCCCAAAGAAAAATTGGAGCTCTGGGCCTTGGTAAAGAATGCTTTTTCAGGGCCTGGCACAGTGGCTCATGCCCATAATCCCAGTACTCTGGGAGGCTGAGGGAGAAGGATCACTTGAGGCCAGGAGTTTGAGACCAGCTTGGGCAACATAGAGAGACCTCATCTCTACCAAAAAAGAAAAAAGCTTTTTCAGTAGACCAGTAGGGATGCATAGATATGTGCAGAAAGGGTATAGCTCTATCAATAATATTCATATGCACCTTTATATTTTTTAAATTGCGATGATACATGAAATATTATTACTAAACCATATTATAACAATGAATGGTATAGAGGTATCTTTATTTTAAAAAAAGGTTTTAGTGGTAACGTTAGCTTGTAAGTTTTAACAAATGCAAAAAAATTCCACGTAACTCCATTATTGCCTAAGTCCTGTATAATTAGTACTTGAAAGGGCACAGTATTTAAGAACATGGAATTCCTGGAAATTGCCCTGCATTCTTTCTTCCTCCCTTCCACCTCTTGAATCTGAGCTGGAGTGTTTCCTAGTTATACCAAGTGCATCAATGGGGAGATTAAGTCTTTTTAAAGTAAATATACAATAGACAGGTTCACAGAGGTAGTTAGGCTCAGTGAGGATTTCTGAAAGGATTGTGCTTTTCTTTCAGGTTTCCACGTGATTTGAAGAGGGTTCTCAAAAAACAAACAATAATTATTTTAAAACCCATAAAATAAAATGAACAAATAAAAACCCCAGGGTGTTACAATGCCAGCAGTGATAATTATTCATGTTTCCCTTATATTACAAGATGAAAACAAGTTAATTTCATCCTCTAACACACAGGCCGCCCTTCTGAAACCTGAGGAGAGGATCTGCTTCAAAGTTTATTGCCTCAAAAGCTGACAGGCCCAGAGCCTTGGAATTCAAAGCTCGCCCATAATCTCTAGAAACAGATTACAAAATCAAAGGGAAGCCAGGTTGATTGCAGAAATCAACTGCCCTCTGCCTTTCAGGCAGGAGACGATGGTTTTCCAATCTGGTGAAAGATGATGAGGCGGTTCATCCAACAGGTGAGGTGGGTGTTGATAAAGATTAAATTTTAGAAAGGCTACATTCCTTAGTTCAAAGAAAAAGAAACTCACGGCAAGGGAGGAGGGCTAACAGGAGAACTCAAAAACATCACTGGGTTTGAAATTAGGCAGGAACTCAAAGTTAAAGTCAAATGTGTCTTAAAATCTTAGAGAAGAAAAAATTACTTAAGATGTTAAAAACGCTAAAGATGAATAAAGTAAATTGAAAATTACTGCCAACTCCTCTGACATCCCACGACCCACCTTTGCATCATCAGAACCTCAGACAAGTCACCTGAAAAATATTTCAGACACCAACTTTTCAATTTATTAAATGGAAGTTCAGCAGACAGAAAAACCTACAGCAGATATTCTTAGGGAAGCAGCTAAATAACTTTCTACTTTAGAAGGGTTATTAAGTATTAAAAATGCTGAAATGAGGAACTGAGCAAGACAAGTACCAGGCTCAGACAGCTCCAGAAGAGTGGGGAGCAAATATCCAACTCACCTGTGGACTTTTCCACCTACACAAGTGGCCCCAATACAGTTCTGGTGGAGGAGGGTGACGGTGCGGTGAAGGAGTGGGCTCTAGCAAAATCTTGTTCCAGGAAGAGAAGAGAACGCATGCTTTGGCAAAGGCCCATATTCTTTTAAAACCCTCAGCCCCTACCTCACCTTCCATTGAACAATCACTGTTCTAGAAATCCCGGGCAACAAATTTTGAGTCCTAATACTGACTGCCAAAGTTCTTTGACTCATTCACGGAGTTTACTAAACAATACATTATTCAGGTGTAACACTATTTGCCCAGTTCTCTGCAATTTCATTTGATGAAATTTAATTAAGACTTAAAAAGAACTCCAGGATTTCAAGCCTGAAGTGTAAAAGCTGTTTTGGAAGTGCCGTCTGCCCAGGACAGAACATTGCTTTTACTCTCAACCATGGCAACAGAGGTAACATTATAGGTACCGGGCAAGCCAACACTTGAGAGAAGGATCTCCTCAAAGAGAGAGGTAACGGGACACTTCAGTGAGTTTCCATGACTGTCATGGATAAAAAAAGAGAACCAGAGAAGTGAGTCAGATGATGTGGCTGAATGCACAAAGGTAATATGAACAGTATCAAGTCCTGGTGCCACACCCTCATGGCTAATTTAACTGGGTTATAAATTCAATCAATAGGTCACCGGGTTCAGGTGCCACACAGGACATCTCATTTTTGTCTTTGGCTTCTTGGCTCAGTTGACCAAGACACCAGGCTAATGAGGTGAATTCTAGGTTTTGATTACCAAGTAGGAGAACAGAATCAAAGATAGTTTTGGGGCTCGCAAGGGAAATTAGTGAAAATATGATTCCTATTTTTTTTTTTTTTTTTTTTTGCAGATGATGGGAGGCAATGAGGATCAGGAAGATGAAGTGTAATGTCCAATCCCCTTGAACATGGCAACTCTGGACTCCCTGTCCAGTGCTCTTTCCACTCTACCATGCACTAGTTAACTTTTTATGACTGCAGTGCAAATTCTTATCAGGAATCCTCCAAAGGTATGTTTTTGGTAAAAACTGGAAACAGGTGAGGCTGTGGAAAAATGAATCCAAAGGCTATCTCCACTGTTGCTGGGACTGTATGTTATCAACATACACTCTCAAAGTAGAGTGGGAAAATATTTCTTAAGACTGATTCTGCTCTTCCCATATGGATCAGTACTTCATGGAAACTTATCTGTGCTACAGCAATGAATATTAATACTGTGGTCATAAATACTTAGGATTTAGACATACTTGAGAAACTACTGGGACACCTCAGTTTGTTTCCAAGCCTACTGCTAATTATCTATTTTAAGTAGAAGTCTTTAAAATTAACTTGTAGAACACCAACAAATAAATGTAGAAGAAATGAAAAAGAAAGAAAATTACCCTTGCACCTCTCTAGTACTAATTGATTCAGGCAATAATCTTCAATAAATAAAAACAGTTTATTGAAGTCTGGCTCAGGGGCTCACACCCATAATCCCAGCACTTTGGGAGGCTGAGGTGGGGGCACTGCTTGAGCTCAGGAGTTTGAGATCACGCACCATAGCGAAACCCTGCTCTACAAAATATCAAAAATTAGCCAGGTGTGGTGGCTCATGTCTATATTCCCACTACTAGGGAGGCTGAGGTGGGAGGATGGCTTGAGCCTGGGATGTCGAAGCTGCAGTGTGCCATGATCATGCCACTGCACTTCAACCTGGGCAACAGAGCAAGACCCTGTCTCAAAAACAAAAAGTAAAAAACTCACACCTTTTTTTTTTCTTTTTTAGACGGAGTCTCATACTGTTGCCCAGGCTGGAGTGCAGTGGTATGATCTTGGCTCACCACAACCTCCGCCTCCCGAGTTCAAGCGATTCTCCTGCCTCAGCCTCCCAAGTAGCTGGGATTACAGGGGCCCACTACCATGCCCGGCTAATTTTTGTATTTTTTTTTAGTAGAGATGAGGTTTCACCATGTTGGCCAGGCTGGTCTCAAACTCCTGACCTCAGGTGATCCATCTACCTCAGCCTCCCGAAGTGCTTAGATTACAGGCGTGAGCCACCGTACCCAGCCAAAACCCACAACTTTTGAGTGAAAGTTTGATGAGAAACAGGACAGGATATTAATGTAATCACAAATACCTCTCCATAGATTACTTATTAATCACAAAAGGGAAAACAGTAACTCTTCCAAGGGGAAGCTGACACATACCATCTTAACCCTGTGATGAGATATTGCCAATAATGGGATAGATCAGCTTCATGAGCCTCCTGATCATAAGGTATGCATGGAGGATTACACAACCCCACCTATCCAAGAAATGAAAATGTTTCACAACTGGAAACTGGGGGCTGGGAAAGGTCTGATTTGTAGCATTAGTTGATGTCGGCAGTGTAAATACTCCCACCATGGCTGATTTCAGGTTACCAATATAACATCACAGAACACAGAGGTGGAAAGAGATGTGAGAATTAGCTCTCAAGAGATGGTACAAGCTAGCTCCAGCACACCATGGTGTGGCATTCCTGTCAAAAATGCATTACTAGATCCAGTCATGAGGAACCATGAGACAGATCCAATCTGAGGGATATTCTGTAAAACATCTGGCTCATGCTCTTCCAAAATGCCAATATGATGAATATGAAAAAAGAGGTTCCAACGTACAGGAGACTGAAGAATCGTAACAACTAAGTGCAGCATGCTATCCCAGATCAGGAGGAAATATTACAAGGACGTTACTGGGACAACTGGACTGTATATTAAATAAATAGTAGAGGTTCAATGTTAAATTTTCTGAATGTGATCATTATAATTAGGTCATATATGGGATGTCCTTGATTTTAGGAAATATACAATGAAAATATTTAGGGATAAACAGGTATGATGTCTGTAACTTACTCTCAAGTGGGTCAAAAAATTTACATATGAAAGGAGAAAGTGCAAATGGAGCCAAATGTTAAAAACTGGTAAATTTGGCTTGGCAGACATACTAACAGCTTTTGGTACTATTCTTTCAACTCTTCTGTAAGTTTGAAATTGTCTCATAATAAAAGTTTGAAGCCGGGTCCAGTGAGTGGTATATGCCTGTAGTCCTAGCTACTCAGGAGGTGGAGTGGGGAGGATCGCTTGAGCCCAGGAATTCAAGGCTGCAGTGAGCTGTGATTGTGCCACTGCACTCCAGCTTGGGTGACAAAGCAAGACCCCATCTCTTAAAAAAAAAGTTTGCAAAAAGAAAAATATAGACATATATTCCTGGAGTGGTGGATATCTGTTTTGACTGGCAAGTACCCTTCTCTTTTTTTGAGCAGACAATTCCATTATCTTGGATAATTACTTCTTTCCCTATGGCTCTAGTAGAAACACATCATCAATTTTTTGGGGGAGGATGGAAACTGCTCCAAGGACCCACTCCAGGATTTTCTGAATTAGACCAAAGGGAAGAAAGTTCTCTCTCTCTTTCTCTGGGGGCAAAGTTGGGAAGATGTGATCTAGAGGAAATCGATGACCACAGATGGAAAGGAGCTACTTGATGTTGGTAGTCAACTGTATCCACTGCTGAGCAGAGTCAGACTTCAAAGCTTTTACAGTTCAAAAATTGACAAGAATGATACTCAAGCAGGGTGCTCTGGCTTGCACCTGTAGTCCCAGCTACTCAGAAGACTGAGGTGGGAGGATTGCTTGAGCCAAGGAGTCCGAGGCTGCTGTGAGCTGTGATTGCGCCACTGGACTCCAGCCTGGGTGACACGGTGAGACCTGTCCTTAAAAAAAATAAAAGGTTGGGGGGGAGGGACTATTTGGATGCTGTCTAGGATGCTCTCACTTTGGTTTACTGCCAAGCCAACAAACAGTGCAAAGAGCAGATGTGATAAGGACAGAAATGAGTGAGTGCATGCAGCTGCCTGGAGTTTAACTCACATCTCATTTCTCCTGAGGATAGATCTACATGGAGGTAGGAATATGCTGGGTCAGACAAATCCACACTGTTTTTGTTTGTTTGTTTTTGAGATGGAGTCTCACTCTGCCTCACAGGCTGGAGTGCAGTGGCATAATTTCAGCTCACTGCAACCTCTGCTGCCCGGGTTCAAGTGATCCTCTCACCTCAGCCTCCTGATCAACTGGGATTACAAGCACACGCTACCACACCCAGTTGATTTTCGTATTTTTAGTAGAGATGGGGTTTCACCATGTTGGCCAGGCTGGTCTCGAACTCCTGACTTCAAGTGATTCGCCTGCCTTGGCCTCCCAAAGTGCTGGGATTACAGGTGTGAGCCATGGCCCCTGGCCACCCGCACTGGTTTTTATGCAATTAGGCTGGTGGTGGAGGAGCCATGCCAACACTGAAGACCTCTACTACCCTACAAGGCAATTATTCCTAAGCCATAGAAACATATTCCTCTGTGCTGATGCCTATTTTCCAGGAGTTACTCTGCCCCCTAGAAAGCCAGGCCATAGCTACTACATTTGCACCCCACTCCTACTCACATCCTTTGGGTACATCATTTTCTCCCTTTTTGTCCAAGCTAGTTGTTAGAGGTAATCTTTATGGGGGATGGTCTCAGTGATATAATGCCCATTCATTCTTCTAGATCAGGGTTTTATAACCTCAGCACAACTGATATTTTGAGTGAGAGAATTCTTTATTGTGAGGCTGCCCTGGGCATTATAAGGTGGTAGGCAGCATCCCTGGCCTCTACTCACTAGGTGCCAATAGCAGCCTACCCCTGGCTGTGACAACTAAAAACATCTGTAGACACCACCAGATGTCCTCAGAATGGCCCCTACTTGAGAACCACTTCTCTAGGTTCTCTAAGTTTTATTCTTGGGTTAGGCTAGAATAATCAGAAACCTATATAAAGCATAAGGGCTCATCCAGGTAAAATTGCCTTTTTGGAACTGTATTCTGGCATTACTCCACTGGCTTATGTTGAAAAACAATATAAGTAACAACCCTCAGAACTCATTATTTTAATACTTCCAGTGTGTTGTTGAGAACACTGTTTATTACACAATATGATATCCCATTGGGAGGACCCATGGAAGAAGTTTCTGATTTTTCATATCGATATTGACTGTGCCCCTTCTGAGCAGCTCCTTTCTTTTTACCTTAATGACCACTCTGAGTTATGTAAGTGATTGTAACTCCCTCTTTACTGTGGCTCTTAAGAGAAGTTGAATTATAAATTTGTGGGCTAAATGCTTTATACTAACCATGCTAAATATTTTATACTAACCTTAATCTTGGCAGCATCTAGTTATTTCTACCTTTATTTTCTTATTTATAAATAACACTAATTTCATCACTTACTATATTTTAATATGTTCAGGATTGGCTTTTTTTTTTCTTGAGACAGAGTCTCTCTCTGTCACCCAGGCTGGAATGCAGTGGTGCTGTCCTGGCTCACTGCAGTCTCGACTTCCCAGGCTCAAGCAATTCTCCCACCTCAGCCTCCTGAGTAGCCGGGACTACAGGTGTGTATCACCATGCCTGGCTAATTTTTGTTTTGTTTTTGAGATGGAGTCTCACTCTGTCACCCAGGCTGGAGTGCAATGGTGCGATCTCAGCTCACTGCAGCCTCTGCCTCCTGGGTTCAAGCAATTATCCTGCCTCAGCCTCCCTAATAACTGGGACTACAGGTGCGTGCCACCACACCAGGCTATTTTTTTTTGTATTTTTAGTAGAGACAGAGTTTTGCCATGTGGCCAGGCTGGTCTCAAACTCCTGACCTCAAGTGATCTGCTTGCCTCAGCCTCCCAAAGTGCTGGGATTACAGGTGTGAGCCACCGTGCCTGGCCATAATTATTGTATTTTTTATAGAGACAGGGTTTTGCCATGTTGCCCAGGTTGGTCTTGAACTCCTGGGCTCAAGCAATCCTCCTCCCTCAGCTTCCCAAAGTGCTGGGGTTACAGGCGTGAGCCACTGCGCCCAGCCAGTATATTCAGTATTTAATTTTTTTTATTGAGGTACATACAATAAAATGCACAAGTCTCAGTGTACAGCTCAATACATTTTGACATGTGTTTGTTACTCATGTAATCATCACCCAGAACAAGATAGCAAAATCAAACATTTTCACTAATGTTTTCATCTTAGGGAAACATATATATTTCTATAAACTATATCAAATCAATACAATTATTTTGCTAGTTAAAAAAGTATAAATCCTGAAAAACAATTTCAATTTGCAGTTTTTTTTTCAATATCACCTTTACTGGTTTGAGCAATTTAAAAATTACTAACCAATTTGAATATTTCCCTTGCAAATGCATATTATTTACTATTACCCATATGTGAAATGAGCCTTTGTTTACTTGCCTATTTGAGAACCTCTGTTTGATCTGAGTTGCGTATACATTACTAATATTATTAACTCTCTGTCTTATCTACTAGGTACAAATTATGTCCTTCAATCTGTTCTCCTTTGACATGCCCTTCTCCTAGTCTGTGAAGTCTGATTGGACTGGGACCTATCTCCCCACTGGAAGAACCTGTGGGGCCATGAGAAAGTTATTTTTTCTGAAACTCAGCTCCTCATCTGCAAAATAGAAGATAATGTTAACTTTACCAAGTTGTTTGGAGCAGCAGTCCTCAGCCTTTTTGGCACCAGGGACCAGTTTTGTAGAAGACAATTTTCCCACGGACCAGGGTTGGGGGATGGTTTCGGGATAATTCAAGTACATTACATTTATTGTACACCTTATTTCTATTATTTTTACATTAATGAAATAATCATACAATTCACCATAATGTAGAATCAGTGGGAGCCCTGAGCTTGTTTTCCCGTAACTAGACCATCCCACCTGGGGGTGATGGGAGACAGCGACGGATCATCTGGCACTAGATTCTCAAAAGGAGTAGGCAACCTAGATTCCGTGCATGTGCAGTTCACAATAGGGTTTATGCCCCTACGAGAATCTAATGCTGCTGCTGATCTGACAGGAGGCAGAGCTCAGGCATTGATGCGAGTGATTGGGAGCGGCTGTAAATACAGATGAAGCTTCTCTCGTTCACCCACCCGCTGCTCATCTCCTGCTGTGTGGCCCGGTTCCTAACAGGCCATGGACTGGTAGCAGCCTGTGGCCTGGGGGTTGGGGACCCCTGGTATAAAAGCATTCAATAAAGGATGAATGTAAAGCATTTGTCACAAAGCCTAGCATCCAAAGACTCTCTTAATGTTATTCTCCACACTAATGTTCGCCATGTTGCTTCTTAAATTCATATGTCTGTTTTTAGATTCTCTCCTTTGCTCTGGGTCACTGTTCAAGTTTTATATAGTTCCATAACATTTAATCACTGTTCATTACAATATGTGTCAATATCTGATAGGATAAGTGCTTTAATTTTCCATATGAATCTTTGACATCCTCTTATTTTCAAAGAAATTTTAAATTGATCTTGTCAGGTTTAAAAAAGAAATAATAATTTGTCTTCCTCTTTGCAACCATAGCACATTTCTATTGAAATCACTTTTTAAAATTTGTTTTAGAAATGGGGTCACCCAGGCTAATGTGGAGTGGTGCAATCACTACTTACTGTAACATCAAATTCATGTGCTCAAGAGATCCTTTGGCCACAGCCTCCTGAGTAGGTGGGACTACAGGCACTGGCCACCATGCCTGGCTAATGAAATCGCTTTATAGTGATCATAAAGTTTTGTGATATACCTACAAATATCACACTCGTCCTATGTGAAGATTAATATTCAGTATTTTACATTTTGCTACACAAATGTATAGCAAACGCTTTTTTTTCATCCTATTGAGAGGTGACAACGTGCTAGCAGCCCTCGCTCGCTCTCGGTGCCTCCTTGGCCTCGGTGTCCACTCTGGTCTCGCTTGAGGAGCCCTTAAGCCCACCGCTGCACTGTAGGAGCCCCTCTCTGGGTTGGCTGAGGCCAGAGCTGGCTCCCTCTGCTTGCGGGGAGGTGTGGAGGGAGAGGCGCCAGCGGGAACCAGGGCTGTGCACCGTGTTCGCGAGTTGGCGAGTCAGCACGAGTTCCGGGTGGGCGTGGGCTCGGCAGCCTCTGCACCCGGAGCGGCTGGTCGTCGCCGCCAGCCCTGGGCAGTGAGGGGCTTAGCACCCAGCCAGCAGCTGCGGAGGGTGCACCGGGTCCCCCAGCACTGCTGGCCCACCTGCGTCGCGCTCGAATTCTAGCCCAGCCTCAGCCACCTCCCCATGGGGCAGGGCTTGGGACCTGCAGCCCGCCATGCCTGAGCCCCCCCTTGGTGGGCTTCCACATGGCCCGAACCTCCCCAATGGGCGCCGCCTGGTCCCATCGACCGCCTAAGGGCTGAGGAGTGCAGGCGCGTGGTGCGGGACTGGCGGGAAACTCTGCCCGCAGCCCCAGCACGGGATCCACTAGGCGAAGCCAGATGGGCCCCTGAGTTAAGTAGGAACTTGGAGAACTTTTATGTCTAGCTGGAGGATTGTAAAAGCAACAATCAGCACTCTGTGTCTAGGTAAAGGTTTGTAAATGCACCAGTCAGTGCTCTGTGTCTAGCTAACCTAGTAGGCACTTGGAGAACTTTTATATCTAGCTAGAGGATTGTAAATACACCAATCAGCACTCTGTGTCTAGCTCAGGGACTGTAATCGCACTAATCAGTACCCTGTCAAAACGGACCAATCAGCTCTCTGTAAAATGGACCAATTAGCTCTCTGTAAAATGGGCCAATCAGCAGGATGTGGGTGGGGTCAGATAAGGGAATAAAAGCAGGTTGCCAGAGCCAGATTTCGCAACCTGCTTGGGTCACTTTTCACACTGTGGAAGGGTTGTTCTTTTTGGTCTTTGCAATAAATCTTGCTGCTGCTCACTCTTTGGGTCCACACCACCTTTAAGAGCTGTAACACTGCTGGCGAAGGTCTGCATTTTCATTTATGAAGCCAGTGAGATCATGAATCCACCAGAAGAAAGAAACTCCGAACATCAGAAGGAATGGACTTTGGACACACCATCTTTAAGAACTGTAACACTTATCACGAGGGTCCACGGCTTCATTCTTTAAGTCAGTGAGACCAAGAACTCACCAATTCTGGACACACTATTATCTGATTATTAACATGCAGGATTATGACTGCTTTTAGTGTATTTAACTTATAACCAATGTCTCACCAAAGCTAATAATGTTAACTTTTAGCTAATTTATTTCCATTTTCTAGGCTTATAGTAAAATTGTCTCCAAGTAATATTTTTGTGTAGTTCTTTGCAATGTCCGTGGTATATCTGGTTGCATTACATGAAACAGACTTTATATCTTACTGCACACTTCATACGTGGCTGGTGGACTCTAAGTTGGTATTGTTTTTGTTTTCTTTGAAAGCAGACATTTTTAAATTTTCATTTTATTTATTTATTTGAGATGGAGTCTCCCTCTGTTGCCCAGGCTGGAGTGCAGTGGCACGATCTCAGCTCACCACAACCTCCACCTCCCGGGATCAAGCAATTCTCCTGCCTCAGCCTCCTGAATAGCTTGGAATACAGGCGTGTGCCACCATGCCTGGCTAATTTTTGTATTTTTAGTAGAGATGGGGTTTCACTATGTTGGCCAGGCTGGTCTCAAACTCTTGACCTTGTGATCAGCCCTCCTTGGCCTCCCAAAGTGCTGGGATTACAGGCTGAGCCACCGTGCCTGCCCTATTTTTATTTTTTTAAGACAGAGTCTCACTCTGTCACCCAGGCTGGAGTGCAGTGGTGCAATACTGGCTCACTGCAACCACTGCCTCCCAGGTGCAAGCGATTCTCATGCCTCAGCCTCTTGAGTAGCTGGAATTTCAGGCTCCCGCCACCATGCCCAGCTAATTTTTGTATTTTTAGTAGAGATGGGGTTTCACCATGTTGGCCAGGCTAGTCTTGAACTCCTGGCTTCAAGTGATCCACCCACCTCAGCCTCCCGAAATGCTAGGATTACAGGCACGAACCACCATGCCAGGCTTATAAGTTGGTTTGGATCAATGTTTTGGCAGAGTCTACTAAAGCATAACATACATATACACTATGGCTCAGCAATTTTCTCCTAAGTATACACCTAGCAGACATGTTTGCATATGTCCACTCAAAGACAGGCACTAGGATCTTCAAAGCAGTGCTATTTGTAATAATCAAATACTGCAAGGTACACAAATGACTTTTTTTTTTTTTTTTTTTTTTTTTTGAGATGGAGTTTCGCTTTTGTCCAGGCTGGAGTGCAATGGCTCGATCTCCACTCATCATCGCCTCCCAGGTTCAAGTGATTCTCCTGCCTCAGCCTCCCTAGTAGCTGGGATTACAGGCATGTGCCACCGCGCCTGGCTAATTTTGTATTTTTAGTAGAGCTGGGGTGTCTCCATGTTGGTCAGGCTGTTCTTGAACTCCCAGACCTCAGGTGATCCGCCCGCCTTGGCCTCCCAAAGTGCTGGGATTACAGGCGTGAGCCACCGCGCCCGGTCCACAAATAAGTAAATGAAGTATATTCATACTATATACTACTATTCAGCAGTGAAAATGAACAAGCTGGGCATAGCTACATACAAGAATATGGATGAATCTCAAAAACATAATTTGAGTAAAAACAGCCAGACAATAAAAGAATACATACTGTATGACTCCTGTCATACAAAGTTCAAAGTCAGCCCAAACTAAGAAATGCTGTTAAAAGCAATTGTAGGCTGGGCACGGTGGCTCACGCCTGTCATCCCAGCACTTTGGGAGGCCAAGGTGGGCAGATCACCTGAGGTCGGGAGTTCGAGACCGGCCTGACCAATATGGTGAAACCCCGTCTCTACTAAAAATACAAATTAGCCAGGCATGGTGGCAGGCAGCTGTAGTCCCAGCTACTCAGGAGGCTGAGACAGGAGAACTGCTTGAACCCGGGAGGTGGAGGTTGCAGTGAGCCGAGTTTGTGCCACTGCACTCCAACCTGGGTGACAGAGCAAGACTCCGTCTCAAAAATAAATAAATAAATAAATAAAAAAGCAAATGGTAGCAGACAGAATAAGGACTGTAAGAGAAAATGTGAGGGGCTTCTTGGGTGCCAGTAATCTTCTGTTTCCTTGACGTTGATGCTAGTTTGCTAGTTACATGCACTTTTTTTTTTTTTTTTTTTTTTTTGAGACAGGGTCTTGCTCTCTTGCTCTGTCACCCAGGAGTGCAGTGGTACTATCATGGCTTACTGCAGCCTCGAACTCCTGGGCTCAAGTGATCTTCCCACCTCAGTCTTCCAAATAGCTGGGACTAAAGGTGTGTGCCACCATGCCTGGCTAATTTTCCATTTTTATATTTTGTAGAGACAGGATCTTGCTATGTTGCCCAGGCTGGTCTTGAACTCTTGGGCTTAAGCAATCCACCCACCTTGGCCTCCCAAAGTGCTAGGATTACAGACATGAGCCATAGTACCCAGCCTATATGCACTTTTTAATATGTATATTATTCTTCAATACAAAGTTAAGAAACAACTCCTGATCTTACTTGTATCCTTTTCCATCTGACTGAATGGCAACCCCATTCCTTTTTTTTTTTTTTTTTTTTTTTTTGAGACAGAGTCTCGCTCTGTTGCCCAGGCTGGAGGTGCAGTGGTGTGATCTTGGCTCGCTGCAACCTCTGCCTCCTAGGTTCAAGCAATTCTCATGTCTCAGCCTCCTGAGTAGCTGGGATTACAGGCACACACCCCCAAGCCCTGCTAATTTTTGTATTTTTAGAGACTGGGTTTTGCCATGTTGGCCAGGCTGGTCTCAAACTCCTGGCCTCAAGTGATCCGCCCACCTTGGCCTCTCAAAGTGTCAACCCCATTCTTAATTGCTTAGATCCAAGACCTCCATTGGCATTACTGGACACAGAGTTGGGCAGTGAGCAATCTGCACAACTGTATTTGATGACTCTGTTTACATCTCCTAATACACTATACACATTATTTATTTTCTTTATTGTCTGATGCCCTACCTGCTGTCACCCCTGCCTAGTAGGTATAATTCTTAAGGGCAGGAATTGTTATCTGTTTTTGCCACAGTTGTAGCTCCAGAAGCTAGAACACTCCCTGGCACACAGCAGGTGTTCAGTATTTGTAGAATAGCAACTGAAAGAGTAATGAAGTAAAAAGTTGGTGGGGGTATTTATATCTTTCTTTTTAAAAAGGGAATGCTTCTTGTGTTTCGTGATTCACTATAGATTTGATTTGCCCTGATTTTCAGCTCAGAGTAAGGGATCCCAGGTTTTTGAACTGTGAGGACATAGCCCAGGCTTCACCATCTATAAGAACTGTAAGCATACCTAGACAGCAATTCTAGATAAGCAAATTTACACTACACACAAAGAGGTGTTAGATGTCAAAATATCATTTACTCTTCTGGCTTTACTTTCTACAAAAGTAGCAGGAAAATAAATAATATCTATGTAATACTTCATGGAGTTTTGAGGACAAACAAAGATGAGACATAAAGATGCTTTGAAAAAGTAAAAGACATTACAAAAAAACAAACAAATACAGGTATTTTTGTGGGTGTGTATCACAGTTTCAAAGACATGAGCATTATGACCAAAGTATCTGGGCAGACCGCTTCTCAGAAACTTGATCACGATGAAGATAGGAATAAACGGAGACAGAGAAAGTTTGTCATATGTGAATTAATGCTCAGCCGTGGGAGGATAATACAAATATACAGATATGAGGTCGGGCGCGGTGGCTCACGCCTGTAATCCCAACACTTTGGGAGGCAGAGGCAGGCGGATCATGAGGTCAGGAGATCGAGACCATCCTGGCTAACACGGTGAAACCCCTCTCTACTAAAAATACAAAAAAATTAGCCGGGGGCAGTGGTGGGCGCCTGTAGTCCCAGCTACTCGGGAGGCTGAGGCAGGAGAATTGCTTGAACCCAGGAGGTGGAGCTTGCAGTGAGCCGAGATTGCGCCACTGCACTCCAGCCTGGGCAACACAGCGAGACTCCATCTCAAAAAAAAAAAAAAAATATATATATATATATATATATATATATATATATATATATATATATGCAGATATGAAAATGAGAAAGGAGAGAAAACTAGCCAGACCATACTTTCCCCAGGTAGCAGCCCAGGTATGGTTTGTGCAATGCACTTTTATTTTTAGATGGCTAGATGGCTAGGTGGCACATTTATTTGTCCTTTTTTTTTTTTTTTTTTGAGATGAAGTCTCGCTCTGTCACCCAGGCTGGAGTGCAGTGGCGCGATCTCGGCTCACTGCAAGCTCCGCCGCCCGGTTCACGCCATTCTCCTGCCTCAGCCTCCCGAGTAGCTGGGACTATAGGCGCCCACCACCAAGCCCGGCTAATTTTTTGTATTTTTAGTAGTGACGGGGTTTCACTGTGTTAGCCAGGATGGTCTCGATCTCCTGACATCGTGATCCACCCACCTTGGCCTCCTAGAGTGCTGTGATTACAGGCGTGAGCCACAGCGCCTGGCCACATATTTGTTCTTGAGATGAAGTTCCAAGTAGTTTAAATAGAAACCAGATCTTTGTTTCTAGATACCATTCTCCACTAAAAGGAAAAATGGTTGATTCCAAGGCTATGGCAGCAAAAGTTTAGAGAAAGCCTGGACTGTCTTATCATGTCATAAAATAAAGAAGTGAGGCCAGGCATTGTGGTTCACGCCTGTAATCCTAGCACTTTGGGAGGCCTAGGCAGGAGGATTGCTTGAGCACAGTAGTTCTAGACCAGTCTGGGCAACATAGTGAGACCCTCTTGCTACAAAAAAAAAAAACTTTAAATTATCCAGATGTGATGGCATGCACCTGTAGTCCCAGCTACTTGGGAGGCTGATGAGGGAGAATCATTTGAGCCTGGGAAGTTGAGGCTACAGTGAGCTGTGATTCCATCACTGCACTCCAGCCTGGGTGACAGAGTGAGACCTTGTCTCAAAAAAGAAAAAAAAAAGCTCAAAAGTGGTGAGGACAAGCCATAAGAACACAGGATGTGACTTAAAGAGGATTCTGTTGGGCAAAGTGAGAACCATTAAAGAGCATCAAAATGAATGACAGAAAGGATTTTTTGTGTGTGCGTGTGAGATGGAGCAGCCTGCCGCCCAGGCTGGAGTGTGGTGGCACAATCTTGGCTCACTGCAACCTCTGCCTCCCAGGTTCATGTGATTCTCCTGCCTCAGCCTCCTAAGCAGCTGGGATTACAGGCACCTGCCACCACGCCTGGCTAATTTTTGTATTTTTAGTAGAGATGGGGTTTTGCCACTTTGGCCAGGCTGGTCTCGAACTCCTGACCTCAGGTGACCCACCCACCTCGGCCTCCCAAAGTGCTGGGATTACAGGCATGAGCCACCGTGACTGGCCTGAAAAATAGTTTTTAAAAATGAAGATGGAGAAGAAGGAAAAATTATTCTTTACGTATGAATGCTAACTAAGAAATGTTGAAGGTGATTCAATTAGAAACTTAGATTTTGCAATGACCATAGTACTAACTGACTTAGGTAAGATCACCACTGGAGGCCAAGATCATTGGGTCAAAGACTGTTAAGAAACAGGATAGTCAAGTAGCCTCAAAGTGTCAATTCCAGAAAACTTAATTACAAAGGAAAAGGTGACTTCAGAATAATCTGGCAGATACCACCTCAACTCAAACAAGACAGACTAACATTGCATACCTCCTTGTGAGATGCAACTGAGGCCATTTCATCATCTATAGAGTGTTCGTGCCATGAGAAAATTATTAGACTAGTGATTCTAAAACTTTGGTGTATTGCAGATACCTGGAGAACTAATAAAGAATACAGAGCCCCAGGCTCATCAAAGTATTAATAGGATAGAAAGAGATAGGACAGGGTGTAGGTTTCTGTGTTTTCACCATGTTCCCAGATGTTTCTGATTCATGTCCAACATGACATGTGTTTGGAACCAGTGAGTTAGAGAAATCCATATTTCACAAATTGAGAGATCTTCTAAGGCAGCTGCCCTATACTCTTCAGAAATACCAGTGTAATACAAGCCAAAGGAAGACTGGCCTGCTCTTGATTATAAAGGAGACTTTAGAGTTATACCCACTAAATGCAATGTGTGACCCTGAATTGGCTCTAGGACCAGAAAAGGGTGGGAAAGACTAGAAACAACATTAGCTATCAGAGCAATTTGAATAAAGACTGTATATTAAACACAATTTGTGAACTATGGTTATTAATTTCATAAAACTGTAACCTCCACATGGGCAGAGATATCTTTAACTCACTACTGCACACCCAGCACCTATATAGGCCTAGCACATAGAAAATATTTAGTACATATATATATATGTGTGTGTGTGTGTGTGTATATATATATATATATATATATATATATATATATATATATAGAGAGAGAGAGAGAGAGAGAGAGAGAGAGAGAGAGAGAGAGAGAGAGAGAGAGTGTCTGTCTGTCCCCCCAGTCTATCTCTGCCTCCCGGGTTCAAGTGATTCTTGTGCCTTAGCCTCCCAGGTAGCTTGAATTACAGGCATGCACCACCATGCCTGGCTAATTTTTGTACTTTTAGTAGAGATGAGATTTCATCATGTTGGCCAGGCTGGTCTCACACTCGTGGCCTCAAGTGATCCTCCTGCCTTGGCCTCCCAAAGTGCTGGGATTACAGGTGTGGGCCACTGTGCCTGGCCTAATACATATTTTTAAGTGAATTAATCTATACCTTTTAAAAAACTAAACCTTTTGATGACAATGTTCTACCAGAAGATGCTGCAAAACATATCATCAGGACTATGAACTTTCCTCCCAATTCTTATTTTTACTTCTCTCCTATTCTGAAGTCTTGAGTCTCTACTTCATTCCCTCTAAGCCCAGGAAGAATGAGGCTGTCACAAGGTCAAATATCAGAGACTGGCTCCACCATTCTGCCAATATCTGAATCCTCCTTATAAACTTTTGTGCCAACATATTTTCAAAGTAAGGGAGTGAGTGTTTATGAGACTGCCCTGGAAATGAGAGGTGTGGCGATCTATGGCTAAATTGTTAGGCGATGCAAGACAGGCAGGCAGCCTAAATAGGTCAGGCTCTGCCAATAGGCATGGAGGTTCCAGGGCACCCACATCTGATACATATACAGGGAGACAATTGGAGAACAGATGAATAACCAGTATTAAACAAACACTTAGAACCAAGCTCTCAACTTCTGTACTTACCCTTCCACATTATAAGATTACATACACAACAGATTTTAATTACAGCATTCTAATTGCTTAAACGCACCCTGGCACCAATGTACAATGACAATTTGAATTAGTAGCAGCAGGGCGTTCTGATGCAAAACTATTTTTTCTCTATTTAGAAAAAAGAAAAAATGCAAGGTGCTTAAAAGATAATCAAGGATTTTAGAGGAAGAAAGGATGAATCAGGAGGAAGAAAATTACAGTCATGATGTTAAAAGTAAGCCTTTGACTAAAGAAGCCCTGGTAAAGTAGGTATCCTATCTGGCTGTTTTGCATGAATAAATATGCAGAGATACTTTCATTTTCAGGATAACATCTTCCATCTAATTGAACTGCTCATTTATTACTATTTTTGCTATAGGGAATACCATGTTTAAAATATTTTCACCAACATTCTTCTTGTATAATTGTGGTTATATATGATCAAGTACTTCTTATAGATGAGAATTTTTTTTTTTTTTTTTGAGATGAAATTTCGCTCTTGTTGCCCAGGATGGAGTGCAATGGGGCGATCTTGGCTCACTGCAATCTCTGCCTCCCAGGTTCAAGCAATTCTCCTGCCTTAGCCTCACGAGTAGCTGGGATTACAGACATGCACCACCACACCCGGCTAATTTTTGTATTTTTAGTAGAGATGAGCTTTCTCCATGTTGGTCAGGCTGGTCTTGAACTCCTAACCTCAGGTGACCCACCTGCCTCGGCCTCTCAGAGTGTTGGGATTACAGGCGTTAGCCACTGTGCCTGGCAGATGAGAACATTTTATAACCGTCCTCCTGGGAATTTTGGAATAATATCATCAATAACTACAAAAACAAGAAACATTTATTAAGTGCTTATTATCTGTTCCAAGAGCTTTGGATATATATTAATCCATGGGTCCTGTGAGGAGGTAATGTTATCACCCTCCCCCTTCATAGGTGGGGAGACTGAAGCTTAGGAAGATAGAATAGGCTGTTGCTTAAAGCCACCCAGCCTGTAGGTGATGGAGCTGAGATTTAAAGCTGGACAGTTAGGAATCCCCTACCTCTGATACCCGCTTCCCCCATGTCATGCATCAAGCCAAACTATGGACGGTCTCTCCAAGGGGTGTATAAACAATCTTGGCTGGTGTCCAACACCCCTGAATTACTGACTTCACTTCAACCAAGAGTAAACTGTATTCTTTTTTGTTTGTTTGTTTTGAGACAGGGTCTTGCTCTGTCGCTTAGGCTGGAGTGCAGTGGCACGATCTCGGCTCAAGCGATTCTCGTGCCTCAGCCTCCCAAGTAGCTGGGACTACAGGCATGCACCATCACACCTGGCTAATTTTTGTATTTTTAGTAGAGACAGGGTTTCGCCATGTTGGCCAGCCTGGTCTTGAACTCCTGACCTAAAGCGATCTGCCCGCCTCAGCCTCCCAAAGTGCTGGGATTACAGGCGTGAACCACTGTGCCCGGCCTCATGTCTTCTTTATAAATTTAAAGTTGTAACCATTTGTGGCTCATTTAACAAGTTTCCCTGAAATGGATATCTTTATCTATTTCTTTTTCTCTTCTTTCTTTCTTTTTTTTTTAGAGACGGGTTCTTGCTCTGTCACCCAGGCTGGAGTGCAGTGGCATGATCATAGCTCACTGCAGCCTCAACCTGCAGGCTCAAGCAATCCTCCTGCCTTGGCCTACGGCGTAGCCAGGACTACAGGTGCATGTCACCAAACCCAGCTCTCTCAGTCTATTTCTCAACAAATTGACCTTGCAAAGGTTCCCCAAAATAGCATTCATCTTAGGCTGACTTAATCATGAAATGGAAGTCTTCTATTCATTCAATTTCTTCTTTCTGAAAAATATAAAGATAGCCCTTCAAACCTCCTCCTTAGGGCTCTTAGGCATGTGAAGCACTGCAGGAAGGAAAATGACATCTGCTTCTACTGTGTGTGAGAAAAATAGATGACAGATAGATGACAGATGTACAGGTAAATAGGTAGAAAGATGGACAGAAATAGTTGGTATGGATAAGTTTGGTTTTGTAAGTTTCTTTGCCATATTTCTTTTGAAATACAAGATTTGTGTCTTTAAGGAGATCAACCAAGCATTTTCTTTTTTTCTTTTTTTCTTTTTTTTTTTTTTTGAGACGGAGTCTCGCTCTCTCTCCAGGCTATAGTGCAGTGGCAGAATCTCGGCTCACTGCAACCTCCATCTCCCAGGTTCAGGTGATTCTCCTGCCTCAGCCTCCCGAGTAGCTGGGACTACAGGCGCCCGCCATCATGCCCGGCTAATTTTTGTATTTTTAGTAGAGACAGGCTTTCACCATGTTGGCCAGGATGGTCTCGATCTCTTGACCTCGTGATCCGCCCGCCTCGGCCTCTCAAAGTGCTGGGATTACAGGTGTGAGCCACCGTGCCCAGCCCCAACCAAGCATTTTCAAAAGCAGGAAACATACAAATAAATTTGATTTATTTTAAAAAACTGAAAAATATATATTATGAAACATTTTCATTCACTGGTGCTCAAATTCCTAGTTTATAAAATGTTGTATTTTCAGCTGAATGGACCATCTGCCTCCTCCACTTTCCTTTCAAGCATTTATCGTAGTATTTTTATATGACTTTTTTTGAGTCACAATTTAGCTGTAATGCAATTCTTGTAGCCCATTTCTGAGACCATGGTGTACCAAAAATATCAGTAGTAGGCTTAAATGTTTTAGGATAATTCATATTAAATCACACCATTATGAAATACAAGTCTTCCAACTGGATTTTTAGTAGCTTGTCTTGACGTATTCCACAAATATTTGAGTGTCTACTTGGGCTGGCGATATACCAGTGAACAAATAATTCAGCCTTTGTAAATTTACCCTGGCTAGTGCCAACTGGAGGGCATTTTCCTTGTCCTCTGCTTTATGACTATGTCCTTGTACATCTTTGGGCCTCAGTTTTTTATCTATGAAAAGGAGGAACAATGATCTTCTCCTTTACCCTCTTAGGGAGGTGACAGCCAAAGATCACAGCACGATGAAAAGGTCCTGAGGACATGGGGTTAAAGATGACAGGTATAACGAGCTATTATTAGGAAAACTTTGATTTTCACAAATGCACAAGGCAGTATATATCTTAATGCTCATATTAAAGACAAACATAATTTGAATGTCAGAAAAACATGTGGAAAACCAGTGAAATAGAGATAGGTGAAATATTCATTATAAAACTTTCAATAGTCCTTTAAAATATAATAATAGGCCAGGCACAGTGGCTCATGCCTGTAATCCCAGCACTTTGAGAGGCCAAGGCAGGTGGATCACCAGAGGTCAGGAGTTCAACACTAGCCTGGCCAACATGGTGAAACCCCATCTCTACCAAAAGTACAAAAAAATTAGCTGGGCATGGTGGCGGACGCCTATAATCCCAGCTGCTCGGGAGGCTGAGGCAGGAGAATTGCTTGAATCTGGGAGGCGGAGGTTGCAGTGAGCCGAGATTGTGCCACTGCACTCCAGCCTGGGTGACAGAGTGAGACTCTGTCTCAAAAAAATAAAAAATAAAATAAAATAAATAAAATATAGTAATGATTTCTTCTTCTTTGTGGACTGGCTAGTCTTCAAACCAGCTCTGATGTTTAGTTTAGTGACTACTTGATCAATATCAGTCTTCTGATGATTAGTTATCACAAGAAGGTACATTCACAAGTCTTTTATTTATTTATTTATTTTGAGACAGAATTTCGCTCTGTTGCCCAGGCTGGAGTGCAGTGGTATGATCTTGGCTAACTGCAACCTCTACCACCTGGGTTCAAGTGATTCTCCTGTCTCTCAGCCTCCTGAGTATTGGAACTACAGGTGTGCACCACCATGCTCAGTTAATTTATTGTTTTTAGTAGAGATGGTTAAATTTTGTATTTCTAGGTTTTAGCATGTTGGCCAGGCTGGTCTTGAACTCCTGGCCTCAGGTGATCCGCCTGCCTCGGCCTCCCAAAGTGCTGGGATTACAGGCATAAGCCACTGCGCCCAGCCCATTCACAAGTCTTAATACAGAATTTACAGCTTACAACATTCGATTTCTGTTACTAATCCTTTAAATTATTTCTAAATCTTGAAATGAGTTGAGGATTAAAACACATACACTCGTATGTGTGTACACACACACACACATTCACATATGCAAACACTCTGAAATCCCAAATGCTAAAACTCAGCCAGGTTAGCAGATATTCTGAATGTATTTTAGTTCTTGGTACGACTAAAATTGTTGGTTGCTGAACTACATGGAATAATTCCAGGACAAGAACCATAAATGTGATGCTAACAGTAATGGACCAGTTACAGAAAGATATGCTTCATGTTCTGTTCAGTTAAATTGCACTGAGACTAATCCTCTTATCTCAAGGCATTATAAATATGGATAGTAATGGGTCTTTCCATGAATGTGTACTTTAAAAAAGTCTCTTTGCCATAAACAGGCAGCTAGAACTCTACAAAAGTATGAAAATATCTTTCTAAGTTTTAGGAGAACCCTTCTCAGAAACAGTCACATTTTGATTATTCAGAAGCTCATTATTGACTTTTGGGGATTCATTTTTCCAATTTTTCTTCCATTCTTTCTTTGGTGCTGCCTACATGGTAATTTTAGCTCTAGGAAAAAGAAAGAAGGAAAGTCAATTACATTCAGGGCACTTTGGTTGAATGGTTGGGATGGGAGCCTATACTGGCAGACTTGGCTAGAATGAGGTTTCAGGATTAACTGAATTCCCTCAATGTAGTATATGCTCAGTGTCCCTCTCTCCTGGAGGCAATCAAAATTTGATGACTTATTTCTTTGGAGCTCTAAGAAAAAGTGTTTGAATCTAAGAGCAGAGAAGTATGTCAACCTATCATTGCAGCTGACTTTACAGTGATTCTCCTATGTCTCCAAAAGACACTTAGAGCAAGGATGGCAGCAGAGGTTATAACAGATATGCTGAGACTCCTGTGCTTTAAAATCTGATCATGCAATGCTGAAATTGTATTCTGATAGGTTAAGCATATTAAATTTCAAGGTTATAAGTAAAGTATCAACTCTGGAAAATTGAATTTAGAAACAGTAGCTCCACCTTAGGGAGAGAAAACAGAGTAAGACTGAAAGCTGAAAATGTCTAATTTTATGATTGTTACTCAGAATTGATTTTTAATTTGGCTTGATCTTTTCACAAGTCTATTTTGCAAAATTTGATCAATTTAGTTACCAGTGTAAACTACATTTATTTTGCTCACTTGACAAGTATTTACTAAGGGCCTATAGTGCATGCCAGGTTCTGTGCCAGTGTTTGGGGAGATAAAGATGAACCTGGGTCTTAAGAGGTAGTGCAGTTGCGAGGAGTGACTGATGCATAAAGGAAGAATTCAACATAATAGGAAGAATTAGAAGAAGTATTTAAAGGGTGTTTTGGAGGTTGAAAGAATTTAACTCCCTGTAGGAAATGGTGGTGGTAGACAAGGAAAAAAAAAAAAAAGAATTTCTTAAGGGGCAGAGACTAGAGCTGAATTCAAAAGGATGAGTGGAAATTTGCCAAAGGAAAGTAAAGGGAGATAGGAAGGCATTCAGCAGAAAGACAAGTATATCAAAAAGGCATGGAGGCTTGAGAAAGACTAGGATGCATCATCAGGGAAGGAGGAGTTATTTCAGTATGACCGCAGGGTGAGTGTGCAAAGAGCCTAGAGTGATAAGCCAGGGCTTGCATGTCCTGTCAAGGGGCTTACTATACAATAGCAGTGGTAACAATAGCAAAAATATAAATAGCAAAATGGAGTCTGTCAGACACTCTTTTATATAGTTTGCATATATATTAACTCATCCATTGAGGTAGAAACTTCTTATTTCCACTTTAAAGTTGATGAAACAAAGGCTTAAAAATGTAAGTACGATGCCCAGTATAGAGCTAAGGCCAGACTCCCCACCACCCCATTATGCACCTCCTCCGTAGCTGGCAGGGGGCTGGCTAAGATGTTAAGCAGGGGAGATGGCTAAGTCTTGTTGATTTCACATTCTAAAATGTTTCCATTTTGCCATCTATTTGTTGATTCTTTATTTTTTTATTTTTATTTTTATTTTTTTGAGATGGAGTCTCACTCTGTCACCCAGGCTGGAGTGCAGTGGCACCATCTCAGCTCACTGCAACCTCTGCTTCCCCAGTTCAAGCAATTCTCGTGCCTCAATCTCCCAAGTAGCTGGGACTACAGGTGCATGCCACCAGGCCTGGCTAATTTTTGTATTTTTAGTAGAGACGGGGTTTTACCATGTTGGCCAGGCTGGTCTCGTACTCCTGGCCTCAAGTGATCCACTTGCTTTAGCCTTCCAAAGTTCTTGGATTACAGGCATGAGCCACTGCACCCAGCCTATTTGTTGATTCTTTAATCATTCACTCCTTCATTTACCCATTCAATAACGTTTTATCTAACATCTAGGTCCTAGGGATTCCCACATAAAGGAAACCTGGTCCTAGCCTCACTGTGCTAGTTTATATTTAATGAAATTAAAATGTGAATTTTCAAGGCCTTCCTATGCTCTTTCCCCAGGCTGCATACTGATTCTTAAAACAGAAGAACATATGGCATGAGGATGAAGAGTGGACAAGAGGTCAAAGTAGCTGAAATATATAAAATGCTAAAAGTGTAACAAAACTGATTTCAACCAAGCACTTGATCTCAACCAAACAAAAATGTATGCACAAAAGAAATATGTCAAAATAATACAATTTATGCTCTAATATTGAGATTATGGATCTTTTTGATTTGTTGTACTTGTATGCATTTTCTAAATTTTCTACAATTAATAAGCATTACCTTTAACAACAGGAAAAAAAACGTCGTTGTCTTTAGTAGCAAGCCTTTGCTGTTCTAGATAAGGCAATTAGAAATTTTCAACATTCACTGAGCTTTATCCAGTGGGAAAAATGCCCAAGTGTTTTTGTAATGGATGAAAAGTGATCAGCAAAATGTTTTTATTCTCTCTCTCTCTCTCTTTTTTTTTTTTTTTGAGACAAGTTCTCACTCTGTTATCCAGGCTGGAATACAGTGGCACAATCATGGCTCACTGCAGCCTTGACCTCATGGGTTCCAGTGATCCTCCTGCCTTGCCATTCCAAGTAGCTAGGACCACAGGCATGTACCCAGCTAGTTTTTTTAATTTTTTGTAGAGATAGGGTCTCTACATTGCCCGGGGTGGTCTCGAACTCCTAGGCTCAAGTGATCCACCTGTCTCAGCCTCCCCAAATGCCAGGATTACAGGTGTCATCTACCATGCCCAGCCATTTTTATTATCTTGATGCAGTTTTGAAGAGGTAAATTTTAATGAATATACTGATTTTTTCTTTATTTTTCTGATTTAAAACTAATTCAAGCTTCCTGTTAAAAAATTGGAAAAGTATAACTTAGAAAGCAAAAGCTTTTCCAATCTCACTCTCAGAAATAATAAATATTTATACTATGCTATATTTTTATATTTCTTCCTATGAGTACATTTCATATACATAAGCACATAATAAAGTTAGAAACAATAATACTATATTGACTGTTCTGTGCCTTCTTTTAACATTTAACAACATTAGACTGTTTTCATGTTAGCTAAGGAAGGCTAGCCTATTCTTGTCAATGGCTGTACAATATCCTATCATATGAATGATTTGTAATTTATATAATGAATTCCTATTCAAGTATATTTGGGCAGTTTCCAGTTTCCTACTATTGGAAATAATGATGTAAAATATGTTTTTATAGATATCTTTTCCTATTTCAATAAAATCTTCCAAAGAATAGATCCCTACAGTTGGTAGAGTCCTGGATGACAAGATGTACTCTCTTTTTTTGAGACAGACAGGGTCTTACTCTGTCGCCCAGGCTGGAGTGCAGTGGCACAGTCATGGTTCGCTGCAGCCTGAAATTCCTGGGCTCAAGTGATCCGCCCACCTCAGCCTCCTGAGTAGCTGGGACTACAGGCGTGCACCATCATGCCTGGCTAATTTTTTTTATGGTTTGTAGGAACAGGGTTTCACCATGTTGCCCAGGCTGGTCTCAATCTCCTGGGCTCAAGCAATCCACCTGTCCTCAGCCTCCCAAAGTACCATGCCCGACCTTTAGGTGTACCCTTCATTTTAATGGAAATGGCCAAATTGCCTTCCTAAACTGCATTGGCTTTCAAGAGAACTTTGATACCTCCAGGTTCACGCTCAGAAATGTAAATGGCATTAAGATTCCAGGGATCGGGCTGGACACAGTGGCTCATGCCTGTAATTCCAACAATTTGGGGGGCTGAGGTGGGCAGATCACCTGAGGTCAGGAGTTCTAGACCAGCCTGGCCAATATGGTGAAACCCCATCTCTACTAAAAATACAAAAATTAGCCGGGCATGGCGGCACGTGCCTGTAGTCCCAGCTACCTGGGAGGCTGAGGCAGGAGAATCGCATGAACCTGAGAGGCAGAGGTTGCAGTGAGCCGAGATTGTGCCACTGCACTCCAGCCTGGGCGACAGAACAAAAAGATTCCAAGGGTATTGATACGTTAAGAGCATGTTTTCAGATGATAGGCTGAGACTGTCACGAAGTTGGCTAATGAAAGGGCACACCTAATAAGGTCTTGGTTAAGAAATGGGGTAAGAGGGAAGATAAAAATAAACATGATTGCATAGTCTTGCAATAACCCTATTTTTTAATAGGATTACTAATGTTTGGCTCACTTGTCTTTCCACATTTATTTAAAGTACAAAGACATGAGTACTTACTAGAACAGAAAAGGGAGCCCCATGAAGCCTACTAAAGCCTTACAGAGCCATTTTCTTCTCCATTTTGTTATGTTTGTTATGTTATCTACTCCTGATAAGCTGGAGCAGGGGAGGTCCTAACTGATTTGGTACTCAGGTCAGTATCTCTTGACTAATTCCAAAGATGTTTTATTTAAAGAATCAAAATAAACCTAGGTTTTATCGTGGGGCCAGATCTAATATAGAGCAACACCCAGGAGGCTTATGGTCATCTTTTTTGGCTTTATTATTTAATGATATGGTATATGTCTTGAACAGCATTTTCTTGCTTTCTTTCTGCTTTTTTTTTTTTTTTTTTTTTTTTTTTGAGATGGAGTGTTGTTGTCGCCAGGCTGGAGTGCAGTTGCGCAATCTCAGCTCACTGCAACCTCCGCCTCCCAAGTTCCCAAGGCAATTCTCCTGCCTCAGCCTCCCCGTCCCGAGTAGCTGGGACTACAGGCACGCACCACCACGCCCAGCTAATTTTTGTATTTTTAGTAGAGACCGGGTTTCACCATATTGGCCAGGATGGTATCAATCTCCTAACCTTGTGATCCACCTGCCTTGGCCTCCCAAAGTGATGGGATTACAGGCGTGAGCCACAGCGCCCGTCCATTGAACAGCATTTTCTTTTTCTTTCTTTCTTTTTTTTTTTCTTGAGACAGAGTCTCGCTCTGTCTCCCAGGCTGGAGTACAGTGGCCCGATCTCGGCTCACTACAACCTCTGCCTCCCGGGTTCAAGAGATTCTCCTGCCTCAGCCTCCCAAGTAGCTGGGACTACAGGTGTCTGCCACCTTGCCTGGCTAATTTTTGTATTTTTAGTAGAGATGGAGTTTCACCATATTGGCCAGGCTGGTCTCGAACTCCTGTCCTTGTGATCCGCCTGCCTTGGCCTCCCAAAGTGCTGGGATTACAGGCTTGAGCCACTGTGCCTGGCCTGAACAGCATTTTCAAAAGTGTGGTAGGCAGTCCATTAATAAGTATTGCTTTAAAAAAGAATTTCACATACAGATAAGTTTGGAAAGTATTAGGTTAAACCAAATCAAATAAGTTAATTTATTGCAGGACTTCTTGAAGCCTTTATTATTTGTTTTTCTTTTTAGAGGCAGGTCTCGCTCTGTCATCCAGGTGGGAGTGCGGTGGCATGATGATTGCTCACTGCAGCCTCAAACTCCTGGGCTCAAGTGATCCTCCCACCTCTGCCTCCTGAGCAGCTAGGACTACAGGCACACACTAACTTATTGGCTATTTTAAAAATTTTCTGTAGGCACAGGGTCTTGCTATGTTGCCCATGCTGATCTTGAACACCTGCCCTCAAGTGATCCTCTTACTGGGCCTCCCAAAGTGTTGCGATTACAGGTGTGAGTCACCCCAGTGGCCCCAAATTGCTTTTTTTTTTTTTGCCCTGCCGCTCAGGCAGGAGTGCAGCAGCGCAATCTCGGCTTACTGCAACCTCCACCTCCTGGGTTCAAGCGATCCTCCCACCTCAGCCTCTGAAGTAGCTGGGACTACAGGCATGCGCCACTGCACCTGGCTAATTTTTTTTTATTTTTTGTAGAGACGGGGTTTCACCACGTTGTCCAGGCTGGTCTGGAACTCCTGGGATCAAGCGATCTGCGCATCTCAGCCTCCCAAAGTGCTGGGATTAGAAGCATGAGCCACCATGCCCTGCTCCAAATTGCTTTTTATAGTACTTTAGGAAACAGTAATAAGTAACATCAAGGGATTTAAGGCATGCTCAGTCTCTCCAAGGTCCCTGACATCTTTTAGAAATATTATGTCTTACAAAGTATCATCAGACACATTACCTTTAAATTAAACACAACACATACCATCACATAAAGGATAAGGGTAATAAATAAACAAATAAATAAACACAACACATACTACACACATACAAATGAAAAAATCCTTAAGACTTAGGACTTTTAGGCCACAGGAAGGTATATTTGCTAAGTATTTTACGATAATGCAGCACTCATCACAGACCCTGACCCTTAATAGGAATGCAATGATGTTTTAATTGAATGAATGAAGACAGACAAATACGGTTTCTGGGGCCAGACTACATAGATCTGATCACTCCAGTACTAATAAACTATTCAAGCTTGGCCAAATTGTTTAACCTATTTATGCCGCCAGTTCCTTATTTGTTGAAGTAGTAATAAATAACTGTGTAAGTTGCTGTGGGTGTTAAATGAGCTAATAACACACACAAAAATCAGTGCTTTCTATGTGTTGAGTTCTTTATTGTTTCTTTTAGAGACAGGGTCTTGCTCTGTTGTCCAGGCTGGGGTGCAGTGACATGATCATGGCTTACTGTAACCTCAAACTCCTGTGCTCAAGTGATCTTCTTGCCCCAGCCTCCTGAGTAGCTAGAACCACAGGCACATGCCACCATGCCCAGCTAAGGGTGAGCTCTTAAGAGTTGAGTTGCTATCCTCCTCCTCCTTCTCCTCCTCCTCCTCCTCCTCCCCTCCTCCTTCTCCTCTTCCCCTCCTCCTCCCCTCCTCCTTCTCCTCTTCCCCTCCTCCTCCCCTCCTCCTTCTCCTCCTCCCCTCCTCCTCTCCTCCTCCTCCTCCTCCTCCTCCTCTTCCTTCCCACTTCTGCAGAAAAGGGAGCTGAGGCTGTCTGTGGTCTCTACCACAGAGCACCTCATAAGCCCTACTTGCTTTTCCACATTTTCTGTCTTTTCATTATTACCATATTTATATACACATCAAAAGAGAAAAGATGGCCAATACTATTTTAATTTGCCAAGCCTGTCTTCAGATTGCTGATTTAAAAAAAAGGGGGTGTGGTGGTCCATGTTGGCTGATTACTAAAATCACAGATATGGTCAAGGGCACCTCCAAGAATAATAACCTGGGGCAAGCCTACAGTCCTGCTTCATGCATTTAGGCTTTTTCTAGCAGGAGCAGGTTGCCCAAGGTAGACCACAGCCATGTTGAATGCTTCCCGGGTTCCCCAGTATCAGTTTCGGCATTTCCACATCACCACACCTGGCACAGGTGGTTGTTTTGTGAAGGCAAGGTGGGCCCCTCTGCATTCTCACTGAGGAAGCCAAACAGGTTCAGGGGCCCTCGCTTGAACAACAATCCAGACAGCAGCATGCACTCTCCTCTGAAATGCTTGACCCACAGTTCCTACCTAGGGGCAGTTCCTACCTAGTTTTCTTACAGGTTCTCTTCCAGCATGAGTGCTAGTGCACTCCTGAAATATCCCTCTAGAAGTGTTGCTTTGTCCCGAGTCCAGCCCATAAAAGTCATCTGGCCCCTAATGTACAGAAGCACCTTATTAACTACCATGGGCTAAGAGCATCACCATGTACAACAACGTTCAGAATTAAAGGAAAGAGGGAGTTTAAACTCAGGATGTCATGGATATGCCTCCCCCATGAATAGACACGTGATGCCAGAGTCCATGACGTTAACCACCACACTTGCTGCCTGTCATTGAGCATGTCCATGACATTAACCACTGCAACCTCTGCCTCCTGGGCTCAAGCGATCCTCCCACCTCAGCCTCCCAAGTAGCTGGACCATAGGTACATGTCACCAAGCCTGGCTAATTTTTGTATTTTTTGTAGAGATGGAGTTCACTATGTTGCCCAGACTGGTTTTGAACTCCTGAGTTCAAGCAATCTGCCCACCCTGGCCTCCCGAAGTGCTGGGATTACAGGCATGAGACATCACACCTGGCTGAAATTTTCTTCTTCTTCTTTTTTTTTGTGAGACAGAGTTTCACTCTTGTTGCCCATGCTGGAGTGCGATGGTGCGATCTCAGCTCACCACAACCTCTGCCTCCTGAGTTCAAGCGATTCTCCTGCCTCAGCCTCCCAAGTAGCTGGGATTACAGCCATGCACCACTATGCCCGGCTAATGTTTTTTGTATTTTTAGTAGAGACGGGGTTTCTCCATGTTGGTCAGGCTGGTCTCGAACTTCTGACCTCAGGGGACCCGCCCACCTCAGCCTCCCAAAAGTGCCGGGATTACAGGTGTGAGCCACTGTGCCCGGCCTGAAATTTTCCTCTTAACATATAATTCTCACTCATTTTTTGATGAAGGTTGTAATTAGTGTTGACTATAGTATTGTTAAGTGTTATTCAGTAATACCTGGAAAATGAAATTAACTTTGTAGATGTTTAATTTCTTAGTAAATGTAGGTGTTTTCATGTGTTTCCCCCTAGTCAAATTATACATTTTTGCTTCTTGCTTGACTTCTTGGGAAACAAGTGTTATCAGCAATACTCATTCATTTGTTGTGTTAGTCAACCACAATTTACTGAATGCCCAATGTGTGCCACATTTCATACATAAAATTTTGCTTGTTGGGTGCGGCAGCTCACGCCTGTAATCCCAGCACTTTGGGAGGCTGAGGCGGGTGGATCACCAGGTCAGGAGTTCGAGACCAGCCTGACCAACATGGTGAAATCCCGTCTCTACTAAAAATACAAAAATTAACTGGGTGTGGTGATGCGTGCCTGTAATCCCAGCTACTCAGGAGGCTAAAGCAGGAGAATCGCTTGAACCCAGAAGGCGGAGGTTGTAGTGAGCTGAGATCGCACCACTGCACTCCAGCCTGGGTGACAGAGTAAGACTCCGTCTCAAAAAAAAAAAAAAAATATATATATATATTTTTGCTTACAGTATTTTTCACAAAAGTGAAAAATCTTTATTCCTTTTTCAGACCATGCTGGATACCCAAACTCAGAAACGAGGCACAATTGTTTCTTTCAACACATTGAAGTGTCACCAATGGCTTATTCTCTATGCCGTATGGGCAATGATATTTACAGAACCCATTGAGAGCCACCCAGTTTTTCAAATGACATACTCATGAGGCTGAATTTTATAAATCCGTATTTATGTAGCTGTGCAGAGCTTCAGCAACTGTATCAAATCTTATCATAAGTCATATTTCTTACTAAACAAGTATGTAAGAAGACATTGTGGTTTTATCAGTATTTGCAAATAAGAGCTCTCTTTTCTTGCCTGTGTATTTCTGTTCTCAGTGGAAGGAAGGAAGTAGCTGTAGGCGAAAGCTGTCTGGCAGAGAAGAAATGTGTGTAGGGTGTGATCAGAGGTGTCAAACATCTCACTGGAGAGAAGAATGCCCTCTGTGCAGTGTGGAGGGGGGGCCCGTTCACTTTCAGATCTAGCTGTGAGTCCTGAGTTAACAGCAGCTACCAACCATCAGTGACTCACTTTTGCCAATCAATAAATCCACCTACGAGTGTTCTACAGCTGAAACTATGTTCTCATAAAACTTATTTGTCTCTGTGGCCATGGTTCAGCTGATATTCCTTATGTGGAATGTTCTCAAACAATCATACATCTTAAGAAATTGCTTGAAAGCTGCTTTATCCAAACAGCTACCTGATCCTGGAACATCTCTTAGAATTTGTTACCAGCCATCTACATTTTATATACGTATATTTGGAGATGGAGTCTCATTCTGTTGCCAGGTTGGAGTGCAGTAGTGTGATCTTGGCTCACTGCAACCTCTGCCTTCCAGGTTCAAGCGATTCTCCTGCCTCAGCCTCCGGAGTAGGTGGAATTACAGGCGCCCACCACCACACCCAGCTAATTGTTGTATTTTTGTAGAAACAGGGTTTCACCATGTTGGCCAGGCTGGTCACGAACTCCTGACCTCAAGTGATCCACCCGCCTTGGCTTCCCAAAGTGTTGGGATTACAGGTGTGAGCTACCACACCCAGCCATCTGCATAATAATTAGATAGAAAATATCCCACTCTAAATTCCTACAAATAAAATTTAAAAAATTATCTCAATAACAGTCATAGTGCCTTACAATATTATGTTCTGTAAAAGTTCTAAATTATTTGACAAGTCATGAAACACTCCCATTTAGAAAGGAGCTCCCAGGCCAGGCGCTGTGGCTCACACCTGTAATCCCAGCACTTTGGGAGGCCGAGGTGGGTGAATCACTTGAGGTCAGGAGTTTGAGAACAGTCTGGCCAACATGGTGAAACCCCATCTCTACTAAAAATACAAAACATTAGCTGGACGTGGTGTCAGGCGCCTGTAATCTCAGCTACTCGGGAAGCTGAGGCAGAGAATCGCTTGAGCCCAGGAGGCAGGGGTTGCAGTGAGCTGAGATTGCACCATTGCACTCCAGCCTGGGCAACAAGAGTGAAACTCCATCTCAAAACAACAACAACAACAAACAAAAAACAAAAAAGCAACAACAACAAAAAAAAAAAAAAAAGAAAGAAAGGTGCTCCTAGCAACTGACATTCATGAAATGCAGTAGCATTTAAAGGAATTCTGCTTTTCCTTGCTTTCTCAAGACAAACAGAATTTAGCATGCAGAGGTACAAGAGAAACGTCATGAGTTGAAAATCTTCATTCTAACCACCTTTGCATTAGCAACAGAGAAAACACTTGATCAATGCCAACTAGGCAGTGAAAAATATTACAAGGAGCGATTGTATGTCTCCACATAGGAGAGGATAGCCAACTGTGGTTTATGAAACGTGTTCCTGACTCAGTAAATGCTGTGTTTGAAAAGCTGTGTTTGTTATATAGGTGTCTACTCATCAGTCAACCCTTAGAGTTCTTAGGAAAACCTGAATCTCAGAAAAGAGGGCTGTAGTAAAGCCTTTGATGCTGGGAACATTTTACTTTCCCGATAGACTCAGCCAAAAACTCTGCTTCGAATATTTACACTTCCAGCCAAGATGGAGTAACAGGGACTGAATTTATCCTCTTAACTGAAAAAACAAAACAAAACAAAACAAAAAAAACAAAAAACAGACAAAATATATAAAACAACAGTTTTCATAACACTGAATATCCAGCAACGAAGATAGTGAACCTTGAACAAGGCGAGCCCTATGACTGCCCCCAGTACTGTCAAGAGAGGGCTCCAGGCTGTGGAGGGAGAAACACAGCAGAACACAGTGAACTCCCTGAGCTAAGGAGATGCAGCAACTCCTTAGTCTGGGAGATCAAAATGAATAGAATTTGCAGAACAGTCTGCCAGAGAAAAGAGAGCTGCGAAGAGAGAGAACCCCTGAAAATCTATAGAGGGTCTCCTCTGAGGATTCGGTAGAGCACTCATCATTCCATGCATGAAAAGAAACTACCCAAAGTTGGAGACCATCTGAAAGGATAAGAGGGAAGAGTGCCTCATCCTTACAGGGCTGGAGGTGGTGCCTATTCCCACCAGCCAGAATAAAAAACTCATAATTCATGGGGCATTGAATAGAGTACTCAGGAAGATCAGTATGCAGAACAATTAGCTATAGAATGTGCACTGCTCTGGGCTAGACTAACAAATCATAAAAGCAAGACCTGAAAAAAACCAAACCATATTCAATCAACTAAACTGCATCCCAAAACCAAACATCAAGAATATTTATAGGAACACAAAAAATATATAGCATTCAAAAAGATACAATTAATAATGCCTACCATCCTACCAAATATTGCCAGGCATGCAAATAGGCAGAGAAACATGACCCATAACAAAGACAAAAATCAATCAAAAATACCCGGAACTGACACAGACATTAGGATAAACAGACAAAGGCATTAAAACAATTATTATAACTATATTTAATATGCTTAAAAAGTTAAATAGTCACATGCAAGATGTAAAAAGGATCCAAATCAAACCTCTAAAGATAGAAACTCTAAGGCCGAGCATGGTGGCTCATGCCTGTAAATCCCAGCACTTTGGGAGGCTGAGGTGGGAGGATCACCTGAGGTCAGGAGGTTGAGACCAGTCTGGCCAACATGGTGAAACACCATCTCTACTAAAAATACAAAAAATTAGCCAGGTGTGTTGGCACATGCCTGTAATCCCAGCTACTCGGGAGGCTGAGGCAGGAGAATCACTTCAATCCAGGAGGTGGAGGTTGTGGTGAGCCAAGACTGTGCCACCGCACTCCAGCCTGGGCAACAAGAGTGAGACTCTGTCTCAAAAAATAAAACAAAACAAAAAAACAAAAACAAAAACTCTAATATACAAAATGGGATTAATGGCAGATTAGATTGCAAAAAACAGATGAGGGAAACTGAAGACAAAGCAAGAGAAACTATACAAGATATCATATTCCCCCAAATCCCCACAAATGCAAAGCATTACTATGTGACAAGTTCAAGTGGCCAAGCGTATGTGTAATTGGGCTTTGCAAATGAGGCATACATGAGGCCAAAAAAAAAAAAAAAAAACCTGAAGAAATAACGGCTAAAATGTTTCCGAATTTGATGACAACTATAAGCCAAGATGCTCAATAAATGCCAATGACACACACACATACACAAACACATGAAGAAAGCTATACCAAGGCACCTCATAATAAAAATCCTCAAAGCAGGCCAGGCACAGTGGCTCATGCCTATAATCCCAGCACTTTGGGAGGCTCGAGGCAGGTGGATCACCTGAGGTCAGGAGTTTGAGACCAGCCTGGCCAATATGGCGAAACCCCATTGCTACAAAAAATACAAAAATTAGCCGGGTGCGGTGGTGCACACCTATAGTCCCAGCTACTCGGGAGGCTGAGGCAGGCGAATTGCTTGAACCTGGCAGGCAGAAGTTGCGGTGATCTGAGATGGCACCACTGCACTTCACCCTGGGCAACAAAGCGAGACTCCATCTCAAAAAGAAAAAAAAAATAATTGCTCAAAGCAGAAAAAAGAAAAAAGAGAAAAATTTAAAAGCAGCTAAAGAAAAAGATATTCCATACAGAAACACAAAGATAAAGATGACAGCAGACTTCTCATCAGAAACAATGCAAGCAAGAAGATAGTGAATCAGTATTTCTAAAGTACGGAGAGAGAAAAACTGCCAACAAGAATCCTATATCATGTGAATTATCTTCTAAAACCAAAGGCAAATAAAGATGTCTTCAGGTACAAGCTGAAGGAATTCACCACTAGTATGCCCACACTATAAGAAATGCTAAAGGAAGTCCTCCAGGCAGAAAGAATCATAACAGACAGAAATATTAACCTACACAAGTGAATGAAGAGCAACAGAAATGCTAACTCCATGGGTAAATATGTAAGACTTTTGGTACTGTTTAAATCTCTTTAAAGTTAATTGAATATTTACACAAAAATAATAATGTCATGTGCATCTGTAACTTATCTAAAAGTAAATTGTATGACATCAATCGCATAAAGGCTGAGAGGAGAGAAATGGAAGTATACTACTGTAAGATTCTTATGCTACATGTGAAGTGGTATAATATCATCTTGAAGGTAGACTTGATAAGTTAAAAATGTGTATACTATAAACCCTAAAGTAACCATGGAAACAACAAAGAGTTATAGCTAATAATCCAACAAAAGAGGTAAAATGAACACATAACATGCTCAATAACCCTAAAAGAAGGCCTGGAAACAGGTATACAGTCTGGATAGGGAATTCTGAGATTCCCAGGCATTGAGATCAGAACGTACAAGGGAGGAGCCAGGCTCCACTGGGCATCTCTTGGCCCATGGCTTCCCTTCCCTTCCTCAGGAAGTTGCTTGAGAAGACCACAGTGAAGGCTTTTAAAGCTATGCTAGTCTGCAAAGAGAAAAAACAAAAAACTGAGAGTGTTTAAAAACTTTTTTTGTTTTATTCTTGTTTTTGAGACAAAGTCTAACTCTGTCGCCCAGGCTGGAGTGCAGTGGCACAATCTAGGCTCACTGCAACCTCTGCCTCCAGGGTCCAAGTGATTCTCCTGCCTCAGCCTCCCGAGTAGCTGGGATTACAGGGGCACACCACCACGCCTAGCTAATTTTTGTATTTTTAGTAGAGATGGGGTTTCACTGTGTTGGCCAGGCTGGTCTCGAACTACTGACCTCGTGATCCACCTGTCTTGGCCTCCAAAAGTGCTGGGATTACAAGCATGAGCTGCCATGCTCGGCCGTAAAAACGTTTATAGCAATTTGACATGGCTGTAACATCCCAGCATGGGATTATTTTTCTAGCAATGCATGTTTATTGAATTTTATAAAAGTGATCTGTCCTTGATTCATTAGATAGAAATAAAAAACAATAAAAGAAAAACCCTGTCCCTTACCACAGATAACTGAGATACTGCTTGAAAATATGTGGCTGTGAGCAGCTTTCCTTGCCTAGATTTAAGGTGGCACATGTGTGCAGGGATCAGAAGGCAGAAATTGAACCGAAATAATAAGGCTGGTTTTGAATTACTGTAAGTGTAGGGCATACCTTATTTAAAAAGATTTCTGGCCTAGACGTTTTGATTATGATCTGATTGATCCATCTTTCTGTCTTTCTGGGTCACTCTGTGTCGATTATTTGCTGGATTTAAAGTAGTAGTGATTGTGCATATGCAGGATTCCCGTGCAGATGGTTGTCTTTCCCACTCAGAATTTGAGAAAAGATACCATTTGTGTATGTGTGTAGTTGGGGGGTAGGACATATTCATGGAAAAGATTGTGGCCTTTTTTTTTTTCTTAGTTTGAATGCAAGAAGAGAGGCAAAACCATTTCTTCCTGTCATCCCAGTCGCTCTGGAGGCATCCAGTGAACATGACAAACGGGGCACCTACCTTGTGCACACAGGCCTTTGCATTCAGGAAAAACAGCTCCACGGTGGTTTTATCCTTTAAAAACGATATGCTCTCAATGTAAAACCTGAAAAACAGCAGAGGAGTTTGTTCCTTCAGATTTATTTTCACCTCTCAGCATTCCTCATTCAGTGTTCCCCAAAAGCAGGGCAAGAATTTTGAGAAACCTGAGGAAGGTTGTGCTTTCTTTTCCGTTTTAAAAGAAATATGCACCGCACGTATTTATGTGATGGATGTATGTGTATGTATAC
This sequence comes from Homo sapiens, assembly GCF_000001405.40. Taxonomy (NCBI): domain Eukaryota; kingdom Metazoa; phylum Chordata; class Mammalia; order Primates; family Hominidae; genus Homo; species Homo sapiens. The sequence continues at coordinate 69,288,021 of NC_000003.12, forward strand.
CTAAAATCTCTTTCAGGATGTTTTTGTGTCTTGGAAGGTGAGTTAAAGAGAAACCCCAAATGGTATTCAACCAAAAACAAACAAAAACAAACGTTTATCTGTGTTGCTTATTCTTTGAAACATGTTCTGGGAGTTCATAATACCTCAGACAGCTTCAAAACAAAGCGCAGATGAACTAGGAGTTGAAAGCTGAAGTCGGCTGAGCAAGCACTACCTAACCGAACCCCAAAGCCTGCTTGAGGCTCGGGGGTTTTTAGACGGAGGGGCCTGAGGGCCCCATGCCTACCTGACCCCCATTCACTGGGTGAGTTTCCATCACACTTTTCAATCACTCCTTTCTTCCTTCCCATCCTTCCAGGCCCTGGGTTTTCCTTTGGCTCAAAGCCAGGCTCTCAGCAGCCATCAATCTTGGTCTTTTCTCATGCAAATCAGGGTATTCTGGGCCTCACTGCCCCACTCCCTTTCTAGGATTTTGCTTGTTCAATCTGTGAAACCACAGGTTGCAGGCAGGCCCCTCTCAGGAGCGCTCTGACAGCTCCCGGGTGGGGAGGAGGCTGAGTCTTTAACAACTCTGTTTTCATAATCCTGTACTGATGAGGCCGGCTTGCAAAGGCTGGCACTCTGTGGTGTGCGAGTGGGCAAGCTGGGGCCCCGAAGTTTTCCTCAAGTTCTGGAGCATTGCTTGATTAATAATCATGAAGAGCCATCAAGCCCCAAGACAGCTCACTGCTTTGAGTCCGAAAGGGAATTTACTCTCAGATCAGTGAGAGTGAAGGTAAACCAGGGCTAGGAAGTGGCCAGGTGAACCTATCCTTAGCTCTGCGGAATCCTGAGTGCTTGAGCCTTTGCTTCTCTTTTTCTCCCTTTCCACAGTGATGATACCTTTGATAAATAAATGCAGCTGAAAGGGCTGTGAAAGATTTTATCACTGAGATGGTAAAATCATTCGAAACATTCCACCCTTTAATGTTGAGTCATCAACGGAAGTTCCAGAAAGAGAACAAATCCTTTGTATTTTTACTTACAAGCTTTTATCTCACTTGTAAGTGAGGTTAATGAAGATGGAGGAGTGTCAGATTTATGAGAAGAGAAAGTTAAGTACAAAGGTGGTGAAGGAAATGAGGAGTTGGGGGAAAAATAGGTTTTGGAATCCAAAAGATCAAGATGTAGTGTTTCATGTCCACCATTTATTCGCTGTATGGCCTTGGGCAAATTATTTAGTTTCTTTGTGTCTTTTTTAAATTGAATGTCGTGACTGTACTTATCTCTGAGGAAAGAACAGAACTTTTATCTGAGGAATTCCAGTTCTTTCAATTTATCAGGTCTAGAGAGGCATTAAAATAGACAACAATCAAGTCTTACTTCCCTCCTTGAGCTATGTATTTTTCTCCGGAAACTGCTTGCTACTGCCAAAACTAGCTGCACTGGGCACATTAGTGTCCACTGCCCCGGACACTGTAACCCACAACCTGTAGCTCAACAATGGATAGCCAGGCCAGACGCAGTGGCTCACGCCTGTAATCCCAGCACTTTGGGAGGCCGAGGCGGGCAGATCACTTGAAGTCAGGAGTTCCAGACCATCCTGGCCACCATGGTGAAACTGTCTCTTACTAAAAATACAAAAATTAGCTGGGCGTGGTGGCGGGCGGGCACCTGTAATCTCAGCTACTCCGGAGGCTGGGGGAGGAGAATCACTTGAGCCTGGAAGGTGGAGGCTGCAGTGAGCCAAGATTATGCCACTACAACTGCAGCCTGGGCAACAGAGGGAGACTCTGTCTCAAAAATAAAACAAAACAAAAAAAACCCAAAAAACAACGTATAGCCAATCACTGATCAATGTTATTTCTGTAAACCAAGGAGAATTAATTCCTGACGAACAACTTTTGTAACTGTCCCCTTTCTTGATTTGTCCTTTTTTTCTTTAAACACTTGGACCTCTCCTTACTTCTCCAGAGCACTTCCTAAGGCAACTTGGAAGTGTGTCCTAGGCTGCAGTCCTCAACCTTGTCCCAAATAAGCTTTTTATATTAATTTTGTCTCAGCTTTTCCTTTTGGGTAGACAGTATTCTCCTCTCCCATCAGTCTAGTGTCTTCTACCCTGAGCCCTGCTGCGTGGACTAGGCGAGTCACCTGACTCAAAGGCAGCCAAGATGTCAGGCGGTGAGGTGGCCTGGAAAGGAGCAAGTGCCACTCAACAGATGCTTTTTATACTGCATGATGAATGAGTCAACCAATTGCACATGGTCTCTTAGAGACTTGAGGGGCGGGTGAGGAGGGATTCAGTGGAGGCAGAGAAAGGCACTAAGCAGAAATTACGAGGCAGCAGAAGCCATGAAGTAGAGAGGGACAAGAGTCCACAGCAGGAGTTGATGGACTGAAGCAGGGTAGCCGAGTCACTTGTGATGGCAGACACCAAAGTGAGGCAGACCAGAGGTTGGCTGCTGCTACAGGGCTGAGATGACCCATGTTATACAAGTTTCTGTGCATTTCCAAGAACCTTCCAGTTCAGCTACTTGGTGGTGGCTGTTTCCTGCTTTCTTGGCTTTCCCATGCATTTGTATCCCTATCAATGAAGATAATATGAGCAGGCTTCCAGTGGGCAGCCTAATTAAGGGCGGCAGCAGGATCCCAGCTAACATTTCCCTGAGCTCTTACTGAGGTGCCTGCAATGTGCTAAGTGCTTCCCGATTGTTCTCTCATTTAATTATCACAACTGCCTTGGGGAGGGACCTATGATGACCCTGATTTCACAGACGCAGACTCTGAGTTTTAGAGATCTGCCTACCTGGTGGGGCTAGGTCTTGGTCTGGGACAATGACTTTGACTCTGTGGACAGTGCTCTTAACCAACATCTCCTCCTGGGCTGCCGCTCCCAGTTCACTCAACTAGCACTCAGCAGGAAGCTGAACCCTTAGTAATTGTGGGCGTCTCAACCATGTAAAAAATAGCAGAAAAATAAGACAAGTGTGACGTTTTCACCAAAATGTTAACATATATAGAAGTACGTGTGTTCTCTATTGCTTCAATAAGCAAAACCATGGCAAAAGACTTACGTTGAAGGATTTTGATTAACCTATGAAACACCTTTTTAAAAGTTAGAGTAGTCTCAGAAGGGGAAGCCCTTTCCAGAGGAAGAGATCTCCCTGCCCTAAAAAAATCCTAGGTCAGATTAGTAGAACTCAACATCTGCCTTCTACTTGAAATTTCTAAGATTATTTTTTTCCTTCACTTTTAATTACTTCAATAGACTTCTCTAACAGGGACTGTATTAAAAACACGGGGTCAATGAATTTTCACACACAACAAAGCTCATAAGAATTTCTTAATATTATTTAAAATTTAGTCTTCACTTGTATTTTCCCATTGCCTCCAAAACTTATAAAAAAAAGAGTTCTGTGATTGTGACATTTAATAAGTAAAGCTGCACTGGCCTATGGCAACAGTCACATATGCAAAAGTCGTAAGGATCACTGGCTGGATATAAATGAGTGATGCTGACCAGATGGGTGAGACCTGCTTGGGGGACACTGGGACACATTTTTTCTGCTCTACTAAAACTCCTTCATCATGGTGTGGGTAGGTGACCCAAGCTAGGCCAGTCAGCTTCTCACCCTGGAGAATAAACTTGATTAGAATGACCTAAAGATCAAAGATGGTTGGAGCCTATTTATTCTGCTAACAGCACTCTGATGAAATTGTCCCTTGGTTTCTGCTCCCTAGATCCCTGCAGAAGCCCTCATCCCTGTGTTTTCTGAGTCTTTGTCAATTCAGTTTTCCTTCCGTTTTGTTTGTTAGCCACAGGTAGTTCTGTTGCTGGCAACTAAAGAACCCAAGTTAATAGAGGGCTTCTTCCATGCTAGGGATAATACAAAGTGCTCTACAGGAATCTCTTTTTTTTTTTTTTTTTTTTTTTCCATCTTTGGTACCACCAGATGCAGTAGGCAACAAATTATGAGCCCATTTTACAGATGAGAAAGCTTAGATACAGAGATGTCAAGTCTTCTTCTTTAGGCCATACAGCTAGCAAGTAGTGGAGCCATGACTCAAACTGAGGTCTGTTAGACTTCTAAGTTCATATTCCAAGTCAATATGATATAATGCTTTCCTACAATAACAATCAAAATGAAATATAACATGTACAGAATGCTGTGGGGGCCCACCAGCCTGAGGCAATTAACTCAGCTTATGAATTAAGGGGAGAATGCTGCCAAACTGAAATCCATAGAACTAAGCACCACAGGAGAGGGGACAGTTGAGCTGAGTCTTAAAGAATGCATGAGTTCACCAGGTAACAAAGGTAGGAAGGGCACTCAGGCGGATAGCATATTAGCCAAACTAATCCTCCTGCTAGTCTTTGAGCCCTGAAGAAACCGCATACAGGTTGCTGGGTAGCTTGGCACCAAATCAATTTGTAGCGCATCCAACTTTGAACAGATACCTTTGTATTAGAAACTGGGTTCACCTTGTTTTTGGAGTCCAGGCCCCTGACTACATCCTAGTCCCAGTAAACAGGTCCCTATCTTATTTCCCACTACTTTCTGGCGACCAGCCCTGGTGCCTCCTGCCTAGGCATCAGATTACCAGCTTTCTGAATCCACAATTCCATCTCTCCCTCAAGGGGGCCATTGTAATGGCTTCATATTTATGGAGTGTATGAAAAATACATATGGGCTTTGGGGAAAATGGCTCTTCAGGCACACCTATCAACACAAACCATGAACTGAAAACAAAATCTAGGGCTTCTTAATGACATGAAATGGACTATCCCAGATTCATAAAGACCTTTTTTTCAGCCTTTTTTTTTTTTTTTTTGCAAAAGGATACTGTTTCCTTTTTGCATGCTTACTGTGAGCGATTTCACTAAGGTTTTCTTAAGTTGAAGCCCATGGTTAATTTTTCAGCTTCGGAAAGAACCCAGGCTTTTTGAATAGGCACACATTTTGGAGACAAACCTCGGCTTCACAAGTGTAATTTCTTGAGAAGAGAATTTGCTCAGGAAGGTTTTGTCACTGTTATTTGGGCTCCTCCCATTAGCATTTCTTTTTCCTTTCTTGGTTGGCTTAACCACTCATTAGTGATGACAGAACATTACACCACTGTGACATGACAAAGACGGCTGGAAGGGACACAGCCCTGCCAGCCAGATGGCAACACATGGATGTCAAAGAGCACAACACCCAGTTGTTTGGAAGTGGCTGTCCTTTGAAGAGTCGCTTAAATTTATGTGGCCAATATTTTCGTCTTGTGGTATTTATTTCTAGTGGTCACAAGTCAACACTAGGGAGTGGGAGAGACATTAGTTTGAATCCTAGCTCCAGTGCTGATCAGTCTTGAGGTCTTGGGGTAGCTGCTCCGCTCTCAGTGCCTCTTACCTCTCTTGCCTCACACACTGGAGAAATGAGAGGGTTTGAAATGTGCTTAACATAGCAGGTGGCATGTAGTTTAGCAGCCAATGAGTGGCGGTGACTATTAGAATATTATTATCTCTCTACCGATGTGACTGTAATAAAAGGCACTGACTTAGTTGGGAACATCTTTAAAGCTTTAACTGTAACAACCAGAATAAAAATTCCAAGTATCTGGCCAGGCGCGGCTCATGCCAGTAATCCCAACATTTTGGGAGGCCAAGGCAGGCAGATCACTTGAGGCCAGGAGTTCGAGACCAGCCTGGCCATCATGGTAAAAACTCATTTCTACTAAAAATACAAAAATTAGCTGGGTTTGGTGGCACATGCCTTTAGTCCTAGCTACTCAGGAGGCTGAGGCAGGAGAATCGCTTGAACCTGGGAGGAGGAGGTTGCAGTGAGTTGAGATCCTGCCACTGCACTCTAGCCTGGGTGACAGAGCTAGATTCTGCCTCAAAAAAAAAAAAAAAAAAAAAAAAAAAATCCAAGTATCTTTCCTAAGTTCTTTCTCTCAAAGAAACAAATGCTACAAAAATGTCTGTTTTAACATAAAATGAGAAAATAGTGTGAAACCAATGCTTTTCTAATCAGTTTCAACTTTTCTCCCTCAACTGAGCATGGTTTCTTTGTTTCCCAGGGCCTTTGCGAGGTCCCAGTGGTATCTTCAAAGAAGGTGAATTGGGCAAGAACTGCTCAATTATTTTGCATTCTGAACAATGCTGAGTTTGTGACTGGCGTCCAGTGAGGGCTAAATCAAAACACCTCATTCTGGGTTTCTTTTAGTCACCATGAGTAATTTTAGGCATTTAACTGCAGCCACACGCCTAGGTAGATTTCTATCAGATCCTCATCCACATTCTGAGCGGGGAGATCTCTGTTTATTGCTTGTAATGACCCTGCAAGGTAGTCATATCTCACTTTATAATGCTGAAGGCTGAAGTGTAATTTAAGTGTATTTCACTTTCTCCAAACACATCACTTTCTGCAAGATATTATGCAGTGCTTATGGGAGTCCAATATGTTCCCTTTCATCTGTGGGAGGGGAACAGTCTTGGAGAATTCCCAGGGGAAGCACTGTTTGCTTCTACAATGTGCTTCTCTGCCAGGAATGCTCTTCCTCATTTCTGAATTTCCAGACATGGCTAGAACCAGAGAGGGCCTCCTGGTAAGCCTGTAGAAACCTGCCCTCTTGCTCCTTTCCCACAGCATGACTCTTTCTGAGTTATCTAGAAGAGCTGGAGGCCCAAAAGAGTCAGGGCCTTGCTGTGACCTGCCAGGAAGGGGAGAGAGTCTTCTCCCCTAGGCAACCTGAAGTGTCAGGGGCATGTGAATTCCAAGTGCTTGCCTCTCCTCTGCTTTAAAACAGCCTGCTCTAGTCCTCCACAGGAAAGCAGGGACAGATGCTTTGAGAGGGAGTGGGGAGGGGAGGCAGCGGAGAAAAGTGGGGAAGTAACATCTGGGCACGGTGAATAATGAAGATAAATGATAAGATCTTTCACCCAGTGCAAAGGGGAATGGGTCAGACCCAAGCCAGACAATCCCAAATCTTTCATATTCAAAGGCTGTGACAGAAACTTGATAGAATGTTTCGCCCACTGAACATGTGGTTGAGGCAGCCTGTTATTTAGGACATACAAAATAGTTAACATTTATATAGGGTCTACATTAGCTGTTAGCACTTGTAATCCTCCAACAACCCCCAAAGTAGGTGGGGGCTACCACCAGCTTCATTTCATAGGTGATGAAACAGGCCCAAGAGGGTGCCAGAAGCTACATAGTGAGTAAGTGGAAGAGCTGGAATATGAACCTAAGAATGATGCTAAAGCTCTGTTCTCAATGTTTGGGTGGGGGTGTTTACCAATGCTGAAGACATTATTTGACTGTCAGCACTTGGGGAGTGTTATTGTTTATTTTGAGACAGGGTCTTGCTCTGCTGCCCGGGCTAGAGTGCAGTGGCCTGATCACCGCTCACTGCAGCCTCAATGTCCTGGGCTGAAGCAATCCTCCTGCCTCAGCCTCCTGAGTAGCTGTGACTGCAGGCACGCACTACCATGCAAGGCTAATTATTGTATTTTTTGTAGAGACAGAGTTTCGCCATGATGCCCAGGCTGGACTTGAACTGGACTCAAGTGCTCCACCTGCCTTGGCCTCCCCAAGTGCTGGGATTACAGGTGTGAGCCACGGTGGCTGGCCTGGGAGCATCATTGACGTCAGTAAGTGGAGACCAGGGATGCTGCTAAAGATCCTACAGCACAGCTTAGCTCCCTACTACAAAGAATGGCCTGGTCCTCAGTGTCAATAGTGCTGCTGCAGTGAAACCTTGCACTGAAAACTGAGCTTCTAATTTCCGTGTTCTCTAGCTTCTTTCCCCCTTCACAATATGGTTTCTTTCTTTCTTTTTTTCTTTTGGAGACAGGGTCTTGCTCTGTTGCCCAGGCTGCAGTGCAATGGCGTGATCTTGGCTCACTACAACCTCTGCCTCCCAGATTCAAGTGATTCTCCTGCCTCAGCCTCCCGCGTAGCTGGGACTACAGGTGTGCACCACCACACCTGGCTAATTTTTGTACTTTTAGTAGAGATGGGGTTTTGTCATGTTGGCCAGGCTGTTCTCGAACTCCTGACCTTGTGATCCACCCATCTTGGCCTCCCAAAGTGCTGAGATTACAAGCATGAGTCACTGCTCGTGAGTGGCACCCAGCCCCACAATACGATTTCTTTACTTTTGATGTTGCCTCTTCATTGTCCTGAGACACACACACACAGACAGACAAACGCACACATCCTTTAAGCATTCATGGCCCATCTGTTTTTTAAAACTGTGGAAACACAGGCACACCCACCAAAAGACAGGACTGAAAGGTTTGCAAGGGGAGTGAGCAGATTTCTAAAAATAATTTCTGATACTTGCCCAGGGAATACACCGAGAAATAGAATCCTGTAAGAAACTAATATCATGATCGAGCATGTGCTTCTGAGGATTCCGTGTCTTTCTTGAGCTCTTGTGTGAATTAGGATGTTGGATCCTCAAAGAGGAAGGCCATTAAACGCCTGCCTGGAAGTTCAGAATAGGCTGGGCCAGTTAGGGGTCATGGGTGATACTGAGGCAACTGGCCTTTGTATTACCCATGGTCTGGGGTATTGTGCATTCAGATGCGAGTGTGACAGATGGGCAAAGACCTCTGGCTAACTTGCACACCTCCCTCAAGTAACCTCAGCTCAGCCTAAGTAGGAGAATCAGTTGTTTCTCAGGGCCTTTAAATCACATTCCTCCATGAAAAGATGAATTTCCAGTCCTCTCATTATTGTAAATCACCTACCATCTGATGGCTTTAAACAAATGCATGGTTATCTGGTCACAAACATTTTATCCTTTCTTCCTCTTATCGCTTTTCACAACTGCATTAAAAAAATTTGCTCAAGTAATATGTTCATTGTAAGAAAAAATACAGATGACCAAAAAAGAAGAAAATGAAAATCATCCCTACAATCATTCTACCTAGAGATTAACTGTTGTTAACATTTTAAACTTAGTTTCCATCTGTACAGACGTTTTTGTAAAATATTTTACAAAGAGTGTTATCATATTGCATGGACTTTTTGTGGTCTACTTCTTTCACCTAGAATATATTGGGAGCATCTTTCTATATCAATAAGTCTCACCCTTTACTACAGTCTGTCTTTATGTGTCACGTGTATTTGGCTCTCTTTAAAAAAATTCTGGTGGAATGACGAGGACTCACGGGTTGTAGTCATGATGCTTCCTCGAGTTAAGCTCTTTCTAAAGATCTAATGTTCCAAAGACCAGGCCAGGAGCGATGAGAAGGCAGTCAGCAGTCTTGACTTCAAGGGCTCCATGTTTGCAGCAATTTTCACCCAGAGGTAGCAGTCTGCCTCCGGGTTTCCTACTACAGTAGGAAAGTGAGTTCTTCTCAGCCCTGAGTGTGGCAGACAATGCTTTAGGGTACCACTGAGTGGACACATGCAGTCCTAGGACCCAGCAAAAGTGACTTGGAAAGAGGAGGAGGAAAAGAAGGGAGAAGAGGGAAGACCAAATGAAATGAAAAACAACAACAACAAAAAATAATAAAGGGGATGAAAGATGCCAAGATTCTGGCTTTGACTGGAACAGGGTGGTACCAGCCTGAGGCACCTCAGGTTGCCCTCCTCTGAGGGAATATGAGCATTTCCAGTGAGGTCACGCCAAGGCCCTGCACTCCTATTTAAATGCTTGCTTGCTCCTCACTGTCAAGCCTTTCAAATGTTCACATCTGGGCTGCATTACCAAGAGGCTCATATGTTTGTGGAATATAATTTATGGCAGCCAGATAACAACCCCCAGCCTGGGGAAGTCCCCCAGAAACCTGGGGGAGTTTGGACTCCCATGGAAATAGAGAACTGGTTAAATAAATTATGGTACCTAAATAAATTATGGTGCGTCTATACACACAGAGGTCACACACATATTTAGCACACCTCTTTGAGATTTTATAACTGGAAAAAAGAAGACAAAGGTTTAATCTTGAAGTCATAAAGGGAACACTACATGCCTTTGCTTTAAATATTTTCTTTTCTCTGTGCAGAAGCAGCATATGTTTCTGAGCTGCTCCCTCTATCCTGGGGGATATAAACCAGATATTTATTAACCCTTCAAATCTGTAGGACCTCAGGGTTTAGCTCAGGAGTAAATGAGACAATACTTTTCAAATAGCCTAGGGCCTGCTGCAGAGTTTATGCTACATTTCAGTAGAGAGAAAACTTCTTGAGAGCAAGTTCTCGTGGAATTTTTCTTTTTCATAAATGCTACAATAAATAAAATATTTTCTTACATTTGCATAATGTTTTGCAAAATCATTTTGTATCCCCTGCTCTCTCCTCAATTCTCATAACCAACTTGCACCATCTCCAGTGAATGTGTAGTGAGTGAGACTCAGTCTGGTTCACCCCACTCATCTCTGGCCTGGGCCATTGCAACAGCTTACTAACTGGTCTTGCTGTGCCCTCCTGCCCTGTTCCGATCTGTCCTCAACCCAGCAGCCAGAGTGAGTCTGTTTAAAATGGAAATTGGTTATGCTCTCAAGCTCAAAACCCACAGGCCCCAATGCTCTACAGGCCAACCCCATGCCAACTCCTACTCACCTCCCTTTTATAGGTTCTCTCCAGATACATGACTTCCTTCCAGGGGCTGGTACACACCAGGCATGCTCTTGCCAACCTTTCTGTGCACCTGCTGTTCCCCTGGCCTGGAAGAAACTTCCTCAGAAATGGGCCTGGGTCCTGGGTCCTTGTCTCATCTCCTGCATGCCTTTGCTCAATGCCACCTTCTTTGAGAGGCCTTCCCTGACCACTGTTTTTAGAAATGCAGCCCCGGCTTTGCTAATATTCCCTTTTCCTCCTCCCTAATGGAGTTTTCTCCATAACCCCTCACATAAGATACTTTGCAGGTTTACTTTACTTAGTGTCAGTCTCTTTCCATTAGGCTGTGTGCTTTATGGCTGCAGGATTTTGTCATTTTCTTCTACCACTGCTATATTCCCAGCATCTAGTATAGGGCCAGACACATAGCAGGAAATCAGCAACTATTTATCAGATGAATGGACAAACTGTTATTATATAATGAATGCATTTGTTTATGTGTATGCTGACTATGATGGTAGAGATTTTTGCCTTCTTCACTATCGGGTCCTCAGACCTAGAATGGGGCAGAACACAACGTAGCAAAACTCCAATACATAATGAATGAAGGAAGGAAGAAATGTTTCTTCATAGCTTGGTGTAGCTCCTTCCAGGAATTTTCTCAGCATTTACAGATCTATATAGGTTTATAAAACATACCAACTTCAAAAAACCTCAATGTGATCACCTGAACTTTCCATGGCATAAACAGTAATCTCTGTTTTACAGAAGGACACTCATTCCCTATCTTTTTCAGATATAATGTATCTTATCTCCTAAGATGCATGAGCGATGAGATACATGACAACATCCCTGGTAACAGTGACTTATTAAAGTAATGATTTATGAGAGGAGGGGTGGAGAGAGGGCTCAACAATGCACCCCTCCCTCCATGGCATTATATCAGAATCTGGGCCAGGAACGTGGAGTTGGAGGGGAATAATTGTGTAGTTTGAAAAATGTCCCAAGATGATTCAGATATGCCCTGCCTCTCCTTCTGGAGAAGCTCTGAATTGCAATGTACTTTTTCATCTAATCTCTTTTGTTAAAGTGATTCATTGTTTACTATAAAAGTGCCACCATAACCTACTGAACCTATCTTCATTGTTGGCATTAGGATATTTCTAATTGTTTGCACCGAAAATAACAGCGGTACACATGCTTTAATGTGCTATCACTGAAGGGAATTCTTTTTCATTGTGCATTAACTATTTGGTGACTACACATCTCGGTGTCCATGAATGAGGGGCTTCTGTGCTCCATGTTCCAGTGCATGCAGCAGTACTGTGCTGACACAAGAGGTGAGGTACCCAATCTCAAAAGAGGTCCCCTGCACTTCCAGAGGCTCCTAAAATGAGCGAACATCAAGACAGAACCAAATGCTATCTTTGGCTCTCTATTCTTCAGTCAAACAGGCAACCTGGAGATTTGTTGATGGTGTCTACTGGGATAGAAATCTTACCAATAGTTCTGTTTTCTCCAAATAGGAGGCTAGAGACCCTCTGAGGAGCAACTCACTTCACTGGAGCACAAGACAACCCCATTTGCAAGACCTCCATAGAACCAGCTACATTCCACAGTGACCTCGGTCAGTTCACAAAATTCTTTGGCGTGTGCTTTTCCTTTATCATTTCCTTAATTAAATTGGAGTAAAAACAACTACTTAATTGGAATAATAACAAAGACTATTATGATTCTCACTATACTGTTGGGAGGAAGAACTAAGTGAATAATTAAAAACTTGATAAGGGTTTAAACATGCAAGTAGTTAGGGGAAAGTAATGCGAAGTGATTAGGGGACACTCTTGAGATAACACTCCAAGTAAGTGCTGAAACTCATGAACAAGCAGCAGGCCACTCTGGAATTTCAGGAACCTGCTTGGAGAAGATAGAGTGCCTTATGAATGACTGTACAGAAAGGGAGATAGGGTTTACTCCTTTGGTATTCTGTGACCCAAAACAGACCAGATATTAGCTGTCAAATAATCTGCACAAATCTGGTTACTACCTAGATGGTACTTGTTAGATGTTCTGAAGACATAACGCTTTCATTGAGTAGGGAACACTACATAAACACTACACCACATGCACAAAAGATGAAAGTGCAAGGATGTTAGGTGCAACCTATTGGTTTTTTTTGTTTTTGTTTTTGTTTTTTGGCGATGGAGTCTCACTCTGTTCTCCATGCTGGAGTGCAATAGTGTGATCTTGGCTCACTGCAGCCTCCGCCTCCAGGGTTCAAGCTATTCTGCCTCAGCCTCTGGAGTAGCTGGGATTACAGATGCCCACCACCAAGCCTGGCTAATTTTTGTATTTTTAGTAGAGATGGGGTTTCCCCATGTTGGCCAGGCTGGTCTCATACTCCTGACCTCAAGTGATCTGCCTACCTCGGCCTCCCAAAGTGCTGGGATTACAGGCGTGAGCCACCGCGCCTGGCTAGCTGCAACCCAAATTTTAATAACAACTAGAAATAGCCTAAATGCTTAAATAAATAGATTTTTACACACCCAAGGAAAGATCTCCACCCAGGTTGCAAAGAAAAAAAATTTAATTCATCAAACAACTTACCCTATTTTTCTAAGAAGGGGAGCAAAGTTTATCATAAAATTTTTCATCAAACTTAGGAAAGTGGGGAGAGGGGGTCAGTACATAAGGAGGGCTTTCAGCTCAATCAGTAATGATTTCACCTCAAGCTAGGTAGAGAAATATAGGTATTACTTCTTGTTTTTTTTGTTTTGTTTTGTTTATGAGATGGAGTCTCACTATTGTCCAGGCTGGAGTGCAGTGGTACGATCTTGGCTCACTGCAACCTCTGCCTCTGGGTTCAAGCGATCCTTATGCCTCAGCCTCATGAGTAGCTGGCATTACAGGCACACACCACCAAGTTCAGCTAATTTTTTTTGTGTATTTTTAGTAGAGATGAGGTTTTGCCATGTTGGCCAGGCTGTTCTCAAACTCCTAACCTCAAGTGATCCACCTGCCTCAGCCTCCCAAGGTGCTGGAATTACAGTCATGAGCCACTGTGCCTGGCCGGTATTACATCTTATAACATTTTATTTATCTTAGAATGTGAACTAAAAAAAATAGTTCTATCATGAGATGGATTTGAGAAATTACTGATTTAGCTGAATGCATCCATTTCAGGATACAGTTAAGTGACTTGCCCAAGCAAACCTCAGAGAACAAGTCAAGGACTCTGCATTATTTTCAGCAGTCTGTCTGCATGTGAATGCAACTCAGATCCCTGTACTGTTAATTCTTTCCATGAGCATTTGTTTGCATTTTATCCTCTATTCAAATTAAGGCATCAAATTGTACAGAATTCAATTATTTTTAAGTCTGTAGAAAACATTATTGCCACGTAAAATGTAATAGCAAATGTTTGTCACATTTCAAAGAATGAGAATCTTAAGAATCTGATGAGTGAGAAACAGTCTTATGTATTAAAATATATTACCCATGTTTTTCAGCTTTAAATTGATTTCTAAGAGGCTTTGAGGAATAAAGGAAGGCAACTCTATCCTTCATCTTCAAAGAAAACAGCTCTACGGTATCTATGGTAACTTGGTCCTCAGACCAAGACAGTAGAGAATCTCCTTCACATGATAATGTTTTGATAGGTCTCTTCTCTTTTTATTTGCTATCTCTAATCACCAGAAATGTAAAAAATAGCAAAGAAAACACACAAAAACCCAAAAATAACAGCAAAAAAAGAGGGATGCTAACTGGGTCTGTGGATACATACCTCACAGCAAAGTGCAAAATGGTTGGGCCTGGTTTCTTGGGCAAATCGTGGTCAAGAACTCGGTGATCTAACTGCAGCCAGTTCTGCTGACCTCTGTGAGAGCAAAGCAAAGAAAAAGGATTCAACAGAAAGTCAGAAAAGTTCAACAACGTACAGTGTTGGCAAAGCTGTGGCGAAATAGTTGCTCTCATACACCGATGGTAGGAGCACAACCTGTTACAACTGGTAATGAGACCAACTCAGCAATTTCTTTCAAAACTATGAAAGCACTTGCTTCTGAACCAGCATTTCCATTTCCAGGAGTACATCAAGGTAAACTTGCACATGTGAGAAATAATTTGTATATGAAATCACTCACTGTAGCAACATTTGAAATAGCAAAAGGGGTGGAAATAACTTCGATGTCCAAGAGGATATTGTTTAAAAAAATTATTTAAAACTATAGAGTGGGCAGGCACAGTGGCTCATGCCTGTAATCCCAGCACTTTGGGAGGCCGAGGCGGGCAGATCACCTGAGGTCAGGAGTTTGAGACCAGCCTGGCTAACATGGTAAAACCCTGTCTCTACTAAAATAAAAAAAAATTAGCCAGGCATGGTGGCACGTGCCTGTAATCCCAGCTACCTGGGAGGCTGAGGCAGGAGAATCGCTTGAACCCGGGAGGCGGAGGTTGCAGTGAGCCGAGATTGCACCATTGCACTCCAGCCTGGGCAACATCCCCTGTTAGAGTGAAACTCTGTCTAAAAAATAAACAAACAAAACCCCCCAAAACAAACAAACAAAAAAAACTATAGAGTGAAATACAATGCAGCCATAAAATAGGCTGAAGAACACGGGTGTGGCGGCAGACACATGTAGTCCCAGTTATTCGGGAAACTGACGCAGGATGATCGCTCGAGCCCAGGTGTTTGAGGCTGCAGTGTGCTATGATCACGGCTGTGAACAGCCACTGTACTCCAGCCTGGGCAACATAACCAGACCCCATCTTAAAAAAAAAAAAAAGCCAGGGAGCCTCTTTATAAACTTATTTTGAACAATTTCCAAGAGACGATATTAAATGAAAAAGCAAGATGCATAACAGCAAGTATATGGCGATTTTAAAAATTAAACAAAGAACAAACATACATATGTGCATGTATATATTACAAATATCTGAGAGAAAAAACAAAAAACTGATAACACTAGTTGACTTTTGAGGTAAAAAACTAGGCCATATGTTAATATTAAATTTTTATGAAATATGAAATATTTTAGATAATCAAGAAGGAGAAAACTTCTGGTTCAATGAAATAAAACACACAGGCTGGGTGTGGTGGCTCACATCTAGCACTTGTAATCCTAGCACTTGGGAGGCCAAGGCAGGCAGATTGCTTGAGCCCAGGAATTTGAGACTAGCCTGGGCAACATGGTGAAACCCGATTTCTACAAAGAATACAGAAAAAAATTAGCCTAGTGTGGTGGTGCATGCCTGTTGTCCCAGCTACTATGGAGGCTGAAGTGGGAGGATCACTTGGGCCCAGGGAAGTCAAGGCTGCAGTGAGCCGTGATCATGCCACTGCATTCCAGCCTAGGCAACAGAATGAGACCCTGTCTCAAAACAAAAGCAAAAACAAAAACAAAAAACCAGACACATAACAATACCACAGCTTTTAAAAAAAGTACAGGGTCGGTGCTAGGCACAGTGGCTCATGCCTCTAATCCCAGCACTTTAGGAGGCTGAGTTGGGAGGATTGGCTAAAGTGGGAGGATTGCTTGAGCCCAGGAGTTTGAGGCTGCAGTGAGCTATGATTGTGCTACTGCACCCTAGTCTGGACAACAGAGGGATAACTTGTCTCAAAAAAAAAAAAAAAAAAGGCCGGGCACAGTGGCTCATGCCTGTAATCCCAGCACTTTGGCACTTTGGGAGGCCGAGGTGGGCAGATCCCTTGAGGTCAGGAGTTTAAGATCAGCCTGGCCAACATGGTGAAACCCTGTCTCTACTAAACATACAAAAATTCACTGGGCATGGTGGCGGGTGCCTCTAATCCCAGCTACTTGGGAGGCTGAGGCAGGAGAATCACTTGAAGCCAGAAGGCGGAGGTTGCAGTGAGCCGAGGTCATGCCACTACACTCCAGCTTGCACGACAGAGCAAGATTCTATCTCAAAAAAAAAAAAAAAAAAAAAACAGTACAGGGCTGAATACTCTCTGAGTGCCACTTCTGTATATATATTATGGGCTTACTGAGATTTAAGCACGTACTTGTTTATTTTATTTACTCAAGAGCCTCACCAAGTTCATAAACAGTTCTCTCTAGATTTTGACCACTGAGGGATCAAAAGGATTGATGACACTGGGGCTCAGAACTGTTTACGTGCCTTTTCCGAGCTTGTCCAACTAGTCCATCCATTTTAGGCTGTAAATTCCCAGAGGGCATAGACCCTCTTTTACTTGCTTACATAAAATTCAATCTAAGAACATGCTGATGGTGGTGGGATAGCGTGTCAAAATGTAATAAAATATATAATGGGCCAGAAGACATTTTCAAACCTATTTTGGTCCTTGAGTAAAAAATTAAAAAACAAAATCAGAAAATTCAAAGCTGTATTCATTATAAGTAGACAGGAAAAATGAGCATAAATAATAATATGAGTAGTAGTAATAATAACAATAGCTAGTCTCTATCGAGTAATGACTCTGTGCCAACCAAGCTGGAACTCTTTATACATTAAAGCTATATTTTACAATAAGCCAGTGAGGAAAGTGCTAGAGCTGGGATTTGAATCCAGGGCTTCCTTTCTTCTTCCCTCCACCCACCACCCTACCCAGTGGACTTGTATATAAAAGTACCCGGGACTTTCAGTACTGGAGAAAATGAGACTAGAGGGTTGAATCAGCTTTTATAATGACTTCTGACTCAGTCTCTGATACTCAGCAGGTTAAATGCCGGAAAGAGTGTGTCTTTGTTTCCATAGTTACAAGACAAGGCTTCTGATACCTGTTTCCAGCTTTCCTTGCAAGAATATTATAAAGATAAATAAGCTGATTAAGTAACACAAGGGAAGGTCCTTAGAACTACTGCTTTTGTGTGTAAAACAAAATAAGATAGGAGACTGACGTTAAGAGAGTCTTACACTCTATTTCATCAAGTTTAGGATGCCACTGATATAAAGACACATCCCAATTTCACAGACGTTTAAATGTGTGTCTTAAAATACATAACATATTTGATAGTATCAGATCTCAAAAGTTTTCTTAGGAAAGATGCATCATTTTAAAAGCAAAATAGGCTAGACATGGTGGCTCACACCTGTAATCTCAGCATTTCAGGAGGTTGAGGCAGGAGGATCACTGGAGCCCAGGAGTTCAAGGCTACAGTGAGCTATGATCATGCCACTGCACTCCAGCCTGGGAAACAGAGAGAGACCCTGTCTCTGAAAATAAATTGAAAGCATAATGTATATTTGTATGAACTTGCATGGAATGGTGTCTATGAATGAATGAAGCAAGTTGTACAATAGCATATACAGCATAAACCAATTATGTTAACCACAGATGCACATTCAAAACACTATTAAATATTGATGAACATTTTTAGATATATTTCTGGAGAGTCACACAGCAGCTTGCTAGTACTGGTTACCTCTGTGGAAGAAACTACAGTTGCAGTGGGAAAGTAATCAAAAGGGACTGGACTCAACCATGACATTAAAGAAGATATTCATGCATATATTATAAGAAATAGTTTTTTAAAAGGATAAATTACAAATTAGATTTTAAAAAATCCACCCACAATCTCATCAATAGGAAAAAGTCTAGAAGAATTTTTTAAAAAATGCCCATAATTCTACCACTGAAATATAAAGGTTACTTATTGCTTATAACTTGCTTTTGTCAAATTTTCCCATCAGCAAATATAATAGATCTAACCAATATCTTAAAAAGACAATCATATCTACCCCTCTCAGGAGTGCAGACCAACCACAAAGCAAGTTTTATTTTTGGCTAGAATTGCATCAACAGAAGGCCCATTGTCACAGTCCCATTGGAAGGGACAGTGATCAAAAGTCACAGTTGTGTTGTAAAGTCTATCTGTTATTTCTTGGTAAACAAAGCTTATTTAGCAAAGCCTTTCAAAACATGAGAAGGCAAAACAAAAAGTGAAATGGGTGAAGAGATGGAACCACTACGGTGACCTGAAGGACTGGTGCCTCAGGAGGGCCGTGACTGCCCTCTAGGGGTGAAAGACTAACTTTGCACACAGAGCTGCGCAAGGCCCTAACAAGCGTAATCTCAGAAATGCTATCCCTCTCCCAGTAACGTGACCTTGAATCTGTGGTTGTTGGTCATCATCACTGCTTTTATTGCGTAATTGCCATCTATTTTTCCGTTTCTCCTCTTGGCCTGTGGATGAGTTGTAGACAGTAGCTACTTTCATTGACAAAATGTTCCTTTCAGCTTTACCAAAGACAAAAGACGCATGTGGCATCTAGGCTGGAAAATAAACTCAGACGGCATCCTGGGAGGGCCCTCACTCAGTGGTTTTACGGGGGCGAAGGGAGGCAGGAGGAAAGTGCTGAAAGAAAATACTTTCCAAAAATATTTACCAAAGAAAAAGAACTAGGCTTGTGACCAAGACATTCCAAGGAGACACCCTTAGACATAAGCAATATTCCAGGCCCGCTCCCCAGAAAGGTAGAAATGGCCAATTTCCACCCCCTCAACAGCCCCGCTCATACTTCTTCTGAAAATAAACACGACTAGAGCCAGGAGACACCTCCCCAAACTGGTCATAATTCAAAAAGAGACTCTGCCGTCACTTGCCGGGGAGTGCACAGAGGACATTGTGGAGCCGGGGTTCTTGGAAAGACCATGACTATAGTTACCTCCTTTGGTTGAACCAAAGGAGGTAACTGGGAAAAAGGCTGTGTGAACCATTCTTCTCCCAGCGTAGTTTTGAGAAAGAAATCTCAGGGCAGACAACAAGAAGGGTGGCCCAAATAACTGAAGGAAGTCATTCCCATTATTCCTTTTCTTTTCCTTTTTGGACAGTGTCTCGCTTTGTCACCCAGGCTGGAGTGGCACAATCTCGGTTCACTGCAACCTCCACCTCCTGGGTTTAAGTGATCCTCATGCCTCAGGTGCCTGAGTAGCTGGGATTACAGGCGCCCACCACCACGCCCAGCTAATTTTTGTATTTTTAGTAAGACGGGGTTTTGCCGTGTTGCCCAGGCTGGTCACAAACTCCTGACCTCAGGTGATCCACCCTCCTCAGCCTCCAAAGTGTTGAGATTACAGGCGTGAGCCACCACACCCGGCCTACTATTTCTTTTCTTTCCGAAGAGAAGGTCTTACAGTCTGAACCCCTTACTTACGCACTGTCTGGTTTATATTCAACTGAGCTTGGAGCTTTTCCTGAAGCCTCCCATGTGGCCAGGACCCTCTTTTCCAGTCTGCCACAAACCTTGCAGTCTGAGGGACCTCTGACACTGCAAGTCAAAGCCGCATTCCTCCTCCCTATAACATCCTTCCATGGACTGGGTGTGCCTCCTCCATCTGTGTGACTAACAAGGCTCACCTATGATCTTGTCCCCACGATCAGGCCAACGTCTTCACCCTTGGGCAAATGTACCTTGTTCGTTGCCATGTTCATGCATTTGCCCACAAAATAACTCTTGCCTAGGATGTCACCTCTCATCTCCCCTCCCATCTATTTAAAGTCTACCTTACCTGCAAGATCCAATTTTAGTTACTCGTCTGTGTGACGCCTGCTCCAGTCCTCCTTCAGTTTCCTTCTTAACACTCCCTTACTGCAGTACATTGGGATGACAGCTCCCTTTTATTGTGGGCCGGTGCTATATGCTCTGCCTACCTTACCTGATTTAATAGTATTGAATACTAGTACCCTATTACAGGTGCCTTATGTAGTACATACTATATAAGGCACTGTTATTATGTCCAGCGTACAGATGAGAAAACTTGAGTGTCAGAGATGTTAAGTAACTGTTCTAAGGTCACACAGCTAGCTATCAAGATTCTCTGATACCTGCTCCTACCTCCCTCTCAACCCTCCTCCTGTACCACTTTCCCTCTTAATCTCTGTACTCTCATCACACTGGCTTTTTTTTTTTTTGTTTGGGACAGGATCTCACTCTGTCACTTGGGCTGGAGTGCAGTGGTGAGATCATGGCTCACTGCAACCTCCACTTTCTGGGCTCATGCAATCCTCCCACCTAAGCCTCCCGAGGAGCTGGGACTACAGGTGTGCACCATCATGCCCCCTTAATGTTTTTGCATTTTTAGTAGAGATGGGGTTTCACCATGTTGCCCAGGCTGGTCTGGAATTCCTAGGCTCAAGTGATCTGACTGCCTCAGCCTCCCAAAGTGCTGGGATTAGAGGTGTGAGCCACTGTGCCCGGCCTTGTTTTTTTTCTCGCAAAAAACAAATCACAAAAGTCATGCTTAGCCCCACCTCAGGACTTTTGCACTGGTTTTTGTTTGTAATGTCTCCCCAAATTTTTGCAGAACTGGCTCTTGCTTTTCATTACATGTCACCTCCTAGATCCTGTCCTAGCCCACCCTGTCTAAAACTGAACCCAAGTTTTCTTGGTCATGGCCTTTTATGTTCTTCAATGCACTTATAATTGCTGATATTCCTTTGATTTATCTGTTTGTTTACTTGTTATGCTAGACTATAGCATTGCAATATGAGCTCCATAAAAGCAGGGGCCTTGTCTGTGTTACTCCTAGCTGAATCCTCGTGATATAGAACAACACCTGGCATTGAGTGGGCATTCAAAAAATATTTTATTTTCTATTTTTAGAGATGGGTTCTTGCTCTATTGCCTAGGCTGGTGTGCAGTGGCATGATCATAAACTCACTGTAGCCTTGAACTCCTAGGCTCATGCAATCCTCCCACCTCAGCCTCAGCCTCCTGAGTGGCTAGGACTGGAGTTGCACATCACCACACCTGGCTGATTTTTAATTTTTTTTTTTTTTTTCGTAGAGATGGGGTCTCACTATGTTGCCTAGGCTGGTCTTGAACTCCTGGCCTCATGCAATACTCCCTCCCTTGGTCTCCAAAAGTGTTAGGATCACAGGTGTGAGCCACTCTTAATGTAAATATATATATATACTTGAGACAAGGTCTCACTCTGTCGCCCAGGCTGGATGGCAGTAGTGCCATCATCATAGCTCACGGCAGCCTCAACCTCCTGGGCTCAAGTTGTCCTCCCACCTCAGCCTCCCGAGTAGCTGGGACTACAGATGTGTCACCATACCTGGCTGATTTTTTTTTTTTTTTTTTTTGTAGATATGGGGTCTCCCTATGTTACCTAGGTGGCTCTGAAACTCCTGTACTCAAGGGATCTGCCCATCTCGGCCCTCCAAAGTGCGGGGATTACAAGTGTGAACTATCACACCCGGCCAATATTTTTTCAATGAATAAATTACTCCAATATTCATGTTGTTAACCCCTATTCTATGTGACCTCTGCCTAAATTATAGTGCTTATAGCAGTTACAGTTTATACCATATAACCTAGCCATTGTATATTTATGGCTTTATGTCTTATACTGTTTGCTATGATTTCATCCACATTTGGATTCAGCCTATGTGTGTGCGTGTTCAATCACTGATTCGCAGGAGCTGGTGCTGGCTATGCATGTCGGCATTTCCCATTTCATCCAGTAGAGGACAGGTCATACAGAGCCTCTCAAATGGTAGCTGTTGAGTGATTCAGAGTGAGGTGAGAGATGTCTAGTGTACTTTCTTCTGCCTTGTTGAGCCCTCTTTGGGAAACATCCTCAGTCCAGAATCAAGTTTTCAGGTTTTTCTATTCCTCCTGATAATTCAGCTGCTTGGTTTTTGCCCAGTGCAAGTCCTGAGCCTGCTGGCATATTCTGGAGGTCCTAGGCTCACAGCCCACCCAGGCTGGGAATAATCAGAAGCCACAAGGTGTTAAAAGCAAATTAACTCCTTCTTGAGATGATTTTCCACCTGATTAAACTAAAGAACTGAAAAATATTTAAATTGGCAGCATTATGAAAAGAATGCTGGATGGTTGGCCAACATATTTTATGTCTGGAACACATCTTCTTGCATTTTAACATTTAAGGAGCTCTTTGGAAATTATCTGCAGAAAGTGGAAGGATTCCTCTGATAATGTATCGGGCTGCATAAAATGTAGGCAAATTGGGCTGCCATAAAAAAGACAGACAGATACACACAGACAAACACACACACACACACACACACACACACAGAGAGAGAGAGAGAGAGAGAGAGAGAGAGAAAAGAGCTAGTAAATCCAAACACATTTGCTTAGAGTGTTAAATTCTCATGAATTTATTTTTATTTACCTGCCTTGTTTTGGGGAGCATATATATTGTTGACAAATATATACAACATTCAACAACTTAGCATAAAAGGCAAAAGTGAAAAAAAAAAGAAAAAGATAGTTGAGAAGGCAACATAAAATGGACCTAAGTGGTAGTTTAAAAGTTCATTCCATATTAAACTATATACATGTTTTTTAGTGGGCCACAAATTTGCCTTTAAGCTCTCTTGCCACCAACACCAACACATCCACTCAGTTTCAAGATGTGAGTAAATATCTAATATTTCTACCATATAAGCTAAATTAGCAAGCACAATCACATTCAAAGACATGAGAAGATACACTGTAATCGGGAATAACAAACTCATTACTACACATTTCTAAAACATTTAGAACAATATTTTGAGTTCCTAAAATGGTCAGTATCCCTTTTCTTCTCCCTTTGCCATAATCCTAGGAGAAAAATCGCATATTAAAAAACCTTTAGCTAAGCAGGACATGTTCTGAATGCTGGAGGACTTATTTCCTTTTTTGTTAATTATGGAAGACAGCAAGTAGGTAGCCCAGGCAAAAGGTAAAGAAACTAAAACTATTAAAGGACTTACGTGTCATCTATGAATGTTATTCCAAAATACTCCTTTTCTTTCAGGTTGAAATGTGAAGCCACTAGGTCCAGCAACTCTCTTGCTAGAAGTTTGGGCTGTCAAAATAAAAATCTGGTTAGAAGCAATTTGGTTGCCTCTCTCTTACTGCTACCACCTTCCTCTGCCCTAAATAATTTAAAGTAGCTTTTGTTTATTTGTTTGTTTCTTTATTACTTGCCCTTGTTTGTGGATTAGGTTGATGTACTATAGACAATTCTTTAAGAATTGTGGGAAGGAGAAGAGATGGGAATAGGAATATCAATGAGACTATCATTTTCATGTATTTGCAATTCACTCAAGTACCTTACATTTTCCCTCTAAGGTGCACTTACTAAGATGTTTTGGAAAAAATACTCTTTTATATGTAACGTGGTGCTAATGCCCAAGACAAGGAATATTAAACACCTTGCTGCTTGGTTATCTGTGATATATAAAAGATTGCAGGAAACATTTTGCTTGTTGGTGGCCAGTTGAAGAAACCCAAGACTCAAAGCTGTGGGGCTACTGATGAAAATATTAATAATAATAATAATAATAGTTACTATTTATTATGCTGAACTTATATCCCATTGTCATTTAATCCTTATAATGAGCTATGAGGCAGGGCTTTTTATTTCCATTTTATAAATGAGTCAACCAAGGCCCAGAGTAGTTAAGCACCTTGCTTGATGTTACATTGTTAGTAAGGGCAGGGATTTGAACCTAGTCTGTCTCCTTCTAAAGCCTAAGCTTTTCCTTCCTGAGATAGAGAAATTGTACCCATTCCACACATCATCATCAACAGTAATGAGCACCTAGTTAGAAGAAGGATGTAATCTATAAGCTTTTGGGAAGCTCTGGATCTGCTGAGAAGAAGCATGGGCTTGGAACCAGCCAGAATGCCTGGAGTGATAATTGATGCTGGATTTGGAGGGACTGGGGAAGAAAAGGGGAATCCTTGCAGGAGGGCACTCTGGATGGATTCTTTCTGAACTTTGAGCAAAACAGCTTAGGGTATATTACGATGGCTGTTGGGGATAAAAATGGACATGATTTAAAGAAAAAAAGAAAAGAAACAGGCAGACATCTAGACTAAAGGTCTACTTGGGCAAAGCTACTGTTGACTGTACTATTTCACTCTAATTGAAGCCTAAGCATAGTGGGCTAGGGACAGGCCTCAGAAGAGAAAAGAATTTAGGTTTGGTTAGAGGAGAAAATTCTAGGCTAGCTGTAGGTGTGGCCCGTCCGCAGGGACTTTCACAATTTTTAAAGATTCTTGGTCCAGAGTGTTGGGTGAATAGAAAGAGAAGCATCAACAATAAAAATATCATCGCTTGGCTGGGCGCAGAGGCTCACGCCTGTAATCCCAGCATTTTGGGAGGCTGAGGAGGGTGGATCACTTGAGGTCAGGAGTTCGAGGCCAGCCTGGCCAACATGGTGAAACCCTGTCTCTACTAAAAATACAAAAATTACCCCGGCAAGGTGGTGGTGGCCTGTACTCAAGAGGTTGAGTCAGGAGAATCACTTGAACCCGGGAGGCAGAGGTTGCAGTGAGCTGAGATTATGCTACTGCATTCCAGCCTGGGCAACAGAGCAAGACTCCGTCTGAAAAAAAAAAATATATCTATCTATATCATCACTTATATAGTGCCATATATTTTACAAAGAGATTTCACTCACATATATAATCTAGCTTGATTTTTAACCATAATTCTTCTGAGAAGCCTAGGCAGTTCACAGCTAATGAAACTGGGTATTTCACTTGCACAATGCCATGTAGCTGGACAGTGGCAGACAGATTCTCACCTCACAGTAATCCTTTCAGGAAGTACTACGGTTCCCAATTTACCGGCAAGAGACTCAGAGAAGTAAAGTCAATTTCCCAGGGTCACAGAGCTATTAAGTGTCAAGCTGAGACTGGAACTCAAGTGTCTCTGAATCCATGTCACCAGGCTATAATTACTCTAACATATGGACCAAGTTTTCTGACTTCGAAGATGTTTTTTTCCCCTTGATCAATTCTGAGTCATTGGCTTTGAGGCAAAGATAACAGAGAAGCCTGAATACAGACTATGAGGCTCAGAGAGGGAACCAGGATGAGCTGTCCCCGTGAGGGTAAAACCTACCTGGGCAAGACTTATCTGGGCAACACACATGTGGGCCACACCTACCTGAACCAGCAGCTCCAGTCTCCTATCATCCAGGAGGTGCACCTGGCAGTGCCTGCCTTCTGTCATCTGCAGGAACAAGACAGCAAGAGTGGTGTCAGGGCCACGGCTGGCAAGCAAACCTTTGGACTCGTTGTATCATTTATTTTATATGAGATGGGCTCAGCCTAAAAATGGCTTTAGTTGAGTTAATAAACAGGCTTGGCCAAAAACAGATTTATTATATGGGAGTAACTGGATTTAAAAGAAGAACAAAGAGCACAGGCTAGTCAATATATTGCAAAAATAATGTCCATACAGTCCACCAATTTCAAACAATGCACACAAAATTATTCTATGAAAAGTAGGTCTCCATCCCAAAGGAAACTACTATATTTTTCCTGGAATTAATGTTTTATTTAAAAAAAAAGGCCGGGCGCGGTGGCTCACGCCTGTAATCCCAGCACTTTGGGAGGCCGAGGCGGGCGGATCACGAGGTCAGGAGATCGAGACCATCCTGGCTAACACGGTGAAACCCCGTCTCTACTAAAAATACAAAAAATTAGCCGGGCGTGGTAGCGGGCGCCTGTAGTCCCAGCTACTCGGGAGGCTGAGGCAGGAGAATGGCGTGAACCCGGGAGGCGGAGCTTGCAGTGAGCCGAGATCGCGCCACTGCACTCCAGCCTGGGCGACAGAGCGAGACTCCGTCTCAAAAAAAAAAAAAAAAAAAAAAAAAAAAAAAAAAAGCCTCTCCATCCCAGAGGAAACTACTATATTTTTCCTGGAATTAATGTTTTATTAAAAAAAAAAAAAAAGCCAGCCAGGCACAGTGGCTCACTCCTGTAATCCTAGCACTTTGGGAGGCAGAGGCAGGCAGATCACTTGAGGCCAGGAGTTTGAGACCAGCCTGGACAACATAGTGAAACCCCGTCTCTACTAAAACTACAAAAAATAGCCAGGCATGTGGTGCACACTTGTAATCCCAGCTATTCAGGAGGCTAAGGCATGAGAATTTGCTTGAACCTGGGCAGTGGTGTTTGCAGTGAGTTGAGATCACACCACTACACTACAGTTTGAGTGACACAGCGAGACTCTGTCTCAAAAAAAAAAAAAAGCCTTTATTCAGCTGGGTACAGTGGCTCACGCCTGTAATCCCAACACTTTGGGGGGGCCAATCAGGGTAGATCACTTGAGGCCAGGAGTTTGAGACCAGCCTGGTCAACATGGTGAAACCCCCTTTCTACAAAAAATACAAAAATTAGCCTGGCATGGTGGTATGTGCCTGTAGTTCCAGCTACTCTGGAGGCTGAGTTGGGAGAAACCCTTTGGCCTGGGAGGTTGAGGTTGCAGTAAGCTGAGATTGTACCACTGCACTCCAGCCTGGGTGACACAGAGAGACACTTTTCCAAAAAAAAGAAAAAAAAAGTATTTATTCATTGGTGTGTTTAACGTCTCTCTGGGCATGGTGGCATGCACCTATAGTCCCAGCTACTCAAGAGGCTGAGGTGGGAGGATCAGTTGAGGCCAGGAGTTCAAGACGGTAGTGAGCCAGGATCATGCCTGTGAATAGCCACTGCACCCAAGCCTGTGGGCAACATAGACCTCATCTCTTAAAATAAAAATGAAAAGTCTTCATTTTGGAAACTCTCCCCCTACTTTTAGTCCACCAACATAGTTTACTATCACCACCATAGTTAAGAACAGTTAAGATATATAGTTAAGAACAGTTTGATACATACATTTTCAATTATATTTAGTTTTTTATTATTCAGAATTGCAATACTAAAAAAACTTTGTAAAATACTTAAACAATGCATAGAATGCCAAGATACTCCTTGATTAACTCATGTTCCAAACCATTTTATCTGCAGAAATCACCATCCTATTAGTTTAAGAATCCTCATAGACCACTTTTATATGTATTTTCAGATATATATTTACATATTAAAATATTTCATATTATTTTACTTTAGTACATATTATATTGAATGTATTGTTTTGCAAATGAAGTACTCTTAATATTTCTGTGTGAGTGTAACCATCCAGAAATTTGATATATATGTGTGTATATGTGTTTATCCGTGTATGTGTGTGTATACATATTTTTTGTTGTTGTTTCTTTCTTTTTCAATTTCAGTAGGACTATGCTTCACTTGCTGTTTTGCCTTTTGCTTTTTAAATTCAATGATTCTTGTTGATCTTTCCAATGTCAGCACATATAGATGGACCTCATTCTTTTTAAAGACTCTATAGTATCAATTATTGTGTGGATACACGATAATTGAATAAGAGAAACAGGTTGTTTCCAATCTTTTGCTATCACAAGCAATGTCACCATGAACTTTGCACATCTAGCTTTGTCCATGGATGTGGAATTGCTAGGTCACTTTTGAAAAGCAGGGGCAACATTTTGGCTCTAAGCCGTTGTACAAAACTATAAGTTTTAGGAACTCAGATACATATAAACCTAATTGAAAAAGAAAATAGCCTCCATTACTGAGTACCAACAACCTATTCAGCATTGCATGAAGTGTTTTATATACATTATTTCTGAGCGGCACAGTTACCTTCTGGGATTAGTATTACTATCCCCATTTAACAGCTAAATTGAGGCTCAGACTGGGATAAGTAACCTGTTTTCAATGTGAAAAATACTAATTATTGAATTTATAGTTTTGATCGAACTCTGCTTTAAGAGTCTGAAAACTAGCTCAGCTGGTTAGATCATGGTATTATGAAGATGTGGCCCACAGGAACCACTGAGGTAGTGCTAAGAGGTAAGTGAGTAAGCTTTACTTTGTCTCATGGCCTAAGCCTA
Organism: Homo sapiens; assembly: GCF_000001405.40. Taxonomy (NCBI): domain Eukaryota; kingdom Metazoa; phylum Chordata; class Mammalia; order Primates; family Hominidae; genus Homo; species Homo sapiens. Next base: position 69,316,246 of record NC_000003.12, read on the forward strand.
TGTCCTTAATTCGGCAAAGCCAAGGTCAAATATACACCTTGGGTGGCAAGGGGAAACAGAGCAAGTCTTTATTAGCTCTAGGCACTGAGCTGGGCTTTTTACATGTATTATCTCAGTAAAGCTCTGCAAAAGTTTACAACATGGCAACATCCCCATTTTACAGACAGGAAATTGAGGTACAGAGTTTATGGTAATTTACTCAAAGTTACATAGGCAAGAAAACAGCCAAGTCAAGATTTGAATTAATGTCTAACTAAAAAAAAAAAAAAGTCATCTTTTTTTTCTGCTTTTCTATACCAGAGGAGGAAATAATTAAGAGAGAAATAAAATGTGTCAGTATTTCTATACCAGAGGAGGATATAATTAAGAGAGAAATAAATAAATGTGTCAGTTTAAATCACTTTACTTCTTTTGTAAAACAACCTTCAAAAGCTAATCCTAGGTGTAGGCCCTACAGAAAGATATAAAAAAATAATGCTCAAAAGATCACACAGTATTAATCCATTAAGGAATATGTCATAATTGAGAAAATATTTAAAGCTACTCTGTTGTCCCATAATCCAAATAAGTTTATTTCCTGACTTTAAAAAATCAGGCTGGGTGTGTTGGCTCACACCTGTAATCTCAGCACTTTGAGAGGCCAAGGCTGGTGGATGACCTGAGGTCAGGAGTTCAAGGCCAGCCTGGCCAACATGGTGAAACGCTGTCTCTACTAAAAGTACAAAAAATTAGCCAGGCGTGGTGGCAGTTGCCTGTAATCCCAGCTACTTGGGAGGCTGAGGTGAGATTGCATAACTGCACTCCAGCCTGGGCAACAAGAGCGAAACTCCGCCTCAAAAAAAAAATCATCTTTTTTTGCCTTTCCATTTTGCTTTGGAACTCCCTCATATTAGTCAATATTCCTTTTAGCAACAGATAATTTTATTCTAGACTATTCAACTGTAGATATCTTTTTGATGTGCCTAACCATTTCATGACAAACTTAGGCATTGGTGGCTAGGTTTTACTTGGTCCTGCCCCTTTGTCCTCAGTTGATTGGGCAAGGGATAGATACTTGACTCAAGCTGGGCCAATCAGAACCTCAGTCCAGGGAATCTGGAATTGGGTCTGAGAGGATAAAAACTTGGTTGTTTATGGGCAGCCATTTTGTGTGTGTGGAGAAAAGGAAAGCCACCTGCAGAAAGAATGAGGGAGACAAGTAGCTAGAAGGAGGCAAAAGACCTGGGTGCAGTGGCTAGCGCCTGTAATCCCAGCACTTTGGGAGGCCGAGGCAGGAGGATCACTTGAGGTCAGAAGTTCTAAACCAGCCTGGCCAACATGGTAATGGTAAAAGCTTGTCTCTACTAAAAAAATACAAAAATTAGCTGGGTGTGGTGGTGTGCATCTGTAATCCCAGCTACTTGGGAGGCTGAGGCAGGAGAATTGCTTGAACCCAGGAGGCGGAGATTGCAGTGAGCCAAGATCGTGCCACTGCACTCCAGCCTAGGTGACAGAGCAAGACACCAACTCAAAAAAAAAAAAAAAAAAAAAAAAGGAGGCAAGAGAAATCATGCGGCCTAAGAAGACAAGCTTAACAGATTTGTTGTCAGGGTTCCTAATGTTTTCCAGTCACTTATAGTCCTTTTCACTGATCCGGGTGAATTTTTGTCCTTGAGTTTCATGAAACACCCTGTATTCCTTTAACAAATCCATTTTTTTCCCTCTCTTAAGCTAAGAGGGAGGATTCTGCTTTATTTATTTATTTTTGAGATAGTCTCACTCTGTCACCCAGGCTGGAATGCAGAGGCACAAAGGTGGCTCACTGTAGCTTCGACCTCCTGGGCTCAAGTGATCCTCCTGCCTCCACCTCCTGAGTAGCTGGGACTATGGGTACATGCCATCATGCCTGGCTAATTTTTATATATTTTTTTGCAGAGACAGGATCTTACTATCTTGCGTATGCTGGTACGGATCTCCTGGGCTCAAGCAACCTGCCCGCCTTGGACTTCCAAAGTATTGGGATTATAGATGTGAGCGATAGTACCCAGCCGGATTCTGCTTCTTGCAACTAAAAGCATCTTTATAAGACTCCACAAATTTCCATGCCAAAACCAAAGCAAAAGAGTTCCAAAGCATAGACTCTCCAAATGATGTCATTAATACGAGAAAGTCATCTACTCATAATCACTGAGGCGCCCATCGATGACAATACAACAACCAAGAGAGGCTGACATCTGGGGAGGGGGCATGAACAAACACCTGAGGGTTTGGTGGAACACCACACAGGGCAGGCTGGAGAGGGTAGCACAGATGAACTAGAGAGAAAAACACCAGGGTTACATGTCCGCGCAGCACACATGGTGTTCAGCATGTGGAAAGATGGCTCTGCTGATAGGTCAGGGGGCTGATTTGATGCTCGCTAGCAACAGAAAGGCCTGCCCTTGTCACTTATTTAAATTGGAGGTGGAAAAGTGATGGATGTATTTTGTTCACCACAACAGTGCTTATGAATAAATATTAGTTGATAATATTAGAAATCAGGTAATGCCACATAATTAAAAAATCCAGATTGACAGCTTCTTTTGACAAATGGTAAGACCTGGAAATTCTGGGCTTGATTTCTTCCATGGCAATATTTGGCAAGGGCAGGGCAGAGTAGTTCTCTATTCCGATGAGCTTTGTGGTCTCTGGTTCACCCAAATGTATGTATGACCTGCCAGGCTCCTGGGAGGTGTGATGAGTTCTGTCATCTGAGTGAGCAAACCCTGATTGAAGTGGTGCCAGCGAAGAGACACAACCAAAACAAACACAAACCCTGCTGTGGACCGGGCAAAGTGCTTGACATTTAACACTCATTAATGTATAGAATTTCAACCTCTACACAAACCTATCAAGGGGGCATCCTCATTTTAACCACCAGGAAATTAAGGCCTGACAAGTGATGTAACTTGCACAGGAGTTCTAATGCAGTTATACTCTGGATCGAAAGCATAGTTTATCTCTTACTAGCTGTGCTACCTTAGAGAAATTACTTGACCTTTCTGAGCCTTATAAGAAATGTCCTGACAGCATTTAATCTGAAACTCAGAATAAAATCAGCCACTTCTGAGGCCCACAATTATTGTAGTCCCCATTTGTTTGAAAACTGACAGCTACGCTTTTCTGTAATCTATATATTTTCCTATTTAAAAAAACACATTTTTAATGGGAGGAATATTACTGACCCATTTTAAAGAAGATAAATAACAGGTAAAGTTAACAAGTCACTTAACAAGCATATGGCAGAAAAATTCTCCAGAGCTGCTGTAGGGGAAATAAAGAAAGAGAAGGAACCACTGGTTTCTGAGTGTCTTCTGTGTGCCTGGCACCCAGCGAGGCACTTTAATTATATCAATAATATCACTCCTAGGCACTTTCTATATTCCAGGTATTGCACTAAGCACTTTACATAATCAATTCTCATGATGCTTACATGAGGTGGGTACTCTTAGCACTCCAACTGATGTTAGAGAGATGATAAATAACAAAATTCATAAGTGGCAGAACCAGATCCAAATTCAAAGCCCAAAGCACTTAACCACTTAGCAATACAGATGGTACTACACACACTGTAAAGTGACAAATGGTGAGAAAACTTCCCACGCAGCCCATTTTCGATGGATCAGATGAGTGGGTAGAAAAACAAAAACAAAGAATCATGAAGCAGGCATGAAAACTCATTTCACTTCCAGAAAAACATAATTTGAATAGAAGTAGTTAGAACTGCGGAATTTATAAATAGAAAGCATCTTAGACGGTATCTATTAACCACTGCTTATTTGAAACATGGGGAAACTAAGGAATGGATGTGCCCAAAGCCACACAGCTAGTTAATGCCAGACCTGGGCTTAAAAGTCAGGACTCTGACTCCCAGGCTACAGCGTAAGTGACCTGAACAAGGTTACTCATGTAATAAATACCATATTATTCAAATGAACTTTTTCCCCAACGTGTCAATTAAAAAATTTTTTTTAAAAATTATAACAACAAACAGAAAAAAATAAAACCCCAACTGGGAATTTTAAATTTACCTTAAAACCTGACCTGGGCCAGGTGTGTTGGCTCACTCTTGTAATCTCAACACCTTGGGAGGCTGAGGCAGGAGCATTGTTTGAGCCCAGGAGTTTGAGACCCACCTGGGCGACATAGTGAGAAACCATCTCTACAAAAAATTAAGAAATTAGCCGGGCATTGTGGTGTGTGCCTGTAGTCCCAGCTACTCGGGAAGCTGAGGCAGGAGGATCGCTGGAGCCCAGCAGCAGTTCAAGACCAGCCTGGGCAATACAGCAAGACCCTGTCTCTAAAAGCAAAAACCAAAAAACAAAAAAACAGGAGTTATATTTGAAAAGAGCTGTATGTGGAGCACAATGATTATATTTACAAATATAGGATCATTTCTGAACCCCCAGAGACCATCAGAATAGTTTCAGAATTGACCCCTACCTAGTGGCAGCTAATAGCAGCAATGCTTCAGATGAAATAAAAAACATATTTAAAAAACGATCTCTTTGGAAAGCTTCTCTTCACATCTACTCTGACTTGATCCCCTTCCCGCTACCTTCTCCCCTCATGGAACCCCAGGAATTCGAAGGCAAAAATTACATGTGTTGGATTAAAACTCCCACCTCGGTCTCCAGCTGGCCTGTTTGCTCCCCAGCTGGTAAGAGTCAGTCCTCAGAGTGCAAGTGCTGATTACTGGTGGAAAGACTTTGTCCATCTGGTCAGTGGTTAAATGAGGAAGATCAGAAGGGAAGTAAGAATTGGCTATAAGCCAGACCTCTGGTTTCAAAGAGGGCCCTGATGCGGCAGCCCATAGTGGGGTTCAAGTCTTTATGAGAACACACTCCCCCACCCTGGCCCCCAATCCCACTGCCTGGTTTAGGAGATGAGAGAGGAGAGTGGGTTGGTAAGAAACCAAAAGGCAATTCAAGACAGGGCAGTATGGAACCACTCATAACAACGGGGTCGTCTTACAAGGCAACAGGAAATAGCTACAAAAAAAGACCAAAATCGTAGCCTACTTCGGCTTTGCTTTAGTTGTTCTTTGGAACAGAAACATATGAAATTGGTAAGGAAGCAGCAAGCCTTTTTAAAAATTTTTCTTCTCTCTCTCTCCCTTATTCCTTTTGACCTTTTCGAAAGCCTAGTGAGAAAGGGCCTGCTTCATAAAAATGCCTCCTCAGGATTTTCTGTGCGGTCACCTTCTAGAGTGAAATCTGCCATCTGGAAGGGTGAAAACCCAGCTATCTAGGCAGGTTCCATAATTCCAATTGAGCCCTACAGTGGTCCAAAACTGTCTAAGAGCTTTATTGCTTTGTTCACCACTGTCTCCGCAGGGCCTAGAACAGTGCCTGGCACACGGTGAGACCGTGGTATATAAATATCTGCTGAGTTAAGAAATGTCTTAACTGTTCAGAACCCAGACACAGCTAACACTGAAATACATTCACAAATGATTTTTTTTTTTTCTACACAGGGTCTCACTCTGTCACCCAGGCTGGAGTACAGTGGCACAACCATGACTCACTGCAGTCTTGACTTCCCCAACTTGAGTGATTCTTCCACGTCAGCCTCCCGAATAGCTGGGACTATAGGCAAGTGCCACCACACCTGGCTAATTTTTTGTACAGATGGAGATCTCACTATGTTGCCCAGGCTTGTCTTCAACCCCCAGGCTCAAGTAGTCCTCCTGCCTTGGCTTCCCAAAGTGCTGGGATTACAGCTGTGAGCCATTGCGTCTGGCTCACAAATGATTTAAACAGACAGAGCACAATCCAAAGCGAGGATTTTCCAGGCAACTCCCAAGCCCTGGCCCAGAAAAACTCACACATAAAAAACACTCTTTCCACCCAGAGAACAAGGTGTGTTATTAAACTCCTCATCAGATGAGATATTCTGGAGGAACTGGAGAGCGGGAGAAGGATGTATCTAGGACGTTCTTACTTTGGGATCTATTGAGTGGATGGAGTTTTATATTTCACCCTAATGATGTCAACCCTAGCTGAACAGGGCCCCTTTATATCATCTCTGGGTGTTGACTGAATATGAGCTATTGACACTCCCGTTCAGAGAATGGCCTAGACTGACACAGATGTCTCCAAATGGAGTCAGCTGTGATTTTCCCTCAAGTTCTTTCAAGACAGTGCCTACCCTCCCAATGTGCAATCACTGGAGACTTCTTTTTTAAGTGTCAATAAATGATTCTCCTAGCTTCTAGCAAACACTTACTACATGTCACACGAGTATGGAGTGCTTCACATGTGTAGTGACTTCTTTCATGTTGCTAACAACCCTACCAGGGAGAGTCATTGTTTAGATTTTTCTCTCTCTCTTTTTTTTTTTTTTTTTTTTGAGACAGGGTCTTGCTCTGTTGCCCAGGCTGGAGTACAGTGGCATGAACATGACTCACTGCAGCCTCGACCTGCTGGGCTCAAGCAGTCCTCCCACCTCAGCCTCCTGAATAGCTGGGACCACAGGCATGTGCCACCACACCTGGCTAACTTTTTCTATTTTTTTGTAGAGATGGGGTCTTGCTGTATCGCCCAGGCTGGTCTCGAACTCCTGGACTCAAGCAATTTTTTCCCACGTTGGCCTCTTGAAGTGATGGGGTTATGGGCATGAGATTTCTGTTTAGATTTCATAGATGACCAAACTGAAGTGCACAGAGGTTAAGTGGTGCCTGGTCATACAGTGATAAAGTTGGGTAGAATCTCAGGTTCCATCAGTCGTACCAAAGTAGGACTCCTGTACATCTCTTGCAGGTTCACTGGAAGTGGAGAAGGAAAAAGACAATGAGGGAGGGAGAAAAGCAGGCAGTGTAAAAGAAGCAAAGGAGGAAAGGAAAATGAAATGAGGGAAGAGGGGAGGAATGACAAAGAAGAGGAGAATTCAGTTTGCCAAAGCTGAAATTGAGTAATTGAGTAACATGCCTTAAGAGAAATGCTAACAAAGATAACAGCTGCTGACTGTGTGCCTGATAACTATCCCAAATCCTTTCATTTATATACAAAGGGCCTTTTATGGCCGGGCGTGGTGGCTCATGCCTGTAATCCCAGCACTTTGGGAGGCTGAGGTGGGCAGATCACCTGAGGTCAGGAATTTGAGACCAGCCTGGCCAATATGGTGAAACCCCCTCTCTACTAAAAATACAAAAAAATTAGCTCGGCATGGTAGCGCATGCTGTAATCCCAGCTACTTGGGAGGCTGAGGCAGAATTGCTTGAACCCAGTGGGTGGAGGTTGCAGTGAGCTGAGGTCGCACCACTGCACTCCAGCCTGGGCGACACAGCGAGACTCTGTCTCAAAAAAACAAAACAAAAACCCAACTCTCTCTCTCTCTCTCTGTGTATATATATATATATATATATATATATATATATATATATATATATGCGTTTTAAATGAATTTTCATAAGAACTCTGTAAGGTGGATTCCATTACTAGCTTCATTTTATGGATGAGAAAATTGAGGCTCAGAAAAGGTACATGGCTGACCCACCTTACAAGGTCATAGGGCCAGGAAGAGGCAGAGTAGGATGTAAACCTAGGTGTTCTGACTCCAGAATCCATGCTCTTAAGGGCTATATTACTTCAGTACAAAGTATTTCCTATCTCATACATCCTATATATTAAATCACATGTAGTTTAGGCACTTAATGTATCACCTTGATTGCGAAGCCTAACACTGCTCTGAAAAGCTTGATCCAGACTCACCAAACCAGAGTTGGCTGGTTCAGGCCACTGTCTCGAAGCAAGGCCAGAAGAAGAGAAAGGTTTTACAATCACCATCCCTTGGCTACTTCCTGGCCCCACACTGATGAAATATGGGCAGCTGCTAAAAATGGTGTCTATGTTTGCTATTGATCTTCCTTGGGCAGTCAGGATGGAATTAATCTCCACCTGTTGGGATGCTTCCATGGCTGTGTCATGCATATGTGAACACTCAGGGTACAGGATGATATTTGTCAGTTATGTGGCCTCCTGGACCTGACTCCATATTACTCTGGGCTTAAGATGTAGCCTAGCACACATGTAATTAATTCAGTGTGGAAAAGCTCTGGATTATGTGTTCATTCATTCACTTAACCAATATGTGCTGAGCACTCTCTAAGTGCAAGCACTGTTCTTGGCACTATTATATACCAGCCAATAAGACTGAAAGGGCATTATCTCTGGAGCTTGTCCTACAGTTCTCAACTTCATTGGTATTTGCAGCCAGATAACTCATTATTGCGGAGCATAGTCCTGGGCACTATAGGGTGCTAAACAGCATCCCTGACCTCTACCCACTAGATGTCAGTAGATCCTCCCCCATATGTCTCCAGACCTTGCCAAATGTCCCCTGGGACGCAAAATCACCTCTTTTGAGAACAACTGCTTTAGAGGTGAGGAGAAAAAAAGAAACTAGTAACAATTAAACAAATATGATATTTTCAGATAATAAGGGCTCTGAAGTAGATAAACTGGCAATGGAATTGAGTTCTAAGCATGTGCAAAACTCACTTCTCTTTACCCAGGAAGCACGAGAAATGAGGAAATTGATGGAGAAGGCCGGATGTGGTGGTTCCCTCCTGTAACCCTAATGTTTTGGAAGGCTGAGGCGGGGGGGGATTGCTTGAGCCCAGGAGTCTGAGATCAGCCTGAGCAACAGGGTAAGACCCTGTCTCTACAAAAAATTAGCCAGGCGTGTACCTGTAGTCCTATGTACTTGAGAGGCTGAGGCAGGAAGATCACTTGAGCCCAGGTGTTTCGAGTTGCAGTGAGCCATAACTGTGCCACTGTACTCCAGCCTGGGCAACAGTGAGATACTGTCTAAAAAAAAAAAAAGAAAGAAAGAAAGAAAGAAAGAAAGAAAGAAAGAAAGAAAAGAAATTAATTGATGGAGAGAACTTATATTGGACCACTGCTCTTGGTCAAGTGGCTCCCAGTAGAGACTGGAGGGCTGATGGTGTTTTCTAAACATTTAACTGCATGCTCCTTTCTGCCTTACAGAGGTTGGGAGAAAGTAAACAAGAAAGGCTGGCCAGTCAATGGACGGCCATTGCTGCAGCTCTAATGCCAACCTGGCAGGCAATTCCAGCCAGCTTCGGGCAGACATTCCCTGGGGAGGGCATTCTCATAAATGACAATCCCTTATCAGATTCTAGCCTGATCTGATAAGTCTGGTGAAAAGAAAAGCCAGGTTTTAAAGGAAGAAAGAAAAATAAAGAAGCAAAGCAACTTATTAAGCCTGGAGCTGAAGGCCATCAGGAGACACCAGCCTAGTGTCAATGAGAAGCACACAGGATTTAGAGTCACGAGGTTTGAGTTTGTGTCCCAGCCCTGCTATTTACCTAAGAGAATATCATGGTATCTCTCTAAATCTCAGTTTCTGCCCCTATGAAATGGAAAGGATAAAAAATCAGTCTCATTTGGGTTTGCCTCTTGTATTAAGGCAGGTTGAACTGATTATAAACTCTACCTTAAAGCACAGATGATAATTGTATCATCAGTAATACACCATTTATTGAGTATAGGTTAGGTGTTAGAGTCTGTGCTAAGTGCTTGACATGTATTACCAGTTTATCCTTACCCTAGTGCCGTGAGTACTATTATTAGTGGAAATAATGTCTAAGCTATTGAGTACTATCCTGTTCTCCAGAAATGGTTATTTTAATTTGCTTAAGTGCGTACTTCTCTCAAGAAAAAAGTTTTCCTAGATTATTATTATTTGAGACAAGGTCTCTCTCTCTATCACCCAGGCTGGAGTGGACCATAGCTCACTGTAGCTTCAGCCTCCTGGGCTCACGCAATCCTCCCACCACAGCCTCCCAAGTAAATGGAACTACAGGTGCACACCATCATGCCTGGCTAATCAATTTTTTTTTTTTTTTTTTGTAGAGATAAGGTCTCACTATGTTGCCTAGGCTAGTCTTGAACTCCTGGGCTCAAGTGATCCTCCCGCCTCGGCCTCCCATAGTGCTGGGATTATAGGCATAAGCCACCATGCCCAGCCTCTTCTACATTATTAAGACACTAAGCTGTCATGTTTAAGTTGACAATCAACCCGCCAGTTAAACCCTGGAGAGACCCAAAAACCTAATAGCTGGGGATTCATTCAATCTGATTTTTTCTAGTGATAATCAACAGACTAACTTACAACCACCATTTTTAGCTGTCCATATGTCCAAATCTGGGGAAGGAAGGTGGTAAACTCTAACACCTTATCTGATTGTGACCAGATCATTCCTTTGTTCTCATCTCCATAAAATGCAAGTTAATATGTGTTCATGGCTTTGCCTATGCCATCTGCTTTTACATACATTTTCCCCATTGAGCTCTCAAACCTACCTGTGAAGCAGATAGTTTCCATAATCTGAGATTCCACGAAGTTGAGAATGACTTGTCTGAGGTCCCACAGTTTATAAGGGGCTAGGCCAAGCTCAAAAAGGTGCTCAACAAACAACATGAGAGGGAAAAATCAGGGTATATATCTACATGGAAGAAACTTCAGTGAAAAGCAAGATTCTCTTTATATTCTGACTGTGCTTTTCCAATTAGAAACTCATGTTAGGCACCAAGAAGAGACTGTCAAATGTTTATTTTCAGAAAAACATGCAGGATATTTCTGCTGTTCCTCTCCAGAAAGAAACAGCCTCGTTGCTTAAAACCAGTTGTTAGGCTGTATTTTTAGACGTCATGGTACAGTATCAATGAGTCAAAAATAAAAAAACAAAAAAATGGGAGGGCACAGATACTGTAAACAGGAAAAGTCACAAAAATGGAACTAAGAAAAGCTGAGAGCACAGCCTGTGGGTTGGGGGTGGGGGGATTTTCATTTTCATCTGCAGTTCAGGTTAACCAGAAATGAAAGTTCTCCAGTTGCCTTGTAGAAAATGGAAATTTTGGCTTCAGTGAGTATGCAAGCAGCAGACACCCTGTGGTTTGGAAACTTTTTGCTTTGCCAACTGTCAGTTTTCTCTTTTCCCGTGAAAAACAACCTGTAGGAAGGAGTAAAAAAGTACTGCGTCTTTCAAAGACTTAAAAGTCTCAAGTGTAACTTGTGTGAAGAGATATTGAAAATAAACTGCAGTACTTGTAATTTAAAGATATTCTAGGTATTGCCTATTCACGGTATAATACATTTGGAAATCCTGGGCTCAATGGAAGCCACTCACAAAGCAAACAAATCACATACATCGTCCTGAGAACCTAAGAATTAGCAAAAATTAATTAGAAAATCAGAATCAACTTTACATTAATTATGGAGTACATGCTTACTCTCAGGGTTTTCATGTTTCAATTTTTCGTCAACCCTGTTAGAATGTCTCTGATTTATGCTTTTCCAAGTCTCTTTATTTTTTGTGACTCATGTATAGGTAGAGGCTGAAATAAGTCCTCCTTAGGGAGTTTATAATTAAAACAAACGGATTGTATTAGGTCCAGAGTCCTAGCCTATCTCTGATTTGTTGGTAGAAACATCATATTTGGGTAAGGGTTTTAGAAAAGCATCACCAAATTGTAAAAACAGAAAAGTCAAACTCATTTGGGACATATAGAAAAATTCTTAATCTTAACATCCAGGACTTGTTTCACTGTCACAGAAGAAATATTTCCTCTCAACTTACAGGCTTATATTATTTAGTCATGAAGCTTCCTTGTCACCTAATGCAGGCTGTGTTTTTAAATGGGATTCAGACTCTTTTTGAAGCCAATGTGGGATTCAACGATTAAAACAAAACAACAAAACTGGAAGCCACAGGTCAGGAGAACATAGAAATATGAAAAAGGAGTTAAGAAAAAAAAGATTTATTGGCAAGCACCAGGGAACATAACTGGGAGGAAAGATCTTTTGAGAGACAGAATGGTGGTGGAGAGCTGGCTCTTGGCCACTCACGAAAGCCCACTGTCCCATTTTCAAGCTGGTTGTTAGGTACAACTAATATGAACTTACAATGAAATAAATCGCATTAAAAGCAAAGGTAATAAAACTCTTCACTTTCCAATTGTTTTACTACATTTACTATGACCTTTGCTCTTGTGGTTATTGAATCTGCATGGAAGTAACACCATTTAATGATATGCTACTGCTCGTCTCTTCCCAGATCAGTAAGTCAGTCAAGGTGAGAGTATTTACACCACAGAAAATGGCAAGTGTTGCAAATCAGTGTCCCTTTTTCCCCAGAGCTGGTTGTGTCAGAGGTGTTTGCACTGGAGTGACTCCATCTTGAATAGGACCTGGGTAAAATAAGGCTGAGACCTACTGGGCTGCATTCACAGGAGGTCAGGCATTCTTAGTCACAGGATGAGATAGGAGGTCAGCAGGGCTGGTATCACAAGATACAGGTCATAAAGACTCAGCTGATAAAACAGGACACAGCAAAGAAGCCAGCCAAAACCCACCAAAACCAAGATGGTGATGAAAAAAGACCTCTGGTAGTCCTCACTGCTCATTATACACTAATTATAATGCAATTGCATGCTTTAAGACACTCTCACCAGCACCATGACAGTTTACAAATGCCATGGCAACATCCAGAAGTTACCCTATATTGTCTAAAAAGGGAAGGAACCCTCACTTCTGGGAACTGCCTGCCTGTTTCCTGGAAAATTCATGAATAACCCACCCCTTGTTTAGCATATGATCAAGAAATAATCATAAAAATAGCCATCTAGCAGCTCTCGGTGCTGCTCTGCCTATGGAGTGGCCATTCTTTTGTTTCTTTACTTCTCTAATAAACTTGCTTTCACTTTACTCTATGGACTCATCCTAAATTCTTTCCTGCTCGAGATCTAAGAACTCTTGGGCTCTGGATCAGGACCACTTTCCAGTAACAGCTGAGAAACATTTACCAGCATACCAGTGGAGAAAGTGATGGTCAGAACACTCAGGATGTGGAGGCCGTTGAGAGACCACGTGATAAAGATGAACAAACAGAGGCTTCAGGTTTACAGAGAATTCTGTTTGAAGCCCAGCTTACTTAACTTTAGTAGGACTTACTATTTTAAATCTCTAAAATAGATTTACTAATACCTTCCAGGGTTGTTGTGCATAGAACTTGGCGAACAGAGGCCAACATAAAGGTGACTATTATAATTTATTTCTTTATTTTTATTTTTATGTTTTGAGACAGAGTCTCATTCCGTCACCCAGGCTGGAGTGCAGTAGCGCAATCTCTGCTCACTGCAACTTCTCCCTCCCGGGTTCAAGCAATTCTCCTACCTCAGCCTCCCAAGTAGCTGGGACTACAGGCATGCACCACCATGCCCAGCTAATTTTTTTTTTTTTTTTTTTTTTTTTTTTTGAGATGGAGTCTCACACTGTTACCTGGGCTGGAGTGCAATGGTGTGATCTTGGCTCACTGCAGCCTCTGCCTCCTGGGTTCAAGCAATTCTCCTGCCTCAGCCTCCCGAGTAGCTGGGATTACAGGCGCCCGCCACCAGGCCTGGCTAATTTTTTTTTGTATTTTTAGTAGAGACGGGGTTTCACTATGTTGACCAGGCTGGTCTCAAACTCCTGACCTCAGGTGATCTGCCTGCCTCAGCCTCCCAAAGTGCCGGGATTTGTTATAATTTATTATTGGGTACTGGGCTTTATACCTGGGTGATGAAATAATCTGTACAATAAACCCCTATGACACGAGTTTACCTGTGTAACAAACCTTCACATGAACCTCCCAAACCTAAAAGTTAAAAATAAATTTATTATTATACTTCAAGAAATCCACAGTGCATAGCTCACTGATGAAGGTCTCCTGACCTTGGATGGCAACTCTCATATCAGATCCTCTGTGTCATTTGCCTTTCCAGCTCTTTTGCCACTGGAATGTAAGTTCCACAAATGCAGAGATTTGTTTCATTTCCTGGTGTTTTCCTAGCCCCTAAGACAGTGCTTAGCTCATCCTGGGGCTCGACAAATATTTGTGGAATGAACAAATGAGTTGATTTTCCTTCATTTCCATCTCCTGCTCTCCTTCTGAATTTTCTACCCATTTCTACTTTGAAGGTCCCATTGGCAGCTGAGTGACTCCTTTGTCTTTTTTTTTTTTTAATATTATATATATTCAAGGTATACAACATTATATTTTGATTCTTTTGCCTTTTTTTTTTTTTTTTTTTTTTTTGAGACGGAGTCTTACTCTGTCACCCAGGCGGGAGTGCAATGGGGTGATCTCGGCTTACTGCAACCTCTGCCTCCTGGGTTCAAGTGATTCTCCTGCCTTAGCCTCCTGAGTAGCTGGGATTACAGGTGTGCGGAAATATACCTGGCTAATTTTTGTATTTTTAGTAGAGACAGGGTTTCATCATGTTGGTCAGGCTGGTCTCGAACTCCTGACCTCGTGATCTGCCCGCCTCAGCCTCCCAAAGTTCTGGGATTACAGACGTGAGCCACTGTGCCTGGCCGCCTTTTTTTTTTCCTTATCTATGTATTTTATAATAGAGACAGGGTCTCACTATGTTGCCCAGGCTGGTTTTGAACTCCTGGGCTTAAGTGATCCTCCTGTCTCAGCCTCCCAAAGTGCTGGGATTACAGGCGTGTGCCACCACGCCCGGCCTCTTTTGCCGCTGAATTGCTAGATGCCTCCCAGTTGTGTTGCTGCTATCTTTCTGGAATCTTTTCCCTGCTGAAGGAGGCTGCCATGACCTTAAAGCACCGGTGGAAGATGTTTCCAACTTTTTCATTCACAAGCAGATTTGAGCACATGTCATTATGCTCTGTCGGCAAGTTTCTCCCACTTCTGTTCCTGCTCTATTCTAATCTCAGTTCCGTTCTGCCTCCATCAGAAGGAACGAACGTGTCTTGTGAGAGGAAATCTCAACCAACACTTGAGGCTGTATCCAGGGAACCAAATATTTTCCCCCGTGTCCCTATCTCAAAGCTGTTTCTTAGACTTCCTCTTAAACAGTATTTCTGAAGGGTGGGGAGGGTAGAGTAGGATCACTCAAAAAAGCGTTGGTGCTTCTGGTAAGAGTGGCCTGGACAGGGGATTATGCAAACTCATTGAGGAGTCCTTAAATTCCAGAATTTGAAATTTTGGTCACTCTTGCTTTAGGCAGAGGGATAATACTGGGTGCAGCTGGCCACTCAGCCCCTCGGCGTAGGGCGGTGGTTGGGAGCAGCCCCTGGGGAGTCAGACAGGTATGATATCTGATGCTGGCCTGCCCTCTAACTAGCTGGTGACTTTAGGCAAGTCATGTATCCTCTCTGAGTAGCTGCTGTAAAATGGAGATAATTTTGCCTAGTGCACTGTTAGCATTCCATATTATTACTTTTTAAAGTACAGTGTATTATTTAAGAAGTGTCAGGGTCAAGAGCACAGACTTGGACTTAAATCCCAGCTCTGCTCTATACTACTGTGTGACCTTGTATAGGTTACCTCACTTCTCTTGACCCTTGGTTTTCTTGTCTGAAAATGGAGATACTAAAAGCACACTCACTTCCCAGGGCTGGGTGGCTCACATGAGATAAGATGTATAAAATGCTTGGCAGAGGACACACTCTATAAATGGTAATATTAATAATTATTAATAATATTATACTTTTCACTAACAAACAACAAGTAATTGGCTGGGCATGGTGGCTCACGCCTATAATCCCAGCACTTTGGGAGGCCGAGGTGGGTGGATCAAGAGGTCAGGAGTTCAAGACCAGCCTGGCCAAGATGGTGAAACCCTGTCTCTACTAAAAATACAAAAATTAGCCTAGCGCAGTGGCTGGTGCCTGTAATCCCAGCCACTCGGGATGCTGAGGCAGATAATTGCTTGAACCCAGGAGAGGGAGGTTAAAGTCAGCTGAGATCACGCCACTGCATTCCAGCCTGGGCGACACAGCAAGACTCCATCTCAGAAAAAAACAAACAAACAAAAAAACACCAAGCAATTGATACAGACTCCTTCAGGATGAAAGCTCCCACAGGCCATGTTCAGGTGCCGGGCAGGTGGTGAGCAGGTTCCACTCTGTCCCTGGACCTTGCAGAAGAGAAGGGAGCAGGCAGGTCTGGCCACATAAAACCTAGTCTGAATGTTCCATCATCACCTCACCTGTCTGGAGTGCCTCAAATTTTTGAAGTGCTTTCACCTCTATTTCCTCTTTTGAACTTTACAAGGAGTCTCAATGTGCCAGAAATGTCATACCCTCATTTTACAGATGAGGTCACTGAGGCCCAAAGAAGCAGCTACTCAGAGAGGGCACATGCCTTGCCTGAAGTCACCGGCCTCAGGTGAGGATGGCCAAGATCAGGTATCATACCTGTCTGACTCCCCAGGGACTTCTTCCTCCCTTGTGGTCACAAAGGTAAATGAGACAAGACTCCTGATGGGAGTTCCTTTCTTTTCTTTTTCTTTATTTATTTTGAGACAGGGTCTCACTCCATTGCCCAGGCTGGAGTGCAGTGGCGTGATCATGACTCACTGCAGCCTTGAACGCCTGAGCTCAAATGATCTTCCTACTTCAGCTTCCCGAGTAGCTAGGACTACAGGTGTGCACCACCACACCTGGCTATTTTTTTTTTTTTTTTTTTTTTTTTTGTAGAGATGGGGTCTTGCAATTTTGCCCAGGCTGTTCTCAAACTCCTGGGCTCCAACAATCCTCCCGCCTTAAGCGCTGGGATTACAGGCATTATCCACTGTGCCCAGCCAGGAGCTCCTTTTTTCTATCGCTTCAAACCATCTCCTCGTCCTTAACAAGAGCATTCACCAAAAAGCAGAGTTAAAAAATATCAAGCTAAAATATAAGCCAGTTCCTGTATGCAATGCTTCATCTTGTGCCTTTTACAGTGGGAAGCCTTTCCATCACATTAAACTAGAATTGTAAGCTGAATGCAGCTCTCTCAACTCAGGGATGCTTTTGGGAATCTGCAGTGCTCCATCGTTATGGTCTTGGCTGCCTCGATGGCTCAGCCTGCCAGTCCCTGAAGCCTTTTATTAGACTGCAGTCAATGAAAAAAATACACATTTTAAAAAAAATTGGAGAATTCTGCAACTGTCCTGGAGATAAAAATCTCTGGTTTTTTTGGCTTGTGAACTATTCCAACTACTGTCAGAGTCCTGAAGGCTTTAGTGCACTGGAGCAAGGAAGAGTTTCATCAAAGAGAAATGATTTGCTTAAACAAGAAAAGGGAATCCCGTGGTGCAGACGGGGATGAAACGTGGAGAAAAAAGATATGAACCTGGAAAAGTCAAATGAGCCAGATCACCCCCAGATTTCCATGAATATTTTGGTTGAGAATTAGAAATCCTTGTAGAACTTTCAGTTTTGTTCCATTACAATGTCTCTGTGTGACAGCCAATTTGAATTCTGCCTTAGTTGCTACAGAAATTCATAGGTACCTCTTCTTCTGCAACACAGGAGTAAGTTATTAATTAAACTTTAATAACAGGGGACAATTGGGACTGTTTTTTCCCTATAATTGGCAATTAGTCTATTTTATCATTTCTTTCTTCTGATTACATAATAAAATACCCAATTTCCATCAAATTGTGAACGTGGTCCATTTTGCTGGCTTCATCCATTGTCTTGTTTGCTTTCCAGTGAATGACTATTTTTTGAGCACCTACTCTGTGCCAGGCTCTTGAGGATAAAGTAGTGACTACACATTTTTGTTGGGGAGAGGGTGAGGGTAGGTGTCAGATAACCAAAACTTATGCCATAATTGAAGTGGCCAGAAATTATTTTTCTTTTATTTACAGATCACGAGACACGTCATTTAAAGCAACCTTCCCACTTCCCCAAGACAGCAGAGGCAAGGCTGAAAAAGGGTAAATCTCTTGCATCCATCTCTAACAGGTCTCTCTACAATAACAGAAGTGTCTAGAGTGTGCTGGCCACTGGATATGGCTAACACTCTTAAGATAATGGGGCTATGATCAGGTGTGTCAGCCTCAAGGAGAGGCTCCAGAAGAAGACAAAGCAGACTGGCTTCACATCCTCTTTAATTGCTGCCTCAGTGGCCTTAGACATTTAATTAAGCTTTTTGAGCCCCAGTTTCTTCATTTGTAAAATGGGGGGATGGTGTTATCCATAATCCTTAGCATAAAATCACCACTGAGGTCCCCCTCCCTCTCTTATTCCTGGTTGTGATAGCCACGGGAGAAAATAAAATGGTGGGGAGGCCAGGTGCGGTGGTTCATGCCTATAAATCCCAGGACTTTGGGAGGCGGAGGTGGGCAGATTGCTTGAAGCCAGGAGTTCAAGTCCAGTCTGGACAACATGGTGAGACCTTATCTCTACAAAAAAAAAAAAAAAAATTAAAAAAATACAATAGTGGGACTGGGATTAAATGATCTGGGGAATTTAGGGGAAACATTTTGCTTCTTTGCTGTGCCTTTTGGATAACTCAGAGGTTGAGCACTGTCATCTATAGACCCAGTTAACTGTGACAGCATTCTTCCTACTGGGTACCTTCCACTCAATGACCCCTGGGTTTCAGTAGTTGCTAAATAGGTGATTTGAAGTCTGAGCACCTGAATCCAAATCTTAGCTCCACTGCTTTATCCACTGTGTGACTAGCATCCATTCACATATTCACAAATATTCATCAAGCTCTTATTGTGTTCCAGACTTTATAATAGGCTCTGGGGACTCAACAGTGACACAAGCCAGAGAGTCAAGTGCTCCTCTCTCAAAGACTTGCCAGCGAAGAAGAAAGCCAGAAAACAAGCAAATCAAGCAACACACAGGGTGATTTCAGGTCGTGTTAAGTACCATGAAAATGAGAATACAGACTAATGTGATGGGGAGAGTTGTTACTTTAGACAGAGCAGGCTGGGCCAGTGGTTCATACCTGTAATCCCAGCACTTTGGGAGGCTGATGCAGAAGGATCGCTTGAGCCCAGGAGTTTGAGGCTGCAGTGAGCTATGAGTTATGCCCTGAGCTATGAGCTATGGTCACGCCACTGCACTTCAGCTTGGGTGACAGAGTGAGACACTCTCTAAAATGCTATAAATAAAGCAGCTAGGAAACGGCTATTTGAGGAGGCAACATTTAGCCAGAAATAGCAATGATGAGGATTCAGCCTTGGCAGATCTGAGAAAAGCATATTCCAGACAGAGGCCAACAAGTGCAAAGGCCCTGAGGCAGAACATGCTTGGGTTAAGACATTGTTGCATAACTTTTTTTTTTCATTATTGCATTTTTTTTTTTTTTTTCCGAGACAGAGTCTTGATCTGTTGCCCAGGCTGGAGTGCAGTGGCACGATCTTGGCTCACTGCAACCTCCACCTCCCGGTTCAAGCAATTCTCCTGCTTCAGCCTCCCGAGTAGCTGGGATTACAGGCACGCACCACCATGCCTGGCTAATTTTTGCATCCTTGTGATCTGCCCACCTCGGCTTCCCAAAGTGTTGGGATTATGGGCATGAGCCGCTGCAGCCGGCCCCATAATTGCACTCTTAAGGAGCCTCTCTAGACAATTTTTCCCCCAATACCCTCCTCCCCCATGAAATGTTAATAACACAGATATACTTTATATCTTATCTGCTGGGCAGGACTGAGTTTTTTTTTTTTTTTTCTTTTGAGACAGAGTCTCACTCTGTCACCCACACTGCGATCTCAGCTCACTTCAGTCTCTACCTCCTAAGTTCAGGTGATTCTCCTGCCTCAGCCTCCTGAGTAGCTGGGATTACAGGTGCGTGCCACCATGTTCGGCTAATTTTTGTATTTTTAGTAGAGACACGCTTTCACCATGTTGGCCAGGCTGGTTTTGAACTCCTGACCTCAAGTGATCTGCCCACCTCAGCATCCCAAAGTGCTAGGATTACAGGTGTGAACCACCACACCTGGCTAAGAACTGAGTTTTGAAGGGCTGAAAACTATTGTAATACCTAAGATTTTCTTTACCCCTCAAGAACCAATTATAACTTCCCTTGGGGGGTGAAGTCACCCTATGGAGAATGCACAGTTTAAGAAAAAAAAGGCAACAAATGTGGTTGGAGGTTGGTCACCAAGAGGGAGAGAACAAGAGACAAGCTTAGAGTTAATGAGGGGCTCATCAGTGGTTCTTGAAGTGTGGTCTTAGGACTCACAGCAGCATCAACTGGAGCCTGTTAGGAATAGAGAGTGGCACCCGGCAATCTGTGTGTTCACAACCTTCCAGGTCACTCTCATGCCTGCTAAAGTCTGAAACTACTGGGCTAGAATCATTCACTGCATTGTAGGCCATAGTAAGAAGTATGGAGTTTGTTTCAGATGCAGCAAAAAGCCAATGGAGGCTTTTAGGCATGGAGAAGATAATCTGGGGCTATATATAAAGGATAAGTCTGCTTACTGTGAGGAGACCAAACTGGAGTGGGTGAGGCAAAAGTGGAAGAATGAGAAATAATCCAAAAGGCTTTTGCACTGGTACTTATCTGTAAAATGGGCATGCAAAGATGACCAAATTCATAAGGTTGTTGTGAGGATCAAATGAGTGAATACCCACAATGGCTTGGCTGGGTGTGGTGGCTCACGCCTGTAATCCCAGCACTTTGGGAGGCTGAAGCGGGTGGATCACATGAGGTCAGGAGTTCGAGACCAGCCTGGGGAGAGAAACCCTATCTCTACTAAAAATATAAAAAATTAGCTGGGCATGGTGGCGCATGCCTGTAATCCCAGCTACTTTGGAGGCTGAGGCAGGAGAATTGCTTGAACCTGGGAGGCAGAGGTTGCAGTGAGCCAAGATCATGCCACTACACTCCAGCCTGGGCATCAGAGTGAGACTCTGTCTCAAAAAACAAAAACAAACAAACACAGTGGCAAAGACATGAAATCAACCTAAATGTCCATTAATGGTAGAACAGATAAAGAAAATGTGGCACCACGCTACCTGACTTCAAACTATACTACAAGGCTACAGTAACCAAAACAGCATGGTACTGGTATCAAAACAGAGATATAGACAAATGGAACAGAACAGAGCTCTCAGAAATAATGCCACATATCTACAACTATCTGATCTTTGACAAACCTGACAAAAACAAGCAATGGGGAAAGGATTCCCTATTTAATAAATGGTGCTGGGAAAACTGGCTAGCCATATGTAGAAAGCTGAAACTGGATCCCTTCCTTACAACTTATACAAAAATTAATTCAAGATGGATTAAAGACTTAAATGTTAGACCTAAAACCATAAAAACTCTAGAAGAAAACCTAGACAATACCATTCAGGACATAGGCATGGGCAAGGACTTCATGTCTAAAACACCAAAAGCAATGGCAACAAAAGCCAAAATTGACAAATGGGGTCTAATTAAACTAAAGACCTTCTTCACAGCAAAAGAAACTACCATCAGAGTGAACAGGCAACCTACAGAATGGGAGAAAATTTTTGCATCCTACTCATCTGACAAAGGGCTAATATCCAGAGTCTACAATGAACTCCAACAAATTTACAAGAAAAAAACAAACAACCCCATCAAAAAGTGGGCAAAGGATATGAACAGACACTTCTCAAAAGAAGTCACTTATGCAGCCAAAAGACCCATGAAAGAATGCTCATCATCACTGGACATCAGAGAAATGCAAATCAAAACCACAGTGAGATACCATCTCACACCAGTTAAAATGGCAATCATTAAAAAGTCAGGAAACAACAGGTGCTGGAGAGGATGTGGAGAAATAGGAACACTTTGACACTGTTGGTGGGACCGTAAACTAGTTCAACCATTGTGGAAGACAGTGTGGCGATTCCTCAGGGATCTAGCAGTAGAAATACCATTTGACCCAGCCATCCCATTACTGGGTATATACCCAAAGGATTATAAAACATGCTGCTTTAAAGACACATGCACACGTATGTTTATTGCAGCACTATTCACTATAGCAAAGACTTGGAACCAACCCAAATGTCCAACAATGATAGACTGGATTAAGAAAATGTGGCACATATACACCATGGAATACTCTGCAGCCATACAAAAGGATGAGTTCAGGTCCTTTGTAGGGACAGGGATAAAGCTGGAAACCATCATTCTGAGCAAACTATCGCAAGGACAAAAAACCAAACTCCACGTGTTCTCATTCATAGGTGGGAATTGAACAATGACAACTCATGGATGCAGAACGGGGAACATCACACTCTGGGGACTGTTGTGAGTGGGGAGAGGGGGGAGGGATAGCATTAGGAGATATACCTAATGTTAAATGACGAGTTAATGGGTGCAGCACACCAACATGGCACATGTATATATATGTAACAAACCTGCACGTTGTGCACATGTACCCTAAAACTTAAAGTATAATAAAAAAAGAAAATGTGTCACATATACACCATGGAATATTATGCAGCCATAAAAAAGTGAGAAAATGTCCTTTGCAACAACATGAATGGAGCTGGAGGTCATTATCATAAGCAAACTAATAAAGGCACAGAAACCCAAACACTGCATGTTTTCACCTGTAAGTGGGAGCTAAACATTGAGTACACATGGACACAAAGAAGGGAACAACAGACACCGAGGCCTACTTGAGGGTAGAGGGTAGGAGGAGGGTGAGGATCAAAAATCTACCTGTTGAGTACTACTATGCTTATTACCTGAGTAACAAAATAATATGTACACCAAACACCTATGACACCAAATTTATCTACAGAACCAACCTGCACACATACCCCTGAAACTGAAATAAAAGTTAAAAAACAAACAAAAAAACCCCAATAAAATCAAATTAGTGAATAGCTATAAATAACTTAGTATAGTGCTTGGCACATAGTAAGCACCCAATACCTATTAAAACTATTCTTCTCTGCCCCTTAGTTCTCCCAGAATCCTCATGGGTTAATATCCAAGCACAGATCTTTACGCATCCCCCGCCATTTGCTTTATATTCCTCTATTTATGCCAATGTGACTGACTCAGCTGGTCTGTGGGCTGGTAAAACTGTAACATGTTTGCAAGCCTGCTTCAGGTCATGGTGAAGGTCCATGGTGTTCTACTCAGTTTCCTTTCATTTCCTTTATTTTTTTTTCCTATGAGATTTAACTATTGGCCTAGAAAATGAAACTTAATGTTAAACCCGAGTTTTATAATCAGTTCTATCATTAACTTTGGACATTTTTGCATCCATAAAATAAGAAGTTCCACATGTGGGGAGGCGACACAGTGGAGAGTCAAGCATGGACTTTGGAATCAGGCAAACCTGTGTGCGAGACCTAACTCTGACACTAGCCGGTGGGACTTTGGGCAAGTCATTTAATCCCTTTTAGTCTGTTTCTTTATCTGAAAAATATGGATAATGACAGTATCTGCCCCACAGAACTGAGAAGGCAACAGGAGAATTCGTGGAAAGCACCCAGCACAGTGCGTGGCACTCAGCGTTAGCCATGATGACTATTAATTACCAAACCTGTCACAGGAATGATGCAGCTACATGAACCATTAAGAAAAATAAATGTATCCCAGAACTTAAAGTACAATAAAAAAAATGAAAACAAAAAAGGCAAATATAGTTCTGCAGGCCTCGAAAAAAAGGCAGAAAACATTTCGACTTGGGAGAGACATCCATGGGACAATTCAGCAAAACAGATGAAACATCCCCAGGCAGGCTGCTCTCCATATCCACAATATTAAATTGATGTGAAATAATCCAGCCAGCTCAGGAGAACACCCCTCAGTGTCTTCATCTCACAGGCATGCAAAGTCCCCTGAGAGGGGATTCTTGACAGGGCAGTTTAGCTTCAGAGCCAACCAATTAGGTTCTGATTGAACCTAATTCAATCAGAAAAAAACTCCCATCCCTGAGGCGGCCTACCAAGCCCTGCACTGCCTCATTCCTGCCCACTCTTCCCCTGGTCTTGTGTTAACTTCCTCTTACTCCCTGGGCCCCAGCCACATTGCCTTCCTCTGTAAGATCTCCTTTCCAGCTCAAGGCATGAGGGGTTGGGGAAAGTGCCTGACTAACCCAACTCATCTCTAAAAACATAGATTAAAAGCCATTATTTCTTTTCTTTTCTTTTTTTTTAAACTTTTAGGCTCAGGGGTACATGTACAGGTTTGTTGTAAAGGTAAACTCATGTCATGGGGGTTTGGTGTACAGATGATTTTGTCACACAGGTGCTAAGCATAGTACAGTACCTGATGGTTATTTTTTCTGATACTCTCCCTCCTCCCACCCTCTATCCTTGCCTTGGTGTCTGTTGTTCCTCTCTTTGTGTCCATGTGTTCTCATTATTTAGCTCCCACTTACAAGTGAGAACATATGATATTTGGTTTTCTGCGTTAATTTGCTAAGGATAATGGCCACCAGCTCCATTGATGTTTTTGCGAAGGATGTGATCTTGTTCTAAAAGTCATGTTTTCATAGGAGACATCGTGCAGTGGTTATGGGTGAAGATCCTGCAGTCAGAACACCCAGGGTTCAAATCATGGCTTAGATGCTTTGCTAGTGTCACCACCATGGGCAGACGACTTCAGCTCCTTGATACCTGGTTTCCTGATCTGCATCATGGAGGTAATACTGGTGCTACACTATGAGGTTTAGATGAGCTGATGTACATAGAGTGTTTCGAATAGCTTTGGGTTCCATAGCTCTTATTATGAGTGTTATCGTCTTTTAGTTCTCTATACTTCTTTGTTGCATCACTTTTCACTATTGTGATTAAATACTGATGTACTTTGTTATTTAATGTCTGCCTCTAGGTACTTTGTCTTGCTAACCACTCTATGCTCAGCTTATAGCATGCACTTTGCAAAAGAGGCTACGCAATAAAAAAATAATTAAAATGGAGTTGTGTAATAAAAAAAGGAGTTGCAAAAAATAATAAAAAAAGGAGTTGCATATAAAATATAAAAATACAAAAAAGGAGTTGCATATTCATTTTATAAAAATTGGGAAGACACCATAGCACTCTTTTTCATATATAATAGTTAAAAGTGTCACTGATTGATCAATGGTTTCTTTTAAAAAGAAGGAAAAAAGAATACTGTAAAGCAAGATGAGTGAGGCTCCTTGGACCTCAGTGCTTGTTCTAATGAAGAGGGCTGTTTGCATCTCAAGGTGGGCACTTGGAGATGTACAGTTACCACGAACAACCTCCTATTCTTTCAACTCAAATGCAGTGGTTACTGAAAAAAATCTCTGCAGATTTACAGATGAATCCCCTAAAGCCAGATGACTGTTCTACTGGTGAACAGAACAATTACTTTCAGGTCCCACTAGAGTGACCTTACTCTCAACTCAACACAAGGCCAAATACCAAGAGGGAACCTGCCTCCTCTGCACCTGGTTGTTGCTAAAGGTATGATTCCTGCTCCCAGAGAAACAGTATAAATGGCTGCAGGAGTGGAGGTGGCAAGGCTTGCTCTTACATTCTAAATACCTTCCACAGAGCCCATGTTAATTATGGGACACCACACTTCTGGCAGGCTCAAATACAGTTAGGTGCTAAAGAGTTCCAGAAAACCTTGTTTCTTGGGCATTGCTATGGTTTGTGGTCCCTCCAAAATTCAGGTGTTGCCAATGTCTGTAGTATTAAGAGGCAAGGCCTTTAGGAGGTGGTTAAACCTTGAAGCCTGCTCTGTCTCTTTAACGGATTAAAGCCCTTATAAAATAGGCTTCATGCAGCATTTGGCAAGCTTGCCTTTTTGCCTTTTGCCATGAGAGGATATAGCAAGATGGCCCTTACCAAATTGAGTGCCAGCCCCTTGATCTTAGATGTCCCAGCCTCACACTGTGAAAAATAAATTTCTGCTCTTTATAAATTACTGAGTTGCAGTTACTCTGTTGTAGCAGCACAAAATGGACTAAGACAGGCAACACACACAAAGGCCTAATAGTTTCTCACCATTTCTCTGAAAGAAACACACAGCTCACTTAGGGCTGTAGTTCTTAAGCTGTGACCTCTCACAGGTCTACTAATGACATTAGAGAAGCTTGCAAACACTTCCCCCCACAAATATAGGCAAAATGTGTTAATGAGAATCTTTCCAGGAAGGCTTTTTATAACTTCCTGGATCTAGATTTGTATTGGGTCCATGTCCTTAAAGTGGTTGAGAAACAGGTCCTTAAAAAGATGAACACTTGACCTGAAGGCAAGACCAGAGTCTGCAATGGACATACTGTGATTACTTATTTGTGAACTTTTGCCAAGTGAAATCCAGACAAAGTGCAGAGTCAAGTGATCTCATGTGTCCAAATGACAGAATGCTGATGGGATATCCAGACACTATCAAGATGCAGAGAGATTCAAATGTGGGCTAATGAATAACTGGTTTCTATTTATATCATTATGAACATTACAGGCCCTGAAAAAAGATTACCCATTCATTACTTTGTACACTCAATCTTCTGATGGTGTCTAAATATTTTTATGAGACTACTGCCATCATTTGCCATATTTGGGATAGTTGTATAATAATATTATTAAACAAAAGTAACTGCCACTTATTAGGTACTTCAGTGCCAGATGCTAGCTCTAACCCCCTCAATAACATTAAAATGTAGTTTTATTTCTAAATTGATAATAGTGATGTTTCAATACATATCATCTACAGTGATTAGATCAGAGTAATTAGTATATCCATCATTTCAAACATTTATCATTTCTTTATGTTGGGAACATTCAATATCCTCCTATTTGAAACTATATATTACTGCTAACTACAGTCACCCTATAGTGCTATACAACACTAGAACTTATTCCTCCTGTCTAGCTGTAATTTTGCATCCTTTAACAAACACTAGAGGCTAGGAAGGGTGGGGGAAGGAGGGATAGGGAGAAATTTGTTAAAAGGTAGTTTTAAAATATTTTATTTTTAGAGACAGGGTCTCGCTCTGTCACCCAGGCTGGAATGCAGTAGTAGCACAATCCATAGCTCGCTGCAGCCTCGGACTCCTGGGCTCAAGCAATCTTCCTGCTTCAACCTCCCAAGTGGCTGGGACTGCAGAGGCACACCACCACATCTGCCTAATTTTTAAAATTTTTGTAGAGGTAGGGTCTTGCTATGTTGTCCAGGCTGGTCTTGACCTCCTGGCCTCAAGTGATCTTCCTGTCCCAACCTCCAAAGTGCTGGAATTGAAGGCACGAGCCACTGCATTAGGCTGAAAAGGTAGTTTTAATTACCCCCATCAGAAGCCCAGAGGGGAGGTCACTCAGTTTGTCAATGACAAAGTAGGATTTACATGCAAAGCCTCATGCTAACACTCCACTCTCGACACTTCCTCTCTTTGTCCGTTAGGTGTGGATAAAGCCTATCAAAAACAGAACCTTTAACCACGGACTCCTGAATGCTTTAGGGTCACTGTTTGTCTTAGTTGACATTATTCAATTCCTACCTGGATATACCCCTGTCAATTTAATCTCTTGACCTAAAAATCATATTAATTAAACTCCACTACTTACAGCCATTTTGTCTTAACAGTTTTTTGTTTTTTTTTTTTTTTTTTTTTAGACGGGGTCTCGCTCTGTCACCCAGGCTGAAGTGCAGTGGTGTGATCCCGGCTCACTGCAACCTCCACCTCCCGGGTTCAAGTGATTCCCCTGCCTCAGCCTCCCAAGTAGCTGGGATTACAGGTGTGTGCCACCATACCTGGCTAATTTTTGTAGTTTTAGTAGAGATGGGGTCTCACCACATTAGCCAGGCTGGTATCGAACTCCTGGCCTCAAGTGATCTGCCCACCTCAGCCTCCCAAAGTGCTGGGATTACAGGCGTGAACCACCACACCCGGCCCGTCTTAACAGTTTCTATACTCCCCAAGAGTGAGTTGCAAATGAACTAAAAGTCAAGCTTGTAAGAGCTATTTATATTCCCCAACTGGTAATGGACCCATAAGTATAGTGGCTGCATCTTATTCACCTCTGTAAGCCGAAGCCTGACACATTGCTGGTGCAGTACATACCCAGGGAATATGTGCTGACTTTTAAAGAATTTGGAATCCAAGGGCCAGTGTCAAATTTCAATCTAAGAGCTGCATCCATTGCCAAAGATCCTGATTTCTTCATGGACAGCATCTCAATGTCTGACTCCAATTAGTGGCATCAGTAATTTCTCCATTTCCAACCTTGCCGTACTTAGTTTGTCCCTATCCATATACTGCCAGTGGCTCTACAGGCATCTGGGCCATTTTAATCTGTGCCCCAAATTTCTTTCTTTGTGAAAAGGAGAATATCAGTGGAAAGGAAGAAAGAAGGGGGAGAAAAAGGACAGAAGGAGGGAGGAAAGGAAGGGAAAGAGGGAGAGAGATGGAGGTTAAACACAGTGACAGATAGAGCTGTAATATATTTGGGTAATAGGGAAGTAACTACAAATAATTAAGAGTTACAGAGCATTTCTAAGCTGAAAAATAGCCTCAGCATTAGTCTAATCCCTTCACTCATCAATGTGGATTCTGAAGACTGAATATGAAAAATTAGCTTCCAAGACCACATAGCTTGTCAGTAAGTGGCAGAGTTAGACCTGGAGTCCAGCTCTCTCTCTCTCTTGTCTACTGGGCTTTTCAGCCACACCATACTGTTGTATAGGATAAAGTTTCTCCTTTATAGACGACCAGTTTCTGGACTACTGTCCCTCCTGACTGGAAAACCTGAATCTAGAAACATCTAATAGAAATGATAGTATAAAAGCATGTTCCTGAAAGAATAAGTACAACGTCTGCAGAATTGTTCAACTGAACTTACAAGAAAAAAAGAAAAAACAACCACAGGGGCAGTTCCAAGATGGCTGAACAAGAACAGCTCCAGTCTATAGCTCCCAGCTTGAGCGATGCAGAAGATGGGTGATTTCTGCATTTCCAACTGAGATACTGGGTTCATCTCACTGGGGCTTGTAGGACAGTGGGTGCAGGACAGTGGGTGCAGCCCACCGAGAGTGAGCTGAAGCAGGGTGAGGCATCGCCTCACCTGGGAAGCACAAGGGGTCAGGGAATTCCCTTTCCTAGCAAAGTGAAGCTGTGACAGATGGCACCTGGAAAATCAGGTCACTCCCACCCTAATACTGCACTTTTCCAATGGTCTTAGCAAATGG
This sequence comes from Homo sapiens, assembly GCF_000001405.40. Lineage (NCBI taxonomy): Eukaryota > Metazoa > Chordata > Mammalia > Primates > Hominidae > Homo > Homo sapiens. Next base: position 69,345,173 of record NC_000003.12, read on the forward strand.
CACACCAGGAGATTATATCCTGCACCTGACTCGGAGGGTCCCATGCCCACGGAGCCTCGCTCATGGCTAGCACAGCAGTCTGAGATCGAACTGCAAGGAGGCAGTGAGGCTGGGGTAGGGGTACCCGCCATTGCTGAGGCTTGAGTAGGTAAGCAAAGCAGCCTGGAAGCTCGAACTGGGTGGAGCCCACTGCAGCTCAAGGAGGCCTGCCTGCCTCTGTAGACTCCATCTCTGGGGGCAGGGCATAGCCAAACAAAAGGCAGCAGAAACCTCTACAGACTTAAATGTCCCTGTCTGACAGCTTTGAAGAGAGTAGTTGTTCTCCCAGCAGGAGTTTGAGATCTGAGAACGGACAGACTGCCTCCTCAAGTGGGTCCCTGACCCCCGAATAGCCTAACAGGGTGGCACCCCTCAGTAGGATCAGACTGACACCTCACACAGCCGGGTAGTCCTCTGAGACAAAGCCAAAGAAACGATCAGGCAGCAACATTTGCTGTTGAGCAATATTCGCTGTTCTGCAGCCTCTGCTGCTGATACTCAGGCAAACAGCATCTGGAGTGGACCTCTGGCACACTCCAACAGACCTGCAGCTGAGGGTCCTGACTGTTAGAAGGAAAACTAACAAACAGAAAGGACATCCACACCAAAACCCCATCTGTACGTCACCATCATCAAAGACCAAAGGTAGACAAAACCACAAAGATGGGGAAAAAACAGAGCAGAAAAGCTGAAAATTCTAAAAAGCAGAGCGCCTCCCCACCTCCAAAGGAACGCAGCTACTTGCCAGCAATGCAACAAAGCTGGACAGAGAATGACTTTGATGAGTTGAGAGAAGAAGGCTTCAGATGACCAAACTTCTCCAAGCTAAAGGAGGAAGTTTGAACCCATCGCAAAGAAGCTAAAATCCCTGAAAAAAGATTAGACAAATGGCTAACTAGAATAACCAGTGTAGAGATGTCCTTAAATGACCTGATGGAGCTGAAAACCATGGCACAAGAAATACATGATGAATGCACAAGCTCCAGTAGCGATTCGATCAAGCGGAAGAAAGGGTATGAGTGATTGAAGATTAAATGAATGAAATGAAGCGAGAAGAGAAGTTTAGAGAAAAAAGAGTAAAAAGAAATGAACAAAGCCTCCAAGAAATATGGGACTATGTGAAAAGACCAAATCTAGGTCTGATTGGTATACCTGAAAGTGACGGGGAGAATGGAACCAAGTTGGAAAACACTCTGCAAGATATTATCCAGGAGAACTTCCCCAACCTAGCAGGGCAGGCCAACCTTCAAATTCAGGAAATACAGAGAATGCCACAAAGATACTCCTCGAGAAGAGCAACTCCAAGACACATAATTGTCAGATTCACCAAAGTTGAAATGAAGGAAAAAATGTTAAGGGCAGCCAGAGAGAAAGGTTGGGTTACCCACAAAGGGAAGCCCATCAGACTAATAGGGGATCTCTCGGCAGAAACTCTACAAGCCAGAAGAGAGTGGGGGCCAATATTCAACATTCTTAAAGAAAAGAATTTCCAACCCAGAATTTCATATCCAGCCAAACTAAGCTTCATAAGTGAAGGAGAAATAAAATCCTTTACAGACAAGCAAATGCTGAGAGGTTTTGTCACCACCAGGCCTGCCCTAAAAGAGCTCCTGAAGGAAGCACTAAACATGGAAAGGAAAAACCCATACCAGCCACTGCAAAATCAAGCCAAATTGTAAAGACCATCGAGGCTAGGAAGAAACTGCATCAACTAACGAGCAAAATAACCAGCTAACATCATAATGACAGGATCAAATTCACTCATAACAATATTAACCTTAAATGTAAATGGGCTAATTGCTCCAATTAAAAGATGTAGACTGGCAAATTGGATAAAGAGTCAAGACCCATCAGTGTGCTGTATTCAGGAGACCCATCTCACATGCAGAGACACACATAGGCTCAAAATAAAGAGATGAATGAAGGTCTACGAAGCAAATGGAAAACAAAAAAAGGCAAGGGTTGCAATCCTAGTCTCTGATAAAACAGACTTTAAACCAACAAAGATCAAAAGAGACAAAGAAGGCCATTACATAATGGTAAAGGGATCAATTCAACCAGAAGAGCTAACTATCCTAAATATATATGCACCCAATACAGGAGCACCCAGATTCATGAAGCAAGTCCTTAGAGACCTAGAAAGAGACTTAGACTCCCACACAATAATAATGGGAGATTTTAACACTCCACTGTCAACATCAGACAGATCAATGAGACAGAAAGTTAAAAAGGATATCCAGGAATTGAATTCAGCTCTGCACCAAGTGGACCTAATAGACATCTACAGAACTCCCCAGCACAAATCAACAGAATATACATTCTTCTCAGCACCACATTGCACTTATTCCAAAATTGACCACATAGTTGGAAGTAAAGCATTCCTCAGCAAATGTAAAAGAACAGAAATTATAACAAACGGTCTCTCAGACCACAATGCAATCAAACTAGAACTCAGGATTAAGAAACTCACTCAAAACCGCTCAACTATATGGAAACTGAACAACCTGCTCCTGAAAGACTACTGGGTACATAATGAAATGAAGGCAGAAATAAAGATGTTCTCTGAAACCAATGAGAACAAAGACACAACATACCAGAATCTCTGGGACACATTTAAAGCAGTGTGTAGAGGGAAATTTATAGCACTAAATGCCCACAAAAGAAAGCAGGAGAGATCTAAATTTGACACCCTAACATCACAATTAAAAGAACTAGAGAAGCAAGAGCAAACACATTCAAAAGCTAGCAGAAGGCAAGAAATAACTAAGATCAGAGCAGAACTGAAGGAGATAGAGACACTAAAAACCCTTCAAAAAATCAATGAATCCAGGAGCTGGTTTTTTGAAAAGATCAACAAAATTGATAGACTGCTAGCAAGACTAATAAAGAAGAAAAGAGAGAAGAATCAAATAGATGCAATAAAAAATGATAAAGGGGATATCACCATCGATCCCACAGAAATACAAACTACCATCAGAGAATACTATAAACACTTCTACGCAAATAAACTAGAAAATCTAGAAGAAATGGATAAGTTCCTCGACACATACACCCTCCCAAGAATAAACCTGGAAGAAGTTGAATCCCTGAAAAAGACCAATAAGAGGCTCTGAAATTGAGGCAATAATTAATAGCCTACCAACCAAAAAAAGTCCAGGACCAGATGGATTCACAGCCAAATTCTACCAGAGGTACAAGGAGGAACTGGTACCATTCCTTCTGAAACTATTCCAATCAATAGAAAAAGAGGGAATCCTCCCTAACTCATTTTATGAGGCCAGCAACATCCTGATACCAAAGGCTGGCAGAGACACAACAAAAAAAGAGAATTTTAGACCAATATCCCTGATGAACATCGATGCAAAGATCCTCAGTAAAACACTGGCAAACTGAATCCAGCAGCACATCAAAGATCTTATCCACCATGATCAAGTGGGCTTCATCCCCGGGATGCAAGGCTGGTACAACATATGCAAATCAATAAATGTAATCCAGCATATAAACAGAACCAAAGACAAAAACCACATGCTTATCTCAATAGATGCAGAAAACGCCTTTGACAAAATTCAACAGCCCTTTATGCTAAAAACTCTCAATAAATTAGGTATTGATGGGATGTATCTCAAAATAATAAGAGCTATTTAGGACAAACCCACAGTCAATATCATACTGAATGGGCAAAAACTGGAAGCATTCCCCTTGACAACTGGGATGCCCTCTCTCACCACTCCTATTCAACATAGTGTTGGAAGTTCTGGCCAGGGCAATCAGGCAGGAGAAAGAAATAAAGGTATTCATTTAGGAAAAGAGGAAGTCAAATTGTCCCTGTTTGCATATGACATGATTGTATATTTAGAAAACCTCATTGTCTCAGCCTAAAATCTCCTTAAGCTGATAAGCAACTTCAGCAAAGTCTCAGGATACAAAATCAATGTGCTAAAATCACAAGCATTTTTATACACCAATAACAGACAAACAGAGAGCCAAATCATGAGTGAACTCCCATTCACAATTGCTTCAAAGGGAATAAAATACCTAGGAATCCAACTTACAAGGGATGTGAAAGACCTCTTCAAGGAGAACTACAAACCACTGCTCAATGAAATAAAAGAGGACACAAACAAATGGAAGAACATTCCATGCTCATGGATAGGAAGAATCAATATCGTGAAAATGGCCATACTGCCCAAGGTAATTTATAGATTCAAAGCCATTCCCATCAAGCTACCAATGACTTTCTTCACAGAATTGGAAAAAAATACTTTAAAGTTCATATAGAACCAAAAAAGAGCCCGCATTGCCAAGTCAATCCTAAGCCAAAAGAACGAAACTGGAGGCATCAAGCTACCTGACTTCAAACTATACTACAAGGCTACAGTAACCAAAAAAGCATGGTACTGGTACCAAAACAGAGATATAGACCAATGGAACAGAACAGAGCCCTCAGAAATAATATCACACATCTACAACCATCTGATCTTTGACAAACCTGAGAAAAACAAGCAATGGGGAAAGGATTCCCTATTTAATAAATGGTGCTGGGAAAACTGGCTAACCATATGTAGAAAGCTGAAATTGGATCCCTTCCTTACACCTTACACAAAAATTAATTCAAGGTGGATTAAAGACCTAAATGTTAGACCTAAAACCATAAAAACCCTAGAAGAAAACCTAGGCAATACCATTCAGGACATAGGCATGGGCAAGGACTTCATGTCTAAAACACCAAAAGCAATGGCAACAAAAGCCAAAATTGACAAATGGGGTCTAATTAAACTAAAGAGCTTCTGCACAGCAAAAAAACTATCATCAGAGTGAACAGGCAACCTATAGAATGGGAGAAAATTTTCACAACCTACTCATCTGACAAAGGGCTAATATCCAGAATCTACAATGAACTCCAACAAATTTACAAGAAAAAAACAAACAACCCCATGAAAAAGTGGGCAAAGGATATGAACAGACGCTTCTCAAAAGAAGACATTTATGCAACCAATAGACACATGAAAAAATGCTCATCATCACTGGCCATCAGAGAAATGCAAATCAAAATCACAATGAGATACCATCTCACACCAGTTAGAATGGCGATCATTAAAAAGTCAGGAAACAACAGGTGCTGGAGAGGATGTGGAGAAATAGGAACACTTTGACACTGTTGGTGGGACTGTAAACTAGTTCAACCATTGTGGAAGACAGTGTGGCGATTCCTCAGGGATCTAGCAGTAGAAATACCATTTGACCCAGCCATCCCATTACTGCGTATATACCCAAAGGATTATAAATCATGCTGCTTTAAAGACACATGAACATGTATGTTTACTGTGACACTATTCACAATAGCAAAGACTTGGAACCAATCCAAATGTCCAACAGTGATAGACTGGATTAAGAAAATGTGGCACATATACACCATGGAATACTGTGCAGCCATAAAGAAGAATGAGTTCATGTCCTTTGTAGGGACATGGATGGTGCTGGAAACTATCATTCTCAGCAAACTATCGCAAGGACAAATAACCAAACACTGCATGTTCTCACTCACAGGTGGGAATTGAACAATGAGAACACTTGGACACAGGAAGGGGAACAGCACACGCTGGGGCCTGCCTTGGGGTGTGGGGAGGGGGGAGGGGGGAGGGATAGCATTAGGAGATATACCTAATGTAAATGATGAGTTAATGGGTGCAGCACAGCAACATGGCACATGTATACATATGTAACAAACCTGCACATTGTGCACATGTACTCTAGAACTTAAAGTATAATAATAATAAAAAAAGAAAACCAAATGAGAAAATAAACCAATACAAGACAACAGAAGTGTGCATACCTTTACAGCCTGATCTACAAAAGCTTCCTTTAAGGAAAAAAAAAGCAACTGAAGTATACAGCAAGCCCAATACCTTCCTTTCTTAGATTGCTGTTATTGGAATAATAAATTGATTGTTTAACCTTGCCAAATCACATAAACATATATTAATGTATAGTTTACCTGTACTCAGGCTTACTTTTCCAGTTTAGGAAAATATTGCATTTAAAATTTTTTCTAGTTTTCCAACATTAAGCAAGAAAAAAGTCTTAATTGGAGCTTCACAGAATCTACCTCAGGGACAAACGTAAGTCTCATACTTGAATTATGATCCCGAGACAGGCCTCTGCTGAGAGCTCACTAGTATTTTCAGGTTGCCAAAATATTTTTGAAACAAAGAGAAAGTGTTTTAGTATGGTTTTACCTAGCACTATAGCTTTTTGTGATAAGAGACAAGACATGTAGTTCTTTTCCTGGGGTCTTTTGCACACCTGTGCACAGGCTTCTGCTAGCAATTGGAAACCATGCAGAACAGAAAGCAGAATCTCATTTGGATGCAGCTCCCACTTTTCTATTCCAAGATGCACGCACCCATGTAAAGAAACTCTTGCTTCATGAAATTCAGAGATGCTGGAAATTAGGCAAAATCATCCTCTGGCCCAGAAAAGGCAAAGGGTGGACAGAGCATAGATTCGGAACTCAGGAGATCCAGAATCCAGGCTGTGCCCTGCCCCTAACGGGATAGGAAGTCTTAGAAAAATTCCTCCTCTTCTCTGGATTTTAATCTCTTCAGTAACAGAATGAGGAGATTGGACAAAGTGACTTACAAGGTTTCTTCTGGTTTAAATGTTCCATGGCATAAATATATCTAACAATTCTGCTCAGCCAATAATATTTGTCCACCACCCATCACCCTGCCTCCTGATAGTTACTGGGAATTCTCTCCATGGGTGAGACATAGTACCTGTCTGCAGCAACCTCCATTCTAGTAGTAACAACTTCCCTGCATACTTCAAATGTAGGATCAAACACAGTGGAACACACAGAGTATGCTCTGGAGTGGGACTTGGTATATCTGGGAATATATTAGGCCCTCTGCTAAGAGCTGTAGTTTCTGACCCCTGAAAGAGCTGCATAACAAGATAGTCTTACTTCTCAGGATGTTCTATGGCCTGAATCTTCAGAACAGGATCATTTATAATGAGGCCTTAGGTCACCATAATGTCACTCTGAGAATCCAGGTCACAGGACTGCATTTGGATAAGATTATATTCCTTTTCACTCCTTCGGACATTAGATACCTTTAGATAGGACCGATTTAGAGACAATGGACTCATTTCTAAGGCTACACTATTATGTTGTTACATTATAGCAAAAGGGTACTATTCCAGTTCCTATTGTGATATATTTAATTTCTTTGATGTTTCTCTTCTCTACCCAATCCTGCCCACTTCCTCTACAGACTTCCTTCTATCCCCAGGAGTTTTGCAGTCTACTGGATGAGATAATTTCCTTTGTTTTTTACCCAGATATTCCTCCCCTCCACCATCAACATCTACCCATCAAGGAAGAAAAATGGCCACATGGAGTTGGACTTAATGAGTTTGCCATAACCACATTACAAGGCAGCAAAGAAAAAAAACCTTCCCTTTAATAAGGATGTAGGACTTCCTCTGACAAATCATAAAAGTTTTATTAATTAATTGGAAGCCGTCCCCAAAAATGGCATTTCCGAGGTTTCTATCTTGAACTGCTGAATTCTGATCACATAGAATCCTCACCACAAACTAGACTGGAGGACAAAATTCAATTTTCCTTCTTCTTTCTGGAGGCAAAGCAGGGACCCACATCAAAGGATCCTTTCAGATGGGCTGCTAATGAGCTCTAGGACACCACGGAATTTTTGTTGCCAAGTGTTCACAAAAACAGGGAAGGCCCCAAACACATCTTGCTGATGAAACGATGAACAATTATAAATCAAAAAGCATTTCTGTGTTGCTTACTGACACAGTTCCTGCCCTCTCTCTGTCTTTTCTACATCCATAAAGAAACTCCAGTATTTAAAATTTAAAAAAAAAAAGAAGAAGAAAAAAGGAGAGTGGTGGGAGCAGGGGAAAGGGTGATGAAGTGGAATTACATACTTCATATTTGCCAAAGTTCTAAAGCAAAATAAGAAATCAGCCTTTCACGACCTTTAAAGGAGCAAAGATAGCATTAAAACAATGACAGGAAAACCCTCCAGACGATGGGCGTCTTTAAGGACCATCTTCACTTGGTATCAAACAGAGCACATCCAACTCCGTTTTGGAAAAAGTAATTCCTTCACAAGAGTGAAGATAAACATTTCTTGTAATTTCCTTTTCTGCAAGTTGGGTTCTGCAATATTAGTTCTTAGATTAGTCCACCCCCAGTACAATATTAAAATCTGCCCAAGATTTTGCTATGAAATGCCAGTCAAAGCTGAAGAAGCACCGTTACACAGTCTGCAACTGGAAGATCATAAAAAAAAATCATTCTTACCTCCGAACCACCATGACCTCGGCTCATTTAAAGGAACTGAAGAGAGTGCTTAAGACAAAAGACACACGTATTAAGCACTTGTGCGGTGTGTGTGTGTGTGCGCGCGCGTGTGTGTGCGCGCATGTGCTTGCATTTTCTCCAACTACAAGCCAGTGGAAGTAGGAACTTAAAAACTCCCGACGCCTTCCGCTGCCATATAATCTCAAGGAAATGACCATACTGTTTGTTTCTTTGATTAGAAACAAAAGCCTTTCAATATGAGTCACGGGAGAAATGGGAAAATAAAAACAACTAAAAAACTTCTGCTATTTCTTTTGGCCACTCAAACGCTTTCTTTACAACACATTTAAAACATATGATGAAATGTCATCTACTGTTTTCTAAACTTCCTTGATAATGCAAGCTTTAGGTTGGGTAATTATTCAGAGATAGGCGATGCCATGTATGAATCTAAACTTCTATGCATGTTCTGGATGAGGCTGGGAATTTAATGAATATAAATAAAAACAATATTTAACTCAACTTTGCTACTCACAGCCAGTTGATGTTAACAGCTTTTCCACTCAGAAAGAAACTTAGAATTCCATGGAACAACCTTAGTAAAATCAATCAGAGATGCCAGCCACAACAGAAAATCTTGGCAGAATGACGTGGTCTCAGAAAAGATTCATTTCACTATTTGCATTTAATGAAATCATTACTATTGAAGTCATTCAGTGAATAGGAAATAATCAAAATACATTATGCTTGAAGGCAGAGAGAAAAACATATAGAATACTGGAAAAATAATAAATTTACTTTTTTTAAAAAAAGAGAATGACTAAGTAAAAGTTTGTGACAGGGTATCATGCTTCTCCCTCCTGAAAAAAAGAACAGTCTGGAATTTTGCTCAGGAGTATGGTATGGTTAAGAATATAACCATAAGATTAAATCTCTAAGACTCTCTAGAGTCAGAGAAACCTCGTGTTTTACAGTTGTATATATCCTTGGGAAAGTTACTTGATCTTTCTGAGAATTGGTTCCCTCCTTTGTAAAATGGAGATAAAAATCCTGATCTCCTTCAGGAGTGCTGGGGAAATTAAAAGAGATAGTTCATGCAAAGCTCAAAGAATTTGCCTGGGAGATACCACAGGTATCTAAATATAGGGTGGGGTACCTCCCTTTACCCCCACAAAATGTTAATCCCTCAGAAACCGGGGAGTGGCTTTATCTTCAGATCCTTCTAAAGACTCTAATTACTATGACCACAATATACTGTCTGGGGAAGACATGGCAGCCTGTAACAACTTCAGTCAATGCTAAGTTTGGATGCAAATAGAAGTCACTTGATGATATCAGTAGAAAAGGTGGCAAAAAGTTTAATACATATTTAGTAATTATTTGTGAGCACGTGACCTCCCAATTGGACGGGTTGGATGTTAGAAGAAACAAGTTACTTAAACATTATTTCATGCACATATACTTGTAGGATAAATGGAAAAAGGAAAAAAAAAAAAGCTGGGCAATGATATTCCCAGAAAAGCATCATATATGGAGATTGAAAAAGTGCTATATAGCTCAAACAACTTGGGCAGAAGTGGAGATGCTGCGCTGTGATAAAAGGATGACTCAAAGAGGACTTTTGTTCCAGTGCCAGCACACACATGCACATGAAGAAGCTGAATAAAATTATCCTATCAAGAGGGAGAGCACAAGGCAGAAATCACTCCAGTTATTAATCTGCATAACAAGTGTTATGAGCACTCCTAATATTAGGAGTAAATTTTCTAATATTTCATATACATTTCTAAAATTTTATATAGGTTGACCCAAAACATTTGCCTGAGTCTTCTTGTTTGGAAGGTGGGGAATTATTGTATTACTTTATTTGACAGAACCTTCTATTTGTTAATATATAACAGTAAAAACTCAATACATGGTACCTTTTCTTACTGGGTTGGAGAGTCGACTGAGAGAACTAGTGGGACATTTCTGATTGTATGGTAAAAATGTTTTCACTGTTGAAGGACAATCGGAATGTTGATAGCCAGTTTCAGCAGCAAGTTGGGCTAGATTAGGCAAGGCTAAAACCAGGAGGCCAGGGCAGCTTGAGGGCCAGATGAAGGTTGACAGACCAAATTAGGGGGGAGGCTGGGTAAGCTCAGGTTATGGTGTGAGAACACATAGAGATGGAGTCTACCAGGAGTATTAAAATTAGGAGGCCGGGCACAGTGTCTCACACCTGTAATCTCAGCACTTTGGGAGGCTGAGGTTGGCAGATCACCTGAGGTAAGGGGTTTGAGACCAGCCTGGCCAACATGGCGTAACCCCATCTCTACTACAAATACAAAAATTAGCCAGGTGTGGTGGCCGGCACCTGTATTCCCAGCTACTCGGGAGGCTGAAGCAGGAGAATTGCTTCAACCTGGGAGCCGGAGGTTGCAGTGAGCTGAGATCACACCACTGCACTCCAGCCTGGGTGACAGAGCAAGCAAGATTCCATCTCAAAAAAGAAAAAAAATTAGGAAACAGGATCCCCGCTTTTCTTTGGGGACACCATCCAAATAACTGGGGGTAGGGGGGAACCCCATATCCCCATATAAAGAAGATGAATATGTGATTCAAGACTGACCAATAAAATCACTCTACCCCCATGTGATGGTTAATACTTAGTGTCAACTTGATTGGATTGAAGGATGCCAAGTATTGATCCTGGGTGTGCCTCTGAGGGTATTGCCAAAGGAGATTAACATTTAAGTCAGTGGGCTGGGAAAGGCAGACCCACCCGTGATGTGGGTGGGCACCATCTGATCAGCTGCCGCTGTGGCCAGAATATAAAGCAGGCAGAAAAATGTGAAAAGACAAGACTGGCCTAGCCTCCCAGCCTACATCTTTCTCTCGTGCTGGATGCTTCCTGACCTGGAATATCAGACTCCAAGTTCTTCAGTTTGGGGACTCGGACTGGCTCTCCTTGCTCCTCAGCCTGCAGACGGCCTATTGTGGGACCTTGTTATCATGTGAGTTAATACTTAATAAACTCCCCTTTATATATAGATATATATATACACACACACATACATATATACACACACGTATATATACATATATATAATATATATACATATATATATAATATCCTATTAACTCTGTCCCTTTAGAGAACCCTTACTAATACACCCCATACCCATTAGTCATAGGGATCAGAGAAGAAGTATCTTTGTTTTTGTTTGTTCTGGAGTTACAAAGTTGCTTGGATGAAAATCTGGGGCTACCAGGAAACCTCATGCCAGACAGAAGAGTTGGAGAGAGACATACTCCAATGTCACTGTCTGAATTATGAAATGCCATTGAACCTGAAGTCATTCCCTGGCCTTTTCAGTTACTGAGTCTATAATTTCCGTTTCTGCTCAAGCTGGTTCTGATTTTTAAACAAAACTTTATTTGCAAACAAAAATATCCTATCTAATATGTCAGTTTGTGTGAGAAAGGATAATTGGAATCTGACACCATTAGTCCACTGACCAACACTGTTCAAGAATGTGGGTGCTTATAAACACAGGATTGGAGAGTTTGGTGGGGCTCTAGGTGCAAAGACGGGACAAGGGCATAGGTGCCAGGGATTCAGTCGTGAGGAAATGGATAATTCCTGCAGTAGTAGGGTATCAGATAGGAGTTTTGTAATCAGTAAATCAGAAGGGGTCCCAGATAACTGGCATTCAAAGGCCAGAATGGGACAGTGGCAAAGCTGATGCTATATCCAACTTGAAACAAATGTTCTTCCAAATGCCTTCTGCCGTGCAGCCAGATACAAGGCAGGGCTTAACCTGGGATTCAGGAATGTAGACTTGGGGAGCCCTGTTTAGGAGTCCCGTTGAAAATGAAACTATATCCTGGAATAGGTCCAAATGAAATATGAGCTTATATGTGAAACTGTGCCTATAAAATACAAATTGTGACACAGTTGGATGATCACCTAACTGGTGAGCTTGTACATATGTATTGGTGACTTTGTGGAGGGTTTTATTGACTGTGAGGGTGGAATAAAGGAAATATGTCCACCAATTTAAGGAAAAATTTGTGGAAGCAGGATCCCAATTTTTGTCTTTAGGAGAAGCTTTGCGTTTTATCTCAAAACTATCACTTTCATCACAGAACATTTCACATACTGAATGAATGCCAGACGCACCATAAAATCACAACAGAGGCAATGTATTGCAGTTTTCCAAAATTCTGACAGCTGGGCATAGCACTAAACCATTTGTCATAAAGTAAGAGGACAAACTTGAAGACCAGCTCATCTCCTCCTAAATTTAGTGAGGTTTGCACTAAAGAAAAAATATTTCCTCATAACTTCTCATCCTTCTCTAATTCAGCCTCTAGAAACAATTCAGTTTCAGTTCAAATATTTCTTGAGCATCAAATACATGCAGAGGCCTTACAAGGAAGTCAAATATGAAAACACCATGGTTCTGACCTTCGAAAAATTTGCAGCCTGGACCTGGCATCTCTCAAAAAGAGAAGAGTAATCACTTTATTTGTCACCTCATAGTCAACTCTGCAATTGAGGAATTACACATTTCTTTCACACACATGCTGGTTTCTGTTTTTAATCTTTTATCAATCTGTATGTCAGAGCTCCTTGGATACCTGATGATTTTTCTTAAATTTGCATTCACTGCAGTAATTATTTTTTGAATGTCTATCAGGTATTGGATGTCAGAGCTGGGTGTGTGGCCTATGTAGGCCCACAGGATTCAGTGCTCAGAAGGGCCTCATGCTTGGTTTAGTGTTCTGCTGTCTCACAATTCTTAATCATTTTTGAACAAGGAATCCCACATTTTCATTTTGCATTGTGCTATGGTTTGAATGTCCCCACTAAAACTCATGTTAAAATTTGATTGCCATTTTCACAGTATTAAGAGGTGGGACTGGCCAGATCCGGGGGGCACATGCCTGTAATCCCAGCAGTTTGGGAAGCCAAAAAAAACAGATTGCTTGAGTTCAGGAGTTTGAGACCAGCCTGGGCAATATAGTGAAACTCCATCTCTACAAAATACACAAAAATTAGCCAAGTGTGGTGGCATGCGCCTATAGTCCCAGATACTCAGGAGGCTGAGGTAGGAGAATCACTTGAGCCTGGGAGGTTGAGGCTGCAGTGAGCCAAGACTCTGCCACTACACTTCAGCCTGGGTGACACAGTGAGACCCTGCCTCAAAAACAAACAAATAAACAAACAAAAAAAGAAGTGGGACCTTCAAGACATGATAATGGATTATTAATTCATTGTCACAGAAGTAGATGAGTTATCATGGAGGTGGGCTTCTAATAAAAGATAAGTTCAGCCCACATTTTTCCTGTTTCTTCCTGTGAACCTGTGCACCCTTCTGCCTTCAGCCATGGGATGACCCTGCCAGATGCCAGTGCCATGTTGTTGGACTTCCCAGCCTCCAGAACCATGAGCCAAATAAATCTGTTTTCTTTATAAATTACCCAGTCTGTGGTATTTGGCTATAGACACAGAAAAGATATGTAGAGTCTGGTAAATTATGTAGCTAGCTCTGCTGGGCATGGTGCTAAGTGGTGGGGGAACAGCAGTGAGCAGGAGAGGTATCCAGAGGGTGGCATGAAACAAAAAATAATTTAATTCATAAATGAGGTAATTTCAGACAAGAGTAAGACTTAGGAGGAAAATAAAGCAGGAGGACATGATAAAGAGGGGTGGAGAACGCTGTATGGGGAGAGTGAGCTCCTGGATTAAGACTGGAGGTCAGGAAAGAGCCAGCCACAGGTTAGTTGGTTTCAGGACCATTTCTGCCTTGTTCAGGGCTATAACACGTGGAACCTGGAAAGTTCTCAACTAATATTTTGAATGAATAGAACTTCTGTTTAAAAAGGAAAAGTACCAAATACAGAAAATTAATTCATAATTTAGTACAAACTGGGACTGACCGATAAGGAACATTTAAGTTTATTTAAGGTCTCCTTCAGGATCACATGTTTTAGCAGCTGGAGGGGGTGCACTATGTCCAGGAAAAACAACCCTGATGGAAAAGTTCATTACTCATATTCCCCTCTAGACAGAAAAAGAGGGAAAACTTTTGTGCTCGGCGAATTTTCTTGTTTTCTTAACCATAAATGGAAAAACAGAGATGAAAAGAGGTAGGGAGAGAAGCAGGCATGATAGGGGTTTCCTTTCTGTCTGTTTCACAGGTTGAAGGCCATGACTTTTGACTTGGTTTTACCATAAGGCACGTGCAGTTTTTTAGGTGACGCACATAAACTTTGTAAAATTGAGTCTCATCTCTGTGTTTGGAAAAATGAAGAGAAAAGGGTATTCAAAGTTCATTCTTGAAATCCATTTTACAAATGGGAAACTGAAGCACGGAGATGTCTGGTAGCATAAGTCTCCCCAGTTGGGGGTAGAAGAACAGGATTTGAACCCAGGGCCCATGCTCTTACAAATGGCCTTTCCATTTGGCCATTGTAGACAAGGTGGAATGCATCCAGGGGTTAACACTCAGGCATTCTGTTAGATTTCCTTCCTGTCTTTCTGCAGAACCTGGAGTTTTGTTTTCCCCTTTCTCTCTCCCTTTGTATTCCTTTAAAACCAAAACAAAAAAGTTTTTGTAGTGGAAAATTTCAAGTACACACAAAAAGTCAAAGACCAGTGTCATAACCACCTCCCATTTTTCCACCTAGTTTCAAGTTATCAACACCTGGCTAATATTGTTTCATTTATATTCTTGCCTACTTTCTGTCCTCCTATATGTATTATTTTGAAGCAAAACCAAGACTTAAGTAATTTCATCTGTAAATAATTCAATATAAAAGATAAGGACTCTTTTTTAAACATAACCCTAAATACTTAAAAAAGTTAACAGTAATTCCTTAATATCATCAGATCTCTAGTCTTCAAATATCCAATTATCTGATTAATGTCTTTTTTCCCCAAGTTTGTTTGAATCAAAATAAAAAAAAGCTCCACATTTTGCAACTGGTTGATATTTTCCTTAGGTCTCTGTTAACCTACAGGTTCCTGTTCCATCCATCTCTCTCTTTTTCTCTCCTCTCTCTCTCATTGCAATTCATTTGTTGAAGAAACTAGGCTGTTTATCCTGTAAATTCTCCTAGCACCTAAGTTTTGCTGATTGCATTCCCTTGGTGTCACTTAAATGTTCCTCTGTTTACCATGGTTCCTGTAGGTTGGTTGAGTCCCAAGGCTTTATCAGATTTCAGTTAGATCTTTTTTGGCAATACTATCTCATAGGTCGCCACTTGTGTTTTTTCATTAGAAGAGCCATTTCTTTTTGTGACATTAGCAGCTGCTAATGCTCAACAGCTATATCATTTAATTAATTAGAAGTGGCAGTATGATGGCATTCTAATTCTATTATCCCTTACTTACTAGTGAGAATATTTCTATAATGAGAGATTTTTTTCCTTATCTATTAATTGGTTACCCAGTAGTATAATTCATACAAGAAAGGCAGAGAAAATGTTTGACTCTTTATCTTTATTTGCCAGTTTCCAAAATAACGAGTTGGGTACTTTCAAGGGTGGTCAAAGTGCATTTTGTCATTATGAACATATGCATTTAAATATAATTTATGTGTTTCAATCCATTAAAGTTATTTTCTTTTTTTAAAATTTTCTTTACTGATATTCAGATTGGGCCATTTTGGTGAGTGAGAGCCTCTTCAAGCCAGTTTCCAAGTCCTTGTGACATGGTTTTAGTAGTATTTGTCAGCTTCCTTGCTACCAGTAGTATTTGTCAGCTTCCTTGCTACCTGGGATAAAAAGATGCTCATCTTGTGCATTTACTACTCAAAACCTGGGCAGTGTCTGTTACTGCTTTTTGTTTCATTTAGAAAATTACACTATAAATGATGCATAATAAAAATACATATTTTAGGTATTACAGCCATGTTATCCACATCCCCCCCAAGATATAAAACTTTTCCAGAAAGCTACCTCTGCCAATCTTTCCCTACCTCCCATAACAACCACTATTCAGATTTCTATCACAATAGATTAGTTTTTCCTGTTGTAGAACTTCATACAAATTGAATTATGGAGTATGTATTTTTTAATACCTGGCTTCTTTTACTGAGCAAAATGTTTTTGATATTCATTCATGGTGTTGCATGTATTAGCAATTCATTCATTTTCTGATCGCTGAGTAGTATCCATTGCATGAATATAGTATAGTTTATTTATCTCCTCTCTTGTTAATGGAAATCAGTTGTTCTCAGTTTGGGGGTATTAGAAGTTATAAGCTATGAATATTCTTTTACAAGCTGTGTGTGTATGCATGTGTGTGCACATGCATATGTTTTCATTTCTCTTGAATAAATGTGCATGAATAGAGCTAACAGATCATAGGATGAATGTACGTTTAACTGCCAAATAATTTCCTAAAAGGTCATACCATTTTACACTGCCAATATATGAGAGATCTGGTTATCCCACATCTTTGCCAAAATGTGGTATTATAGGTCTTCTTAATTTTAGTTATTTTAGTGACTGTGAAGTAGTAGAAGCATTTGTGTTTAAGTGACTTTTTGTTTGCACAGGTATAGGTTTAGGTGATAATTGTAGATTAATAATAACAAGCACTTATATAGTACTTCATATGTGCCATACTCTGTTCCTGTTTATTATAAATATAAACTCCACAATAACTTTGAGGTCGGGACTATTATTATTATCTCCATTTTACAGATGAGAACACTGAGGCATAGAGAGGTTAAATAACTTACATGAAATCACAGCCAGGAAGTAGCAGATGAAGGCTTTGAACCTACACAGTTTGGCTCCAAATTTCAGGCTCTTGACTTGTGTGCTCTTCTGCCTCTCACAATTGTTAATTGGAATCCTTTCCAGTTCTCTAGCATTTCACTGAGACACTGGTAAATATTTCTGGTTAAGACAACTATCACGAAGTCAGGAGCTCGAGACCAGCCTGACCAACATGGTAACACCCCATCTCTACTAAAAGTACAAAATTAGCTGGGCACGGTGGCGCATGCCTGTAATTCCAGCTACTCAGGAAGCTGAGGCAGGAGAATCGCTTGAAACTGGAAGGCGGAGGTTGCAGTGAGCCGGGATCGTGCCACTGCACTCCAGCCTGGGTGACAGAGTGAGACTCCATCTCAAAACAACAACAACAAAAAGCCAACCCCCCCCCCAAAAAAACAAACAAAAAACAAAAACAAACTATCATGTTAATTTAAAAATCCCATACTTTTTAAAATAAAGAACTGTGAATTTTAAACAATTTCTTTCTATTCCTGCCCATCTTATTCTGAACTTAAACATTTTCCTTATATCAGCACATCTCCAATTTTTATTATATGTTTCCTAAAAAGTTTTTCATTTTGAATACTTTTGTTGTTGTTGTTGGACAATTCTTCTATAAGTCCTGACCTTCAAGTCCTGAGCTTATATTGTATCAGAATGCTTTTTACAGTAAAAAAAAAAAAAACAAACAAAAAGTGAAAATAACTTTAATAATATGGATCTATATTCTCAGTATCTCCAGGTAGGGCAGTGCCAAGGTTGGTGAGGTCAACAGATTAGCAATATCGTAAAAGTCCCAGGCTTCTTCTATTTTTCCACCCGGCCCATTCTTCTTACGTAACATTCCCTCATGGTTGCAATATAGCTGCCATCCTTGAAGCTCTCACATCTCCACTCCAAAAAAAAGGATCACTTCTTTTTACCATGTTTTTTTTTTTTTTTTAAATAGAGATGGGTCTTGCCATGTTGCCCGGGCTGGTCTTGAACTCCTGAGCTCAAGTGATCCTCCCATCTTGACCTCCCAAAGTGTTGGGATCATAGGTATGAGCCTCTGCACCTGGCCTCCATGCCTTTTTTTTTTTTTTTGAGACGGAGTCTTGCTCTGTTGCCCAGGCTGGGGTGCAGTGGCACAATCTCAGCTCACTGCAAGCTCCGCCTCCTGGGTTCACGCCATTCTCCTGCCTCAGCCTCCCGAGTAGCTGGGACTACAGGCGCCTGCCACCACGCCTGGCTAATTTTTTGTATTTTTAGTAGAGACGGAATTTCACCATGTTAGCCAGGATGGTCTCAATCTCCTGACCTCGTGATCCGCCTGCCTTGGCCTCCCAAAGTGCTAGGATTACAGGCGTGAGCCACTGCACCTGGCCCAGCCATGCCTATTTTCAAGAACAGACAGCTTTTTAAGAAATGGCTCCCCATTGACCAGAGCTGGGTCCTATGTTTACCCTTAACCAATCCCTGGCAGAGGAATAAGGTCATCATGACTAGCTTCAACCACAGCTTCAAAACCAGTGTACTGAGGCAACAGGTGTACTGAGCTATTGGTCTTTTCAGGACTGGAGGCAGCCAGAGACAATTTGGTGATCACCTCCAGCCTGAGCAGCTTCTTCCATTTACTCCAGGTGCCACACAAACACTATCATTTTCTGTGTATTCTATGACATCAGAGAAAGTAGGGAAGCACTGGGTTAGAGACCAATCAATCAGTATTTACCCAAGTTATATGGGCAAGGGGGTGATATTGATCCCTGAACCAAATCAGGCCTCTCAGGATGAAAGAAGCAAAGAATGGATGTTTAAATCAGGCTTAGAAAATGAACACAAAACAAGAGAACCCACAGGGAGCAAAGTAACAAGTTATGTCACGCGACTATCTTGCCTGTCCCACTCACCTCAGTTACTGCCTTGATGATTCTGACTTCCAAACATCCTGTCCTTTTAGCTCAAACTCAGAAGACAGGAACATGCAAGTTTAGCCAAGCTGAACCAGGGGACAGACAGAGGACAAGCTGGCCCCTTGGTGGCCACGGCAGGAAGCATGCGCTGGGACCTGCCATTTTGCCATCTGCCTGGTGGGCACCTCCAGAAGGGAGACTGGGTGCTAATGGTATGCCAGTGGTGAGTGAGCAGCTAAAAAATATGACAAAAACATTCATTGGGAAACTTCCTGCAGCAATTCCAGTTTGCCTCTGAGTCAGCCTGGCTCTGGTTAAAGTCTATATACAAACAAATCTGTGGGTCAACCCATCTTCACCCTCAGGGCACTATCTCCAGAATAACCATGGCATTAATGGGATCAGCAGTTTCAATCATCTCCTGAGTAATCAGTTCTGGTGCCTCCCCAAATGAGACAAATGACAGTTTCATGGTCGCTCGTGGCTATGAAATCTCATCGAGACAATTCGACTCTGGTTAAATTATATTTAAGTTAATAAATATGAATTTAGATGGCCAAAGAAGCTCAAAAACCCCTGGGCATCTAAGACAAAAAAGAAAAAATAAATGGTGCAGCATTCTGTTCTCCTACCCCAAGCTTTCTCACTTGTTTTTTTAAAAAAATAAATAAAGGCCTTGGTGATTCCTTCTCAGTTCATCTAAATGAAGTTTAGGCCATTTACAGAAGAGATAAAACAAAATTGCTGAAATTCACTAAACAGTAAAGGAGGAAACCACAATATGAAACCGAATAGTATAGTGATTATAAAAAGCAATAACTATTCTCAGCCATTTCTAAAGCTTAAGATTTTAGTGCATAACAGAGAGGCTGTGTGAACATCTATCTTTATGGCACTTGGGTTTTAACCAGCAATGCTCTATATAAACCTATTTTAACTATACAAGGAAATTCCATATCACTCTGAGATGACAAATATTCTCTAGGAGACTAAAACCTGCTCTCAAGTCTGGCTCTAAAATTGTTCTCAAACCAATTTATACTGTGACAAAACACAGTATGTGTTTCCCCCAATGTTATCGGGCAAGAACAACTCCAGTATTCCAAGTATCATGGTCCTTAAGAAAGTTATGGAAATTGGACATCTCTACTAATAAATGAAGTAAAATAAAAACAAATAAAATGTACATTTTTGGCCAGCAGACTGGTATAAATCAAAGTTGCTAGCTAGAATGTGGACAAGAATGATTCTTATTCACTTGGTAGTAGCATAAATAGATACAACCTTTGTTTTTTTTCTTTTTTTTGAGATGGAGTCTTGCTCTGTTGCCCAGGCTGGGGTGCAGTGAAGCAATCTCGACTCACCACAAACTGCCTCCCGAATCAAGCAATTCTCCTGCCTTAGCCTCTGAATAGCTGGGATTACATGCGCACTTCACCACGCCTGGCTAATTTTAGTATTATTACAGACGGGGCTTCACCATGTTGGCCAGGCTCATCTTGAACTCTTGACTTCAAGTGATACACCCGCCTCGGCCTCCCAAAGTGCTGGGATTACAGGTGTGAGCCACCGCACTCAGCTGTGGAATTTTCGGAAAACCAAATTCCTTCCAAATTCCAGCAATATCATTTCAAAGTATTCACTTCACAGAAATGCTCCCACAAATGTTTTATGTATAAGAATGGTTACTGTAGCATTGTCTTAGTAAAAATTAGAAACAGGTCAAGCATGGTGGCTTATGCCCGTAATCCCAGCACTTTGAGAGGCTGAGGAGGGGGCAGATCATTTGAGGCCAGGAGTTTGAGATCAATCTGGCCAACATGGAAAAACCCCACCTCTACAAAACACACACACACACACACACACACACACACACACACACACACACACAAAATTAGCTGGTCATGGTGGCACAGGCTTGTAATCCCGGCTACTTGGGAGGCTAAGGCAGGAGAATTGTTTGAACCCAGGAGGCGGAGGTTGCAGTGGGCCGAGATTGCATCACTGCACTCCAACCTAGGCAACAGAGCAAGGCTCTGTCTCAAAAAACAAAAACAAAAACAAAAACAAAAAAAATTGACAACAACTTAATGTCCATCAATAGGAGACTGATGTAATTATTAAAAATTAATTATGGTTCATTCATACCATTGAATATACAACACTTATTAAAAATAATGACATATATCAGTATGTAAGACATGTAAGTAAATACATTTTAGAATAAATTATGTGGGGTGATCTCACCTCGTGATCATGGTATCTCCCCTGCCAGGTAAGTATAGGGTGATCTCACCTCTGTAAAAATTTATATTATAATGATATGATATGTATGTCACTATAGGTTTAGAAAATATCTGGCAAATATATGCCCTGTTAATAACCATTAAAGAACCTTCATGTTCTAAGCCATGCATATCTCTAACAATTAAATTTATTAACATATGTTGCTTTAATGATAAAAACTCTATAGTTCTTAAAAGAGCACAAACACGACCTTTTTTTTCAATAGTATTCATATCAATAATAATTAATAGTCTTTGTATTTTTCTTGTTGTTTTGTTTTGTTTTTAGACAGGGTCTCACTCTGTTGCCCAGGCTGGAGTGCAGTGGGATGATCACAGCACACTGCAGCCTCAACCTCCTGGGCTCAAGTGATCCTCCCACCTCAGCCTCCTGAGTAGCTAGAACTACAGGTGTTGCCACTATGCCCGACTAATTTGTATTTTTTGTAGAGATGAAATTTTGCCATGTTGCCCAGGCTGGTCGTGAACTCCTGGACTCAAGTGATCCACCCATCTCAACCTCCCAAAGTGTTGGGTTTACAGGTATGAGCCACCGTGCCAAGTGAACAATCATTTTTAAATGGACATACTAGACAAACACTTGGAGACACTACTACCTTCTGGCACTGTGTGAATGGACACAAAGTTAAATTAAACAGATCTTTATTCTCCAGAAATGGTCTACACAAGAGCCTGGATCAAATGTTTTGAATAGGACATTTTACAAAATTGTAAAAATATTATAGATATTCTTGCTATAAAATATTTGATTTCAGAATAATATGAAAGTAAGAGAAGCAGAAACTTCTCCTTCATCCACTTACACTTCCCAGAGGTAAAAATTATTTATTAATAATTTGGGCTATACATGTCCAGCCCCATCCCTCCACACATACATGAACACATACATACACACATTGCTTGCATATATCCATAACAATACACATACATACATATATACATACACATGTACACATCCCATATATTGTCTTGTACTTTGTTTTTGTTTTTACCCAAAAAATATATCATTGACAATTATCTGGGCCAATATTTTTGTTTTTACCCAAAAAATATATCATTGACAATTATCTGGGCCAATATTTTTGTTTTTACCCAAAAAATATATCATTGACAATTATCTGAGCCAATTTTCAACTCCATTCTCTCTCCTGATCTCATAGAATCCCATAGTACCGAGGTACTGTCATTTAATGAACTATTCTGTTTATTCTCACTGCTTTGCTATTTGAAATATGAAAATATGAAAATCCTTGCACGTGCGCCATTACATGAGAATGTCCTTAGGAGGATTTCCTGAAATGGAAATGCTTGGTCATAGAGAACAAATATCTTACATTTTGACTGGAAACAACTAGACTGTGCTATAAAAAGGTTGCAACAATTTATCAGATCAATCATAATTTAATGCTTCTGCTTTAAAATATCCATTTCCTCTCATTCTTATTTTAGGTAATTTCACCTATATGACATATATCAGTATGTAAAACATGTTATAGTCCCATTTCTGGGATGCTTTTCCTTCTCTCTTTTTTTATTTTACCTCTTTTCGTGGCCAAGGCCTTTTTCTAAACTATAATTTATTGAGTTCTTTTCATGTTCTAGGCATCTGTTTAAGCAGTCACATGGCACTCTCCCATTTAAACCCGACAACATCACGAGATATCATGTTCCCATTTTACAGATGAGGAAACTGAGGCTCAAATGGGTTGAGAAACATGCTCTGAGTTACCCAGCCAGTAAAGGACGTGGGCCAGCATTGGAACTCATACCACCTGACTCCAATATCCTTAGCTCCCACAGGATATGTGCAAATCACACAAAGGAAACAGATAAAGCTGTTCATCCCATTACAACATCTATTAGAACAGACTGATGACATTAGACAGCAGTAAATAATGAATGCAGCTGCTGTGGCTGAGGAAGGCACTGTGGTTTCCCAGGCCACATCCTCTGTCTTTTTTCTCACAGATCCCTCAAGCCTGTGCCTACCCCCCTTGTCGTTCTTGGACAGGTGCTTTGCATACTTCTTGAACAAATGCAATTGCCACATTTTGAGTATGTCTCACTCTTCTGCCTTACACTTGATACTCAGTCCTCCCCAGTGAAGTAGCCCATGGCATACTCCCACTTCACAGACAAGCCAGGCAAGCCAATAATGTGGGAGCTTCAGCACATAACTCTCTGGAGTGCAGTGGTGCAATCACGGCTCACTGCAACCTCAACCTCCTGGGCTCAAGCAATCCTCCTGCCTCAGCCTCTTGAGTAGCTGGGACTACAGGTACACACCACCATATCTGGCTAATTTTTTGGGTATTTTTTGTAGAGATGAGGTTTGACCATGTTGCCCAGGCTGGTCTTGAACTCTTGGGCTCAAGCAATTCTCTCACCTCGGCCTCCCAAAGTGCCGGGATTAAAGGCATGAGCCACAGGGCCCAGCTTGTTTTCTTCTTTTTAATCAAAGGAAACAGATGAAGTTGTTTATCAAATTTTCATTTGCTAAACTTCATCAAAATTAATAGTAATTTTCTAAAGAATACACCTATTATGGAGTCTAACCATATTATTTGCACTGATGATTTCAGAGTCATACTATAAGTTTAAAAGTAATGCTGAAGGTTGGTGGAAAAAAAGCGAAAGCTATCTTTAGTGAATATGTTGGCTCATGGTTTTACTTTCTGGAAAAACTTCAGATACACAGTCCTATCTATACATAAATACATACATGTATTTGTACATTTTTCATATGTCATACATTAAGTATGCACACATATTTATTTCTTCATAGATTTAAGCATGACCTATTTAGCTCAGAGAAAAAACAAAGAAAAGGCCAGGAGAAAAGAAAAAAGGGTAGAAAGAACATAATTAAATTTGATTTACTTAAAACACAATGCACAGATAAAAGTGTGGTGAATTTTTGTAACCTAATTTAGTATATAAGCCTGAAAAAATTAAACTGATGCAACTGTGTGCTGAATAAAGGAGACTGTTCAGATTCTGGCACTAACATCTCAAGAAAAAAAAGATTTTTGAAACTCAGAGTTGGTTTCTGAAGTTTATTGAAGGAAAAACACATTCACTAAAAAATAAAAAAATCTCATTCCCAAAAAGAATTTGAGAGCAAAATCTTATGAGCTCGGCTGGAACTATATCTGGCATCAATACCTAGAAAGTTCAAAATATAAAAATCCTAAGGAAGAAATAGCTTCATAAATTTAAGTATGATTTGACAGTTAAGATTCTTTGTATCCTGACCAAAATTGTTTCTAACTTAAACACTGAATTCATTTAAAAATTGGTAGTAGCCTATTTATTAAAAGAAAAGGTACTTTCTCCTGAGAAACATTTGGGAAATACCTGGTATGACTTTTTTCTTTAGCAATGATGATGGCAGATTCCGTCATTATTTGATGGTGCTAATTAGACATAATAAGCAGCTCTTGTAACTTAAAGAGTCAAATTCTCTCTATATTGTCTGTGCTTGCAGAATTTTGAAAAGCTTGAACACAGCCAAAGAGTTGGGGAAAGCAAGCTTTTAATTAAACACTAATAAAGGCCAGAAATAAATTTTGCTTTTGCTTTTGTTCCTGTTTTTTTTTTTTTCTTTTGCTCCTAAGAATCCAGGAAAATCCAATCAGAAGGGCCGTTCATCCTTTAACTCCAGTGGATGGGAAAGACCTGAGACAGGGTCAGAATGATTAAAAAACGTACATAGAAATGCCAAAAAAAAGAGAGCAAACGGTCTGAAATGTCTGTCAGGAAAAACAGGGCACCTTCCAGAGCCCAACCACAGGGCCGGGTGCAGGAAATAGCGATCGCTTGACACTCAGGGCTGACAAGAACTGCAGAAGCTGCCAAGGTCCCCGCCCTGGGCTGGGCACGGGTGGGTACTTGCAGCTGGCAGTACACACAAGCTGGTGTCCTTGAGGGAGCCCACTGGCACCAGGGTTAGAGGAAATAAGCTACTCTGCTATCTAAAGCAATGCTTTTCTGATGAAATGGTCGTTAGAGAAGCCAAACGAATGTATTCTCAATCAGCTTACACTGGCGTGGGCTATTTTCAATAATGAAAAAGAATAAACCCACACATACAAATGTATTTCAACATACATGGCTTTTTCCCCACATGAGGTTTCTAAAGCTTCACGGAATGCAAACGTTGCCTTCGGGCAGAGTTCTGCTAATGCTGCTTTCTCCTCCTCCAAATGCTTGGTGTCTTCTCATATCATGTGCTGCCTCTACCCTTGCCCGGGTCCCCATCGTCTCTCAGCTGGAGATCTGAAATGGCCTCCTGACCGCTCTTATGCCTTTTAAGTCATTCTCCCTAGAGTGGCTGGAGCAGGCTTCTTAAAGTGTAAAGTAGATTCATTTGTTCATTTAATCAACAAGTATTTCTGAAGCACATTTTTGGTTCCAGGTGCTGTTCCAGGCACTGAGGATTCTAACAGTGAAGTCCCCTGCATGCCTTCAGCTATGAATAACGTTCTGGCAGGGGAAATGAGCATATGAACAAATATATTCATAGAGTCAGGTGGTGTGGTGAAAAGGATTACAGTGAAAAATAAAGCAGGCTAAGACATGGTTGGGAGTCACCTCCCTGGTTGGGGTGACATTTGAAGAGACCTACAGGAAGTGATGGGGTAAGCATCATGTAGACTTCTCAGGAATGAGATTCCAGGCAGACAACATTCTGTGGGCTACAACTCTGAGGCTGGAATGTGCTTGGCAGGTTTGAGGGACAGCAAGGAGGCCAGGGTTGCTGGAGAAGCGTTAAAGAGGGGAAGGGTGCTGGGAGTTAAGACCAGAGTTTGGGTGTGTTTGCTGGAACTGAGGCAGGAGTTGGGAGGAGCCTAGGTAGAAGGAATACTGATCACACAGACACACAGGGGCCTTGTAGAGATAGTAAGGCCAGGTTGTTTCTCAGAGTTGGGAAGTCATTGAAGGGATCTGAACAGAAAAATGACACGATCTGACTTACTTTGAACAAAATCGCACTGGAGGTGGGGTTGAGAAAACACTGCAGGGGCGGTTGGCATTTGCAGAGAGACCAGTTAGGAAGCTATTGCAACAAACCAGCTAA
This sequence comes from Homo sapiens, assembly GCF_000001405.40. Taxonomy (NCBI): domain Eukaryota; kingdom Metazoa; phylum Chordata; class Mammalia; order Primates; family Hominidae; genus Homo; species Homo sapiens. The sequence goes on from NC_000003.12 coordinate 69,371,603, forward strand.
GAAATGAGGGTGGCTTGGCCCCAGGATCATGGTGATGAAGATGATAAGTGGATATATAGTTTGAAGGTAGAGCCAAAGGGATTTGCTGATGGGTTAGAAGTAGAATGTAAGTGTTGAAAACTAGCCAAGGTTTTCACTTCAGCACCCGGAAGAATGGAGTTGCCATTTACTGACAAATAGCTGACTACAAAGTACGCTCTGAGAGGGCAGAGCTTCTTGTTGGTTTCTTGCTGTATCTCCACTGCCTCGACCAGGCCTAGAATGTAATAGGCCCTCAGTATATATTTGTTGAAATGAATGCACAAGTTATTTCCACATTTGAAACATCTTCAATGGCTTCCCACCACACTTACTGCAAACTCTAGAACACCAGGGCACCGTGTGATCTAATCTCTGCTGCCTTGCCAAACCCACCTCTCATGACCTTAACATTTCTTGCAACACTTTGGCCACTCCACTGTGCTCTCCATTCCTACAACATCCTAAGGTCTTTCCTGCCTCAGTGTCTTTGCGTCTGCCATTAACTCCACTTGGAATGCTGTTCTCCTTGGTCTGCACGTGCCAAGCTCCTTCTCATCCTTTGAGTCTTGACATTAATAAAACCTCGGAAAGAAGCCTTTTGTCACATTTCTCCCTTGCCAGCTTCATCCCCAGTGGACTCTGAGCTCCACAAGGGCAGGGCCTACCTCTGTCTGTTATGCTGTTGTATCCCAAGTGCCCAGAAAAGTGCCTGGAAGGTAATAAATATTGCTCAATAAAAAGTGCTTTAATAAACAATGAGGCTGGGTGTGATGGCTCATGCCTGTAATCCCAACACTTTGGGAGGCTGAAGTGGGCGGATCACCCGAGGTTAGGAGATCGAGACCAGCCTGGCCAACATGGAGAAAGCCCGTCTCTGCTAAAAATACAAAAATTAGCTGGGCGTGGTGGCACGCACCTGTAATCCCAGCTACTTGGGAGGCTGAGGCAGGAGAATCACCGGAACCTGGGAGGTGGAGGTTGCAGTGAGCTGAGATCATGCCACTGCTCTCCAGCCTGGGTAACAGAGCAGGACTCCGTCTCAAAAACAAATAAATAAATAAACAAACAAACAATAAATGATGATATCTGATAGAATGGTAGTTTAAATGATGATATCCAGTGTGTATTATGGTCCACTCTTTTTAAGCATTATATATGTGTGTATATGTGTGTACATACCTACATGTATACATACATAAATATTCATTTATTTTTCACCATTACCTTAGAAGGCAGGTATAATATTAATATCTCCAATTTAAAAATGAGGCACAGACATGGAGTAACTTGCCCAGGGTTATACACGTAATGGGTAGCAAAGCTGGGATTTGAACTCAGGCAGTGTGGTTCTAGTGTCTGTGCACTTAAACCCCTAAGATTTACAAGGATTCCCTTGTGCTGATGCAAACACCTCCATGATTTGACTTTAGGGATAACTGGGGTGAGAGGAGGAGAGAGAACTCTCAGCCAGGTGTTTGTAGATGCTTGCATGTTTGCAATTAGAAATTAACAACTTCACCAAAGACTTTTTCTTCTTTTGAAGTGGAAAGGCTACTTAAAGAATAGATGTGGCAGTTTTACCGACCCTTTTTACTTTAGTTTAAATGAGTTTATCAAATCCAGCTATGTTTACAGAGTTTGGTAGAGGGAGAGATTAGAGACTAGGAGAGTGCTAGAAAGAAATGTAGGTAAATGTAGAAAAGGAAGAGGCTGACTTTAGGTAAGTGGCAAACTAAGTTCATCTCATTCAATGACTCAAGTGGATGAGATTAGGATTTAGACACATCTAAGCTCCAATCTTTGCTCATGAACAAATTAATTAACAACTGTGAACAATTTCTATATTTGCCAAATGAGTTTAATTATACCTATTTAACATCATTAGAAGAATTAAATAAAATGGTGAATACAAAATGCTCAGCACTGTGTCTGACATATAGAGAAATGTTTATTAAATAAATATAACTGGCCAGGCATGGTGGCTCATGCCTGTAATCCCAGCACTTTGAGAGGCTGAGGTGGGAGGATTGCTTGAGGGCAGGATTTCAAGACCAGCCTGGGCAACAACAAGATCCCATCTAAAAAATAAAAAAATACAAAAAATTGCTGGGTGTGGTGGCGCGCCTGGAGTCTTAGCTACTTGAGAGGCTAAGGCGAGAGGATCACTTGAACCCAGAAGCTTAACACTGCAGTGAGCTATGATTGCACCAATGCACTCTAGCCTGAGACACAAAATAAGACCCTGTCTCAATCAATCAATCAATCGATTAATAAATGCTTAAGATGAGCCAGGCAGCCTAGTGAAATCTTCATTTAGATAATCTTGTTTTGTCCCCTCACCAACCCTGGTAGGTAGGCACTATTATTTCCTCATCTTACAGAAGATAAAATGAGGCACCAAGAAGTCAAGTAACTTGTCCATGTCACACACCTATTAAGTAGGGTGTTTGGGCTTAAATCCTGGTCAGAGTTTGCACTCTAGCATGATAACTTTTGGCTTAGGATCAAGTCTTTGCAAGGGGTCCAAATTTTTACATTTGAAGAGCTACTATTTCTCCATCAATGTTATCTTTAACCTTTATACCAAACTTAAAAGATCTTATTTTATCTTTTTATAGGTAAATAAACAGGCTTAGAAAGGGTAAGCAGCTTGGCTCAAGGTCGTATAGCCGATAAGTGATGGAGATTTTATTTTTATCCCAGGTTCAGCTGGCTCTAGCCCATTCTATTTCCCTATTTTATCAAGGACCTTTTCTCTCTTAGGTAATAAGCATCTAATCGAATTTTAATGAGACAAACTAATTCCTGTAAAAATATTTGCTGGCTACACTACCCAAGGGTAGCATGATGCTTATAATAACCAGGTCTTCTTAGCAGTTGCAAATCTCAGGGTCAGATCAGAGGACAGCTTATACAGATGGGAAAGATAGCAGACATGGGGTCCTAGAGCTTTTGTGCATGAGGATATCGAGTTCTTAGTACTATGGAGTAAGGGTCAGAGTTAGGAGGAAGAAAATTTAACAATTTCCTGTCAGAGAGACAGAAATAAAGCAACTAAAAGTTGTAAGCATGTTTGCTTTTCTAGTATAAACCAGACAGTAGCATTAAGAGGCTAGTGCTGCCTCATAAAATCCTGTGCCATAAAACCATGTGCCCACAGTGTGTCTACACAGTGGTCAGTGGGCCCCTTTCCTGGTGGCCATCCAGTCTACAATTCTTCATCTGGGTGGTGAGAGGAATGAGTCAAGGCTTCTGCAAACTTTAGAAGCTTCAAAGGTTAAGAAATTACGTGCATAAGAAATTATGAACAATGCATACGTGAAGATAATTTGCCAGACATCCATCCAACCATTCATCTATTCATCCAATTGCCTACCCACCAACCCACCCACCCATCCAATCATCCATCCACCCACCCACCCACTTACCCATCCACCCATCCAAGCATCCATCCAACCAAACACCTACCTATCTATCCTACCTACCATTCATCCATCCAACATCCATCCATCTAACAATCCACCCATCTATCCATTCATCCACCCACCCACCCACTTACCTGTCCACCCATCCATCCATTCATCCATCCACCCCATCCCATCCATCCATCCACCCCATCCCATCCATCCATCCACCCCATCCCATCCATCCATCCATCCATCCATCCATCCATCCATCCATCCATCCTTCCTTCCATCCATCCAATCATCTATTTAACCAAGCACCCATCTATTGGTCCATCCATATAACATCTAACAGTGTTTTTAGTGCTTTTAAATATTAATACATTTAACTTTTATAACCATCCCAAGAAAATAACTCTTTGATGTAGGCACTATAATTGTCCACATTTTACAGCAGAAAAAAATAGAGCTTTAGAGAACTCACATAACCAGTAAAAGGTGAGTTACGATTTGAATTCAGGCGGTTTGAGTTCATAGACTTCATCTTTAAGCAGTAGACTATGTTTCCATCCAATATTTTTTGAGTGAATGAACAAATGAACAAATGAAAAAATTGTATCTTTATGTGTCATTTCTCTTAAAATAAAGCAGCAAATTTGTGGCCAGAGGCTGAGTGTTAGAGTCAGCTAGCATGCTATTCAAATTCCAACACTGTGACTTATTACCTATTATAATAAGTACATAAAATCAATAAAATGGGGTTCATAATATCATACTGAAGAGGATAAAGGCACAACATCTAATAAAGTGTGTAAAATCTAGGAACTCTCCTTTTCAGTATACACCATACAGAAAGTCTTGCTCATATGCACAAAGAGACAAGTACAAAAATTTTCACTGTACTGTTATTTGGAAATAACTTATGTCTATCAACAAGAGATTGATATATTCATGCAATGGGATATAGGGATTGAAAATGAATTTAGAGATAAATCCCAAAAACTTACTGAAAGAAAAATAAAAGCAGCAGAATGATGCATACATATATAAATTTTACAGACACACAAAGAATTATATATATTGTTTATAGATACAAACAGATGTGACATAATTATAAAAACATGCCTGGGAATAAAAAACTTCAGGGCAGGATTTTCTAGGGAGTGGGAAGAGGTACAAAGGAGGTTTCAACTGATTCAATATAATTTTATTATATTACAAAAAAGTAACCAAAACAAACATGGCAGATTATTTGTAAGATGCCTTAAACAGTGCTGGGAGCATAGATTTTTCCCTATATTACCTTTTATATTTCTGTATATTGAAATAAGTCCTAAAGTTTTTTATTCTTAAAGGTAGCACATGCAAAGTGCCAAGCATAAGGCCTAGCATATAGAAAGGCCTAGCATATAGCAGCTGCTTAATATCTAGTAGCTGTTACTCAAGTCAAGACAGCAAGGTTACATAAAAGTACCAGTTAAAGGAAAAACAGCTATTTAAGCAAAAAGCTTTACCTAAACACACACACAAAATTTAAGAGACAAAAAAATGACTAAAAAGGACATTAGGGGAAAATGGGACTATTTAATTTACCATATTTGCTAGCATTTTTTATAGCAAAAGTTTATTTCAAGGATGCCAGGATGTATATCTGTTATGTATGTACATATATACACAATATATCTATTACATATGGGTGTTAATTTTAATTTTTTTCATGAGAGCTTAATTTCTGTCTGCTTTCCATGTTGTAAGTCATATGGTCTTGTTTATAAAATTTAGAACTGCAGATCTGATTCCTCATTTGAGTCATTCAGACTTTTCCACAACAACCAACTGGGACAACAAAAATATAATGTTCAGAATAAACATAAGTAGGGGATGAATGAGAAAGTTATTTTATGCTACAAGCTCCACCAAGAAAAGATGGAATGTGAAAAACAAACACTCATTTGAAGAGTCCGGAGAGTCCGTTCTTGATGCTTTTCAAGCTGTGCAACAAAGGTTCAAAAATGCTTTTCAAAGAACCTGGGACTAATTTTGTTGAGTTTAGGTGACATGTTTCTTTTAGAAATTTCTGTCAGGTGATGAGCTAAAAAATTAAGATAAAAAATTAAAAATTAGTTTTTGGGTACCTTAGCATCTTAGTTCCCTGCCATAAAATCTTTGGTTACCAGAAAAAGTAGAAGATTAATTTTCTCAGTGATAAATGGACTCATTTCATTTATCACCCAAATTTTCTCTCCTTTCTGTATGTGTTAATCACTACTATAATGGTAAGTAGCTGAGTCTGTTGTGGTCCAATCCCTTGAAAAAAGTGTAGCAAGCAGTCAGGAGACCTCTCTGAAGGCTGGCTGTGTTTTAAAGCTAGATTCTACATCCTCACATCAAGGCAATCTCACTCTTCACTTTCTTCCTGCTGCCCTTGCTTCAGTGCAGGCTTTGGTCCTAGCACCTGTTGGGGAGGCACCCGTAGAAGGTGCTTGATGTGTTGCCCAAACTTATTTCCCCAGCTGTTGGGAGTGTTGTGAGCAGACAGATCTCAAACCCGTCTGGAAATCGCAGTCCCTTAAAGAGAGCTGCCTCCTCCAAGGTCATCCCATCCCCCTTTTCAAGGGTAGCCCATCTCCAATAATGGGTTAATGAAGGTGGGGAGAAGACCTACCCCTCTCGTAACAACCTGGGACAACTCTCAGCTTCAGAGCTACCTGGGAGGTCAGCTGCAGTTTTTGTTGAGCCTGAATTCTAGTTCAACTTTTCCCTCTGCTTAATCCTACTTCTTCTTCTTCTTTTTTTTTTTTGAAACAGAGTCTCACTCTGTTGCCCAGGCTGGAGTGCAATGACGTGATCTCTGCTCACCGCAACCTCTGCCTCCCGGGTTTAAGCCATTCTCCTGCCTCAGCCTCCCGAGTAGCTGGGACTACAGGTGTGTGCCACCACACTTGGCTAATTTTTTTTTTTTTTTGTATTTTTAGTAGAGATGGGGTTTTGCCATATTGGCCAGCTGGTCTCGAACTCCTGGCCTCAAGTGATCTGCCCACCTTGGCCTCCCAAAGAGCTGGGATTACAGGCTTCAGTCACCAATCCTACTTCTTTTTTATTCCCTTCTCCAGGTGTAGGTCCTCAGAGGGCTCTCTAATAAACTTCCTGCTTGTTAATCTCCATTTCAGAGTCTGCTACCTAAGGAACCAAATCTGTGTCAGCATTCACGCTGTTCTGTGGCAAGGCAGAATTGGTTTGCCTGGCCCCTTTGGTTGGGTGGGTATGTGACCAGTTCTGCCAATGACTGAGAAGTGACATGAGCCACTTAGAGGCCAAGCATTTAACTGCTAGGACCAGACTCTGAAGAGCTCTTCACCTTCTATCAGGGCACCTGGCAATGTTTAGGAACATTCTGTGGGCCTGAATGACAGTAATCAACCAAGCTTCCAGCCAACCAGTGATTGAATAGATAGTATGAGCAAAAGTAGAGAAAATTATTGCTTTAAGCCACCAGGATCCTGGGGCTGTTTGTTGCCATGGCTAACCCCATTTATGCTGACTGATACACTGACATCACTACAACAGCCTCTGAGCTTCCCTTGCCTTACTGCTTCCCTATGCAATACTTCCCAAGTCTATCCGCCTCACGGCTGCCAGTGGTATTTCTAAATCAACTCCTTCCTTCCCCACAAAGATCTCCCCATAAACATCAAAATTCTAAAGTACAGGGTCATTCAAGTTCAGGCATTATTCTCAATCAAAATCTCTCTGTCTTTGTCTCTCTACTCATCAAGGTTAAAAAAAAAAAACCAAAAAACCCTCTTATAATCCCCAACAAAAGTCATGTTCCATGCCTGAAATACCCTTCTACCTTCCTCCTACTTGTCCTTCAAAGAAAGGCATAAGAGTCACTCCCTCCAGGAAGCTTCCTTGGTCCTTCCCTTTTGCATTATTCCTGTCTGGTTTAGACTCCCTCCACTGATCATCTAAAAAGGCAAAGCCCTTTCATAGACCTTGGTTTCCTTAACTGTCTCCCTTACATGAAAATACATTTTCTGAAGGCAAGACAAAAGTCTATTTTGATTTTGTGTTTCTAACACCTTGGCATCAGAACTGAGACTTGGTGAGCCATTGACAATTATTTCAGGTATGAATGAACAAATGAATAAATCAATCTATGACTCCAATCATTATATTTTACAGAGAAGGACCTAGTAAAGGTAAATTGAGCACTCATCTTGAACATTTGTTTTTTAATTTCTAAGTAATTATATATATATATTTTTTGAGACAGGGTCTCACTCTATTGCCCAGGCTGAAATGCGGTGGCACAATCTCAGCTCACTGCAGCTTTAGCCTCCCAGGTTCAAGCGTTCCTCCTGCCTCAACCACCTAAGTAGCTGGGGCTACAGGCACACACCACCACACCCAGCTAACTTTTGTATTTTTTGTACAGGTGGGGTTTCGCCATGTTGCCCAGGCTGGTCTCAAACTCCTGGGCTCAAGTGACCTGCCCGCCTTGGCCTCCCAAATGCTGGGATTATAGGCACGAGGTGCCACACCCAGCCACGCCTAGGTTTTTGATGAGAAAATTTTTCCATATTCCTTTAAGTTCTGTTTTTCTGTGATAGAATTATGGACTTTTCTTCCTCTAGTATTCTCCACCTTTTTTTTCTTGTCTGGGGATTGGCAAACTTTTTCTGTAAAGGGCTGGATAGTAAATATTTTCAGCTTTGTGGGCAATAGTTCTTGCATCAGCTACTGAACTTTAAGTAGTTCAGACACAACTGCTCAATCTTGCCATTACAGTGTGAAAGCAGCTGTAGACAACATGTAATGGATGAGCCTGGCTGTGAGCCAACAAAACTTTATTTACAAAAACAAGAGGCAAGCCCGACTTTGCCCGCAAGCCATAGTTTGCTGACTCCCTTTCTAGTCCAACTAATTTAGAAGACTGTGGAGAGCGAAGGGTGAGAGCAAGCAAACTGTATACAGTATGAAATGTACAAGGGCTCAATAGGGAATTGTCCTTTGGAGGACTTGGCCTTTGCCCACCAATGTGGTGAGATCCAGAGTTCAGGCATTACCAGTTTGTGGATCATTGGAGTCTTGGATATAGCAAGATTGTCTCTTCAGAGACCCTAGTGGGAGATGGCTGTGACCTTCTAGATTTTAACTGTGGGCTTAGCTAAAAGAGCATGTGCTCTACCGTGTGGAACACAGTCCAAATACCCAAGGTCCACCCCACACACGCTGCTGTGGGAAATTTCACAGTCTCTCTTACTGAGCATCCTCAGGAAACATGTAAAAATGGGAATGTAGTCTCACCAAGTCCAGGTGAGACTAGAGGAACTAGTCTCACCTATAAAAGCAATAGTAATGCCCCTAGCTACCCTCTATCAAGTACCTTCTCTGAGTTCAGTATTAAATCCTTTACATAAACCAGAGCTAACATTTATTGAGCATTTGCTTGTGCCAGGAACAGTGCTAAGTGATATATATGTTCCGTCATGAATTTCTCACCCTATTTCATAATGCGGCTGCTTCTGTTCCCCCACTCTTACCCAGGAGGAAATGAAGTTCAGAGAGGGAAAGCAATTTGTCCGAGGTCAAATTTGCTCAAGTTGAGCCTACAGACTCTGCCGTGTTCTGTGCTCTATGCTACCCCCTCAGGGACAGCTACCTGCCTCAGGGGAGCTGACCCAGCCTCTTATTGGTCACTTAAATATCCCGGAGTCTGTGCAAGTTGCCTCCTGTTGGAGGCAATGACTCCCTTCAGGGTTTGCAAGAAATTCTATCTTTGGGACACTGGAGAGGAAGGGAAAACCTAATCCCAAGGAATAAACTGAGGGTTTTGTTAGAACATGTCACACTTAATAAAAAGCAAAGGGTGTTGATTATTTTTTTCTGTAATATTCTGTCATCATTTTCCACCTAAGTTGTTTGTGAAACCTAATTAATTGCTATAACAAAACCCATCCAGGCAAGATATAAGGAGGACAGGGATATGGCTGATGAATCAGCTTTTAGCATTTAGCTTAAAGTGAAGGTGAATGCTCATGTCTGCTACTTTAGCCAAATTCAAGGCTTCACTCATAAAGTAAGTCTTTGTTCAAGGCAGCCTCAATGCAGCCTGAGCCTGCTTTTTATTTAGTCTCATTACTACAGAAATACCTTATAGCTAGTATCTTAATTATTCATGGTTTGTTGGCAAATTAAGTCACTTGCTTCTCCAATATCTAGAAATGGAAGAAGTGTTCAATTCCAAAGAAATTATGCCTTCCTAGCTTTGCTAGCCTGACAATAATGTTGTTGGCAAATACCTTATGAATAGGTGGGAGATCTTGTTTCACTTATAGTATATGAATAAAAAGAACACCCCCAGGAGACTGACAGGTATTTCATGTAATGGATACCTCCCTTCCCACCCTATTTCTCTCTAGAGTGATGAAGCTTTGGCTTTCCTTACAAACAAGACTATTCAGACTAGAAGCAAGAAAAATGACACCTTTTTATCAACAAGATCATCTAAAATTTGGTTCAGTAAAATATGTAACTCCCTGGTGTGTGTGTTTCTAGTCCATATGCCTGAAAGCTGAGCAGTGCAGTGGAACAATCCCCTCTCTGATTTAGAATTCACAATTATGGGATAGCAAAGGGGTAATCTTATGATAAGCCCCTTAACTCAAATTCCTGTGGCAAAATACATACAAAGGTATTTGAGCATTAATCTTTGTACTTATCTTGAAAAATAGCTAATATTTTTATGTAAAGAGCACTAGATTTGATATTCTAATGATGCAGTGAACATTGTTGGTTGCATTTCAGCCAAACATTTTGCCTTTCCTCCCTGGCAGCTCTGTGGTCTGAGTAGGGCCAACCTCAATCCTAGGTTCAGAAATGGGTCCCTTCCCCTCTAGCCTCAGCAAATCAATGCAATCCAGTGTTTCTTAACCTTTTAATTCATTGTTATCTGCTTAAGGAGCCTTTTTAGATTTTTGTTTGTTTGTCACCCCTCCTATTTTATTTCATTTTATTTATTTATTTTGAGACAGAGTCTCACTCTGTTGCCCAGGTTGGAGTGCAGTGGTGTGATCATGGCTTACTGCAAACTCCATCTCCCAGGTTTAAGTGATTCTCATGCCTCAGCCTCCCGAGTAGCTAGGATTACAGGCATGTGCCACCATGCCTGGCTAATTTTTGTATTTTTAGTAGAGATGGCGTTTTGCCATGTTGGCCAGGCTGGTCTCGAACTCGTAAGCTCAAGTGATCCACTCGCCTCAGCCTCCCAAAGTGCTGGGATTACAGGCATGAATCACCACACTCAGCTACTTTTTGTATTTTTAGTAGAGACGGGGTCTTGCCATGTTGGCCACGCTGGTCTTGAACTCCTGACCTCAAGTGATCTGCTCACCTTGGCCTCCCAAAGTGCTGGGATTAGAGGTGTGAGCCACTGCACCCAGCCCAATCCCTCCCATTTTAATGTCACAGATATGCTGTATTTCTGTTTATATATTGCATGTATATTCGTGCTTTATAAATAAAAGTAGTGAATTTTTTTCCCACCCCCCTCCTCCAAAACAATTTTTGCCTCCTTTGGGCCATTTCACTCTCATTGAGAATGCATAAATTGTCATCCCATACTCTGTGCCAATCAGTGCATGGCATCAGGAGTGGGTACAGACCCTAAATTGGAGTTCCAGCATGTAAACTGGGACTTTTTTTTTTTTTTTTTTGATAGTTGGAGGATATGAGAAATTCTTTCTTTCTGGATGTGTGGATATAAGGCCTGAAACTGCTGTGATTATCTGCTATTGTGAGGGAAGAAACCAGCTGAAGATAAAGCCAACACATCAGCAAGACCAGGTCTGAAAGCATGGTACCCTGATCAAACAATACCTAAAGTTCATTCTACTGCTAGACTTTTCAGCTGTGACAAAAGTCATTTCTTTTTACTCTGTAGGCAAGTTTGAATTGGGTTTTCTATTATAATAAAAAAAATCCTAACTCATGGAAAAGATAACATTTATTGGATGCTTTCTAAACTCCAGGCAGCGTGCTAAATATCTCACGTCAATTAATTCTTTTATCAATCTCTGTGATTAGTACTATTAATTTCTCATTTTATAAATGATGAAGCTGAAGTATAGTAAGATTAACTTACCCACGGTCATACATAGGCAAAGACTGGATTAACTCCCTTGTCTATTTAACTTGCAGTTACTGTCTTTTAGTTCTACACAATTAAGTCACTACTTTTTCACTTAATATTTGAAAAGCATTAAAAAATGATCTTCCTTTGCAAAGGATTATGTTGCACAATTAAGAATATTCAAAGGCTGAAAATATTTTTGAAAATCTTATTTTTGCAAAAGCACAGGAAATATTAAACTTAGAGATCATTTTCTTCTGATTCTGTATTCATAAAAGCCTTTGTTATTTATTTTCATTGATACATATTAGATGTACATAGTTCGGGGGTACATGTGATAATGTGACACATTCATATAATCAAAGCAGGGTTATTGGGATAGCCAATGCTTTAAATATTTTAATTAATTAATTTTTTAGAGGAGGTCTCCCTCTGTCACTTAGGCTGAAGTGCAGTGGGACAATTATGGCTCACTGCAGCATTGAACTCCTGGGCTCAAGTGATCCTCCTGCCTCAACGTCTTGAGCAGAGAGAACCACAGGTTCATGACGCTATACCTGGCTGATTTTTAAATTTTTTGTAGAGATGGGGTCTCACTATGTTGCTCAGACTGGTCTTGAACTCCTGGGCTCAAGTGATCCTCTCACTTCAGCCTCCCAAAATGTTGGGATTACAGGCATGAGCCATGGTGCCCAACCGTTATCTTTTCTTCGTGCTAGAAACATTCAAATTATTCTCTTCTAGTTATTTTGAAATGTACAATTGATTAAAGTTAAAAATAAGGAGTGGGGACTTATTTTTTTTTTATTTTTTATTTTTTTAAGAGATGGGTCTCACTATGTTGCCCGGGCTGGCCTCAAACTCCTGGGCTCAAGGGATCTTCCTGCCTCAGCCTTCTGAGTAGCTGGGATTATAGACACACAGCACACTGCCTGACTACCACCATTATTTTAGATGTTCTTATCAATTATGATATGGTATTGGCTCAGTCACCATCCATTTTAGAGAAAAGAAAAAAATACATATATTTTAGTAGCTCAGTGTCTCAAATTGCTATTCTGCATAAAAATTATCAGTCAACCTTATAAAGAATCCATAAGGTCTCAGGTTTCTGGAATCTTTATTTTTGAATTGGTCAGTAACAGTATTACAGATAAGCCATAAATCCTCTGAATCCTTGGGGAGTGAGGCACAGAGTCACTCTGGTTGGCTACAATATTTGCGTTCCCTTTTTGAAAGTTTCTCAAACACTAAAAAGGAAAAACAAAATTACATAAGGGGCACTTATTCTACAGACCAAACTGAACAGGGATTTCCCAAGAGAGGAAAAAAAAGGCTTGAAAGACAGACACACTTCTGGCTCCAAAAAGCCAGAGAGCTATGTAATGTGGCCAGATGGGATATATCCACAATTCCCTAATACTCTCAAACTCCCACATGCTGCCCTGGTTCCCAACCTGCCTTTCAGATTCCATTTCAAAATGCAAGATATCACAGATATGTTATACAAAGCAGAAGCAGTGAAAGCACAAGTTCAAATGTTCCTCATATTTTAACAAGGGTGACAAGGGGACGCTGACTCTTTAGACTTCCACAGGCTAACCTTAGGTGCTGGCCTTTTCATTTTGCCTGATTGATGGAAGATTATGGTTTGTCAAAATCAAGTGCTTGATCATGTATGAGACACAATATAATAAGACATAAATTCTAGACATATTAGGAACAGGGTCAAATGGGGGGAAATCCAGGAACTGCAACAAAGCTATTCCACATCACAGGAAAGAAAATATGATATTATCTTTCCACAGTAGACACCAAGTATATTTCTAAACAATGCAGATTTTTAAAAATCTCAAATATATTAACAACCAAAGCACAGAACTTTTAAATTCATAAATTACTGTCTAAAAAAAAAAAAAGAAATCCAGGCAAACTGCAGTACCAGAGAGGATGAATGGTCTCCTAGTTGAGCAAAGTTGCTGCATTTTTTGCCTGCAGGATGGGACCGAGCAGAGAAATAAAGGGGCTGTGTTGTGTGACAGGGAGTAAATCCTAACATGAGCATTCCAACGTGTAGCCGGGCCACCCCTCCCTTCCCCAGCCTGTCATCCTCCTGCAAAGTGTTCACAATTTGCTGTCCTTCCTTCCAAAAGCCAGTAGACACAGAATCAGCTTTTCCTGGCTCTGCCTTACAAGTTGGGGCTGCCTGATGGAAAACTGAAAATCCAACGGAAGGATAAAAATCCACCAAGGCCCCCTCTGCCAGCAAATTGGTGTGAAACCGTTGCTTCAGAAGCAGCCACTCCCACCCCCAATGAAATTAAAAAGAAGGACTCATTTGAATGTCTAAGTGGCTTTCTGAAGACCCTCTGTTGCAAAGCAACAGCCTCCCTAGTCAAGCGCCCGCCAGTACACCATTGCTCTGTAACAGATGTCTGCAAACGCTGGGACTATCTCGCAAGTGCCCCCCATGCCCGATTTGAAAAATTCACAAGCTCTGTCAAGCAATAATTACCTAGAGCTGCTGAGCGTTTGACCCAAGGGCCAAGCAGTCTGCTAGGAGTTTAAGAAGAGCTGGGGGGAATAAAATCATACAGGTGGAGCCTGCTTCCCACGAGTGCCCGGCATCCTGCTGGGGCCCTCGGGTGCCGCGCGCTCCAGCTCACCTGGTACACGTCCTGCAGCCCGCACCACGTCCGCAGCACCTGGTGGCAAGCCCGCAGCCTCTCCGTGTACCATCTCCGCAGCGTGGACACGGTCAAGTTCCATACGAAGCGGCTGCCGCTGAACAGCAGGTCCTCCACGCCACACATGAACACCGAAGCCATGCCTCCTCCTTCGCTCTGAACCCGGGCGTCCCGGCTCTCGTACGTGCAGCCCCGACCCCAGCGGCCTGCCCGCCTGGGCTCCCGACGCCGGCTTCTGCTGGCAGCCGGGGGGTCAAGCCTGCCACCAAACTCGTCTTTCACCGTGCGTCCTGGCCAGGCTCCGGCGGCATGCCCTGGGATTGGGTGCCCGCCAGCCAACGGCTGCGACTGGCACACAGAAGCCCAGTGTCCACCCCCGCCCGCTCGCAGCGCCGAGCAAGCTGTGCTAAGCTCCACCAAGCTGGCCCTCGATGCTCCCGGGGCACGGGAAGCCCTGGCCGGCGAGGACTCCCCCTGGCGCTTCCCCAGGGCGCGGGGCAGGGACGGAAGCGGAGCAACTCTTTGCAGGCAGAGAGGGGAGCTGCATTTCAGCACACTTGGCTTCCACGTCTTGCGCGCGCGCGAACACACACACACACAGACACACACCCCCCACACCGGACGAGTGGTCTCCTAATCTGCCTCGGGGAACACCTTACTCATCTTGCTCTGTTCACACTGATAAAACACCTCTGGGCAGCCACAGATGCAGAAGAGAGAGAGAGAAAAAAAAAAATCTCCAAGGCATCCCTTTGGACCCTACTCCTGGGGGAATAGCCACGAATGTTTCCTTGGTTCTGCTGGAAGCAGGAGATGAAGGCAACAGTCTCAAAGCAACAGGCGGCCCTAGAACCTGCCTTTGCTCCTAACTTGAGGGTCTCAGAGAAAATGACAGCCTCCTGTGGTTGCCAGCAGGAAGGCAGGTTTCCTCACACCAAGATGCTGCTAATACCAATGCAGCAGTCAGGGAGAAAAACAGAGTTCTTGGTCCCTTGTAAATAGCTTGCCGTTACTAGTGCTGGGAAACAGAAGCCCATAAGAGAATCGGTGGTTTAGTTCTGGAAAATTCAGCCTCTGGACATGTCTAACCTCACCTGCAAGCACCAACCTGCATGGGTAGTTTATTCTCCCCTCAAAACCAAAGGAAACTGTTCCACCACTCATGAAGTCACTAGATAATTAATCTTATTTATTTATTTATTAAAGTTTTCCCTCGGGAATTGATGCTGATTGTTGGAAACATTTGGAAAAGGGAGCTCAAGGAGTCTCGCCTACCACCAGTCTCTGTCTTCCTTTATTTATTTTTGAGACAAGGTCTGTTGCCCAGGCTGGAGAGCAGTGACTCAATCATAGCTCACAGCTGCCTTGAACTCCTGGGATGAAGTGATCCATCTTCCCACCTCAGCCACGGGGACTACAGGTGCTAAGTTTATTATCATTATTTTTTTTGTAGAGATGGGGTCTCACTATGTCGCCCAGGCTGGTTTCAAATGCCTGGGCTCAAGCAATCTTCCAGCCTCAGCCTCCCAAAGTGCTAGCGTTACAGACATGACCCATTGTGCCCAGCCTCCATTTTCCCTTAGAATGTATGAAGATTTCTCATAGCAAAAGTGCTGTAGCAAATTTCAGGATGGAGTTTTTTCCTGAATCCATCTGTAAGTCAATTGTCTGTATTTTCTTGGCTGTTTCACATCTGGGTTGTTATCTATGCTATTAAGTGGCACCAAAAGGAAAGGTAAGGCACCAAAGCTTTTCTCCTGAACTAGCCCAGAAGACTCCAGAACAGATTATCGACAAGTAAATCAGCTTGATTTCAGGTATCAAATGTGCTTTTATAATCTTAATTCAGGTGAAACTCAATCAGTCAAAAGACGAAGAACACAAAATCTGTCCTCAAAGTGCCTGTTGTTTTCAGTGACTGTAATCAGAAAACTTTTAAATGAGATTTCTTTCGTTAATAAAATTGCCCAAGAGTTTTTGTTGAATTAGTTAATAGGACACAAGACTTGGTCCAAGATTTGCAAACCTTTCTTCACAATAAGTCTTCTCTATGTGCCATCAGTATTAGTATTGATGGTTTTTTTTTCAAGATGATGGTAACGATGAATCTGAATATAATAGATTTTACTGAATCAAAAGAAAATGAACTTAGCTTGAAAAAGAACTGTCATCATGCTGAATGGAAAACTACTGAACTTCAAAAATGCCCTATTAGTACGAGCAAATGGTGGTGGTACTTTTTTTTTTTAAACGATGCAGTTCGACTGTGTTCTCGGAAATGTCAGGCAGCCAAGGGAATACCAGAATAAAACCTACAACAGGTCAATTACCTCTGTCTCATGACACCATCCTCTCAGAAGAGAGGCTCTAGAAACACTCTGGCTGTTAGCTATCTGTGCGTAGGTCTAATGTCAGCAGTCACTTTCAAATTCCATCATTTTCATTCAAGGTTTCCAAAGTCAGGGCAATTTTTTAGAAGATAGGATGTAGTATAATAGGGGCTCTCAAAGTGTGGTCACTGGGCCAGCAGCTTTAGCATCACCTGGGAATTTGCTAGAGATGCAAGCTCTCAGGCAGCCCTGGAATCAGAAATTGTTGGGGGGTGAGATCAGCGATCAGAGCTTTCAGTTGGCCTCTGGAGGATTCCGACTCATGCTAAAATTAGAGAACTACAATAGTGATAGTATGGTGATTAGGAGCTAAATCTTCTAAAAGAGACCCACCCAACTTCAGATCTCCTCTCCTCAGGACCCGTGAGACCCCATATAAGCTCCTTAAGTCAACAAAGTCTCAATGTCCTCATGTGTACAATGTATTATCAGTATTCACTACAAAAAGTTTGGGGAAAATTAAGTAAAATATTCTGTATAAGGTCTTTAGCACGGTGTCTGGTGAAGGGTAAGCATCCAAAGAAAACTAATCACCATAACCCCCCGAATCAAGAATTGCTTCAGTTTTTTGTAGTCAGATAAAACAGTATAAGTAAAATGTGGGTTTTTAAAATGATAGATTTAGTGAGTATAAGTGCAGTGTTGTTATATGGATATATTGCATTGTGGCGAAGTCTGGGCTTTGAGTGTAGCCATCACAAGAATAGTGTACATTGTACCTATTAAGTTATTTCTCATCCTTCATCCCCTCCCACCCTCTGACCCTCCCCAGTCTCCATTGTCTCTTAGTCTACTTTTTTTTTTTTTTTTTTTGAAACGTAGTCTCCCTCTGTCGCCCAGGCTGGAGTGCAGTGGCACCATCTCAGTTCACTGCAACCTCCGCCTCCCGGGTTCAAGTGATTCTCCTGCTTCAGCCTCCCGAGTAGCTGGAATTACAAGTGCACAACACCACGCCAGGCTAATTTTTGTATTTTTACTAGAGATGGGGTTTCAGCATGTTGGCCAGCTGGTCTCGAACTCCTGAACTCGTGATCCTCCCCCCTCGGCCTCCCAAGGTGCTGGGATTACAGGCGTGAGCCACTGTGCCAAGCCTTCTTAGTCCACTCTCTATGTCCCTGTGTACATATTATAAAATGTGTTTTTAAATTTCAACTAGTTACCTACATGTGCTTTCCTATGACTTTCTGTTTGCTGAAGGTGAAAGTTTGTGGCAACTTGTTTTCAGGGAGCAGTTCTGTTGCTCTTTCAAGTTCCCAAAAAGCTTTTTGAGCTTGATCTTCCCCACTAGAGGCAACTTGTCCCGTGGACTCAGAGAAGCTGGGTGCAAGACAGAAGACATCTTATTTCTACTGACATAAACACTGATGCTTTTTTTCTTATCCAAATGGCTTTCCTCTTTTGTAGAAGAAGTTCGAAGGTCAAGACTGAGTGATTTTAGAGGGAAGGAAATACAACTTCCTCCACTCCAGGGACTGCAGTGGGTGGCAACTGAACCCAGATGTGCAGAAGTGGAGAAAAGTGCTACCCAAGTATGGCATCATCCTTAAAATGGACTAGCCACATGGGACTAACCAGATCCCAGACACACACCCTTGAAGCTAGTCTAAAATTTTCTGTGGAAAAGGAGCTAAATCAAGCTAGCTTCAACATTGTCTTGCTTTTTCTTTCTTTCTTTTTTTTTTTAATTTAAGAAGAGGATTTTCTTTCCTCCTCAGCACAGAGTTCCCTGCAATACACTGTAATTTCCTGCAGCTCTCTCTGGAGGCTTAAGAAGATGCTTCGGGTGGCAGCATTACTCATACACCTGGGAGTTGTGCTGTCGTAAAAGAGAAATTGTCATTATGCCTGAGGCTCCTGTAGGTTCTCCTTTGAGGAACTGGCAGGAAGAAGAGCATGAATGCCAAGAAGATAGGACAAATTCCAACCCCTGTCTCTAGGAAGAAAGAGCAAGTTAGTGAAATGGCAGCTTCCAGTGGTCCCCTCTGCCTGGCAAAAACACAGAGTCCACCTAATGTCTGTGGTCATTTTTCAGCTGTACTCTCTAGACACCTGAAAAACTAGTGTGGGTAAACTGACAGATCATGGACGTCCAACATAGGGCTTGAGGTGAATGAAAACAAGGTCTAGTTCAATGGTTCTCAACCGGGGGCAATTTTATACCTCCCTCCCATGCTGAGACATGTGGCAATGTCAGAAGACGTTTTTGGTTGTCGCAACTGGGAGATGCTACTGGCGTCTAGCAGGTAGAGGCCAGGGATGCCGCTAAACATTATATAATGCACTGGAGAGCCCCCAGAGCAAAGGACTCTCCTGCCCAAAATGTCCCTGGTGCAGAGGTCAGAGAACCCTGGTCTAATTAAATGCTACACCCTGGCCAGGCACGGTGGCTCATGCCTGTAATCCCAGCACTTTGGGAGGCCAAGGCTGGCAGATTACTTGAGGTCAGGAGTTTGAGAACAACCTGGCCAACATGACAAAACCAATCTCTACTAAAAGTAACAAAAATTAGCCGGGAGTAGTGGTGTGTACCTGTAGTCTCAGCTGCTTAGGAGGCTGAGGCGGAAGGACTGCTTGAACCTGGAAGGTGGAGGTTGCAATGAGCTGAGATCACATCACTGCACTCCAGCCTGGGCAACAGAGCGAGATTCTGTCTCAAAAATAAATAAAAAATAAAATAAAATAAATGCTACACCCTGTTCTTCCTCTCACATGGCTAGTTGTGGAGAAACAGTCTTCCCTCTTGTTATTTTCTTTCCAAAAGGCAAAAGAAATGAAGCAATCACTGTATAATGGTTTTTTGTTTGTTAGTTTTTTTTTACACAGCCACAATTTCGAATATAATGAACTCAAAGTCTTTTGAGAAATAACCGGAATGCCGTTTCCTATGATTTTCACTTACAATTTTTGGATACTTATCATCCAAAGGGAGAATAACTATCATAACAACTATTAATATTTTTGTACTTCAGTTTTTGTTTCATTTCATTTATTTATTATTTATTTATTTTTATTTTTTTTTATTATTATACTTTTAAGTTCTAGGGTACACGTGCACAATGTGCAGGTTTGTTACATATGTATACATGTGCCATGTTGGTATGTTGCACCCATTAACTTGTCCTTTACATTAGGTATATCTCCTAATGCTATCCCTCTCCCCTCCCCCCACCCCACGACAGGCCCCGGAGTGTGATGTTCCCCACCCTGTGTCCAAGTGTTCCCACTGTTCAATTCCCACCTATGAGTGAGAACCTGCGCTGTTTGGTTTTCTGTCCTTGCGATAGTTTGCTCAGAATTATCATTTCATTTAAATCAGAGGCTCCATAGTACTAGAAGAAGTCTTTCTTTGGCATGTTTATAGAAAAAATTCCCCCCACACTAAACCCAGGTGGAATGCTGATGCCTCCTTTGGGCCATGCACTGTTATGAAAGTCTCTGACTGTACACACAATGGGATATTGCTCCTCTCAGCTCACTTTTCTCTATTAGACTGTCAGCTATGTGAGGAACCACTGTGATGTGACGTGGAAGCAAGGCTGGCTGGGATGGCTCCTCCTTGTGCAGGAGTATCCCATGCACTGGAAGGCATTTAGTGACCTTGGGCTCTGCCTGATAAATGCAGTAGTGCCCCAGTCATTAGGACAACCACAACAGAAAGCACCTCCATACATTTCTAAATGCTGCTAGGTGGGGTAGTAGCTGCCCTCATTCAGAAACCACTGGTGCAAGCTGGGAAAGGGTCTTATTCATATTTGTTTCCCCAGTGGCTGGCACATAGCAGGCAATCAATAAATGTTTATTGAACTGACCAATAAATGACTATTTGTCTTAACGGTGAATACAGAAAGTGGTTCATCCATTCCCAAAACACAGTCTTGTTCATTAGAAAATTACGTATTGAGTTCGCACTATGCATCAGGCAGGGAACTAAGCACTCAGAACACTGACAAGACTGAGACGATCTCTGTCTAAGCGAGTCCTAGAGGACAGTGGGGAAGTCAGAAGAGGAATCTGAACAAGAAATGTAAAGGAGCAGGCACTGCCACAGGGGTTCCAATAGAGACAGGTGAGTGAGGATGGGGGGATTAAGGGATGCCTCCCTGAGCACATGACTTTCAGCAGAGACCTGAAGGCTGAGTACGGGAGAATCAGGTGATGATGGGGGTACATGATAGCAATCCAAGGCACAGGGAGCCTTGAGGACAATGCTTGTGGCAAGAAGGATCCCATATTTGTAGAACATAAGGGAAAAGGGCAAGGGGGATGCTTGATGGTTGGGGGACCAGAAAAGCCCAGCAGCGAGGCTGCTGTAGAGTTCTAGGGTACAAAGAAAGAGCTTGAGGCAGGGCTGTGGGAATATCTACATAACTAAGCTGAAGGAGTGTTCCTGTTCCTCAGTCCTCGGGAACCATGGGGCCTTCACACACAGAATGGGGTAAGAGGTTGGTGGGCAAAAGTGCCACCCTCAAAGCAAGCTTCTCTTGTGGCCTCTGGGAGGGCTCCCCAACTATGCAGTGGCAGGCTCCTCACTCAGGGGGTGGGGGTCTGAATGCCTCATGTCCCTCTACATCCCATTCCAAAAAGGAGGCAGGAGGCCCGAGCGACACAAGTTCTGTTTCAATGCCACTCGAGCCAGAGGCTAGGTGACTGGTCTCCTGCTTTCTTTCATCTTTCCCTTTGACTGAGAGATTAAGGGGCATCCTTCAGTGTTGGCCTCAAGCAGGAGGAGATGGCAGGAAACACATAGAGGTGGTGGAAGCATGAATTGGAGGAAGTAGCCATTGTCCCCCTCATAGTCCAAGGCTGACCAGCAGGCTGCTTAACTCTCTGCAGCTGCCTTCATGACTATGAATGGCTTTTTGGCATCACAAAGGGCTAAAAATCGTAGTAGCTAAATATATCCACCACTAAGGCACCTATTCAGCGTCTATTCTTTGGCTTCAGCAAACTCATTTCACTCCTGGGGGTGTAGGAGGGGGAAGTAAACAAAGCAAAACTTTCTCATTTCCCTCATCTGTTATTTTATCAAATTAAAGTCTCCTTGCTCAAAGAAAAGAGGAGGGATGCTATCTATATTGTCTGAAGAAGTACAAAAAAAAAAAAAAAAGAGCGTCATGGTGTGAGACTTTGTCTTGTACCCATTTTTACTAGTTAATCAACTGAGCAGACATTGGAAATTCCTGCCAGATCAAATTTTAGAAGTTATCTGTCTAGATGTAAAAGCATCCAAATGGGAGGATGGTTCCAGGGAAGTCCAGTGGATCAGGGGGAAAGGGCTTGCCACCTTCTTTAAGGGAGAAATGGTATCAATCTTGTGACTGACCTCCCACCTCCAGAATTTGTCACCTTTTATTTATACTTAACCTACATGTACTTCAACAATGACAAAAATAAAATAGTTAAAAATTGGTCTATATAGCACCATTTTTTTTCTATACTTATTAAGTCTACTTAACCTACATGTACTTCAACAATGACAACAAAAAAAGTCATAAATTGGTCTATATAGCACCATTATTTTTTCTAAATAAATAAAGGCAGCTTTGCTTATATCATCAGTTGATTCTCACAATATATATTTTCCCAAGAACAAGTAGGAGAAAGTTATTTTGGCCCCATTTCATGGATAAAGAAACTGAGGCACAGAGAAGCAGGATGATTTGCTAAAGAAAAGCATTTATGGCAGCATTTTTAAAATGGTGGAGTTGCTAATTTTTCAGTCCTTTAATTAAGAGACAAAAGAATGAATTTCTTTTGTTTTTATAATTTGGTTTGGGCCTCAGACTAAAATTTATAAGGTATTGTCTTAGACAGTTCAGGATGCTATAACAAAAGTCCCACAGGACTGAGTGGCCTAAACAACAGAAATTTATTTCTCACAGCTCTAGAGGCTGGGAAGTACAAGATCAAGGTGCTGGTCAATTTGTTTTCTGGTAACAGCCCTCTTCCTGGTTTGGAGGTGGCTGTTTTCTCCCAAGACAGAGAGAGTTCTGGTCTTTTCAGCCCCTTATAAAGGCACTGATCCTACCATGGGGACCCCCAGGCCCACGGCCTTATCCAAGCCCAATTACCTCCCCAAAGCTCCACCAAATACCATCACATTGGTGTATAGTTTCAAATACGGATCTTGGGAAGACAAAACTTTCAGTCCATAGCGGGCATGGATGGTTCTAGGATGTGTTTTATTACTCTAGGAACTTAACATGACAAAAAGTCCACCCTTTGGGTTTACCCAATTTAATTAAGAATAAAACAATGATCTAAAATGTCAGGAAATAACAGATGCTGGTGATGCTGTGGAGGAATAGGAACACTTTTATACTGTTGGTGGGAGTGTAAATTAGTTCAACTATTGTGGAAGACCGCGTGGCAATTCCTCAAGGATCTAGAACCAGAAATACCATTTGACCCAGCAATCCCATTACTGGGTATATACCCAAAGGATTATAAATCATTCTACTATAAAGACACATGCACACATATGTTTATTGCAGTATGATTTACATAGCAAAGATTTGGGATCAACCCAAATGCCCATCAGTGATAGACTGGATAAAGAAATTGTGGCAGATAAACACCATGGAATACTATGCAGTCATAAAAAAGAGTGAGTCCATGTCCTTCACAGGACATGGATGAAGCTGGAAGCCATCATTCTCAGCAAACTAACACAGAAACAGAAAACCAAACACCCGCCTGTTCTCACTCATAAGTGGTAGTTGAACAATGAGAACACCTGGACACGGGGAGGAGAACATCACACACCGGGGCTTGTCGGGGGTGGAGGGCAAGGGGAGGGAGAACATTAGGACAAATACCTAATGTAAGCAGGGCTTAAAACCTAGATGACGGGTTGATAGGTGCAGCAAACCGCCATGGCACATGTATACCTATGTTAACAAACCTGCACGTTCTGCACATGTATCCCAGAACTTAAAGTAAAATTTTTTAAAAAAAGAATAAAAAGATGAGAAAAAAAGAAAATCTATAATGAACAGTTATTTTTTTTATGGTAGATAAAAGAGCGGTTACTTGAAATCCAATGGCTCTTCCCTCCTATACAATAAATGGTAGAAGAAAAACAAAAAGATATATGCAAAATCTTTACTCTCCAAAGATCAACCATACTACCTAGGTGTACATAGTACTGAACTGCAGTACACTGAGAAACAGAAATTACCAATATCAGTGGCTTGCAAAGTATTAAAATATCTCAAGGCCGGGTATACTCTGACCATCAAACAAATATGAGCAACAGGTTATAAAAATAAACTATTTTCCCATTATTGCTAAAAATACAGAATAATTTGGTAGTATTGTTGCTAGGAATTTCAACTATTTGGCCCTTAGCAGTAAGAGCAAAAGAAAAGAAAGGAAAAGTCTAGCATCCCAAAAAAGGGACATGAAAGTATATCTTGTATCTTGCTATCCTAAAATTAACTTTTTAGGATAGGAACATACTGTTCTCAACTACAAAATGAATTGTATACAAGAAGAGCAAGCAGCAGGAAGCAGCATGCTACAAGCCTTGAAACCTATGGCTATGTTACACAGTGGAGAAAATAGTTATGTATTCCTCAGACTAAGAGTTCAGGGAGCTTTAAGCAGTATTTGATAGGAAAGAAGAGAAGAACTGCATGCTTTGGTCTTGAGTCAATAACAGAGAAAGAAAAGAGGGGTTTTACTTCTGAAGGGACTAGCATCAGAGAAATTTAAGGTAGACTTCCTCACCCTAAAACAGTTCCATTATCTCAGTCTGGTGGGTTTATAGATAATTTTGGTTTATTCTTTGTATGTTTATATATTTTGGCAGAAAATGTTGGTTGTCTGTCCACCACCTATTCCCCTCTTTTTCAAATAATCTTATTTTGCCAGTGTCCTTTTTCTATGTTGCTGATATGAACTATTGATCTAAGGGAAGGCACAACACCCAACTCTGGCAGCAAGATATAAAGTGAAGCTTTCCAAAGAGTTACAGAAAACAGGGGCTGGGTGTGGTGGCTCATGCCTGTAATCCCAGCACTCTGGGAGGCCGAGGTGGGTGGATTGCTTGAGGTCGAGTTCTAGACCAGCCTGGCCAATATGGTGAAACCCCTTCTCCACTAAAAATCCAAAATTTAGCCAGGCATAGTGGCACACACCTGTAATCCCAATTACTTGGCAGGGTGAGGCAGGAGAATCGTTTGAACCCAAGAGCAGGAGGCTGCAGTGAGCTGTGATGGCATCACTGCACTTTAGCCTGGGTGACAGAGTGAGACTCTGTCTCATAAAAAAAAAAAAGAATTATAGAAAACATATCCCTCTTTGAAGAGAAGAAACATCACAAGAATTTTGTCAGCACATGAAAAGATGCTGAACATTATTAATTAGTCATTGAAGAAATGCAAATCAAAACCACAATGATATACTACTTCACATCCATTAGAATGGCTATAATTAGAAAGATGAATAATAACAAATGTTGGCAAAAATGTGGAAGAATTGCCATCTTCATACATTACTAGTGGGAATGTAAAATGTGGAAAAGACTGGAGTTCCTCAAAAAGTTAAAAATAGAATTACCACGTGATCCAGCAATTCCATTCCTAAGTATGTGCCCCACAAAAGTGAAAACAGGCATTTTAAAAAACCTGTACACAAATGTTCACGGTAGCATTATTCATAATAGCCAAATGGTGGGAATTACCCATACGTTTATCAGCTGATAAACAGATTTTTAAAATGTGATATATCCATATAATGGAATGTTAGCAATAAAAAGGAGTGAGGTATATACTCAAGGGAATTGAAAACGTATGTTCACACACACAAATTTGGACATGAATGTTCACAGAAGCATTCTTCATAATAGCTAAAAAGTAGAAACAACTCAAGTGTCCATCACTTGATGAGTGGATATACAAAATGTAGTATACGTATATGACGGAATACTACTCAGCCATAAAAAGGAATGAAATACTGGTACGTACTACAACATGGATGAATACTGAAAACATAATGTCAAGTAAAAGAAGCCAAACAAAAAGGCCACATATCCACAGAGACAGAAAATAAGTTGGTGGTTGCCAGGGAGTTGGGGCGTGAGGTGTCGTGAATAGGGTATGACTATTAATGGGTATGAAATTTCTTTTTGAGGTGATGAAATGATCTGAAATTAGATAATGGGGATAGTTGTGCAACTTTGTGATTATACTAAAAACCAATGAATTGTACACTTTAAAAGAGTGAATTTTATGGTATGTGAATAAAAATCAATCGATTAATAATGAAATAAGCAATTGACAAAAAATAGATAACTTTAAAAAAAGAAATGAAATCTATGCCAAGACATGGATGAATCTCAAAAACACTGTTAAGTGAAAGAAGCCAATCATAAAGGACCACATATAATATTGATCCCATTTATATGAAATGTCTAGATTAGGCAAATCTATATAGATAGAAATTAGATTAGTAGTTGCCTAGGGCTGAGGGAATTAGGGAGAAATGGGGAATGACTGCTAATTAGTACAGGGTTTTTTTTGGGACAATGAAAATGTTCTAAAATTAGATTATAGTAACGGTTGCACCACTCTGTAAATACACAGAAATCCATTGAGTTGTACATTTTACATAGGTGAACTATATGGCATGTGAATTATATCCCAATAAAGCTGTTACCAAAAAAAGAGAGGTAAAACCACAGAAAACATCTTAACTTGTACCTGTATTTGCTGAATATTCCACAATGAGTGTGTAATACTTATATCTTCAGAAAGAAGGTGTTCAAATTTCTCTTGATTTGGAAAAAAATCCTATTTTATAAAACAAGGTAAAAATCAGAGCAGAAAAAAATACTGTACATGAGCTCAGTTATAAAACTGAGTGCATGCATGTAAGGGAAAAAACCTAGAGGAAAATATACTAAATTATTGACAGTACTGATTTCTGAGTTCTGATCATTGGATGATTTTAATTTATTGTGGTGGAGGAGGTTTTTCTTTCTGTTTTTCTGTATTAGCACATACTACTTCTTTATTCTTTTGTTTTATTTTTTAATTGACACATAATAATTACATATTTATGGGATACATAGTGATGTTTCAATACTTACAATGTGTAGTGATCAGATGAGGGTGATTAGCATATCCATCATGTAAAACATTTATCGTTTCTTTGTGCTGGGAATATTCAATATCCTCCTTTTAGATGATTGAAACTATATATTATTGTTAATTACAGTCATCCTACAGTGCTATAGAACACCAGAATGCATTGCTCTTATCTAGCTATAATTTTGCACATACTACTTTTTGATTTCTAATTGGAAATGCACATGCAATCATACAAAAGCTTATTCAGCAATGAAATGTAAGCCTCCCTCACATCCTTGTTCCCCAGCTCCTTATTTCCAGGGCTGCCATGTAAGATTGTTCAAGATGCCAGTTGCACAAGGCACCTGGCTAAGGCAGTGAGTGGGGGCTGTAATCTAGCCAGGGCTCTGCTGGATAAGCCATAACTCATGGCTTTGAGAAAAAGAGTCCTTTTCATCTTAACCCCACAGGAAAGCGTTATGCAACCAAGTAGCCATTCTGCCCTTTTCCCCTGCCCAAAGATACAAACTTCCTAGTTTCTTGTGTATCCATCCTGACATAGTCTATGATATCCAAACATATACTGCATACTGTAACATATATATATATAAGCTATTTTAAAAGAGTAAAGAAATGGCAATACAATGACAGCAAAAGGCAATGCAGTATAATCAGAATTCTAGTATTTCTACAGAAGTCATTCAAGGCACCATGGTAAAATTGGATTTAAAGAAAGAAAAAAAATTACTTGGAACAAATAAATCTTAAGGGAAGAAGCCCAAATGCAATAATTGTTGAATTTTTTCCACCCGAGCTGTCCTCAATCCACATGAATTGTTTATACAGCAAATGAAATTGGTTGTATCCATTGCCAAGGGGATTCCTATTTGGTACTTCGTTCATGGCCCTCCCCACAGCTTAGAAGAGTGTGGAAGCTTGTTTGTGGTCCAGTTTCTACTGCAGAAAGCTTTAGGGTTTTAATCCGCTGAGAAATCTGAGAATGGGTGTCCCCAGGTGAAACCCAGCCCTTCCATTTCATTCACTCTTATGTCCTTCCGAACAAGAACTGCTTCGACAGGCAATCCTAGGCCACTGTCTCAATTTGTATCCCAACATCTCTATATTCATTCTATCTGCGGTGAAGTCTCAACTTGTTCAGAGAAAATGATGGTTAAATTAGTAAACAAGTCACATTATGAGATCTGACTGTAAGGATTGCTCTGTCACTCTGCATAACTTTTGTCTGTGTTCCTGTTTTATGTTTTGCCTCATTACAGAGAGCCATACTGGTCTTCTTTTGGGTTCTAATGCTTTTCCCTCAGGCTCTTTATATTTGTGGCTCTTTAAGTCCTCAACACTCTTCTCCATCCTGAGATTGAATCCAGTGAACTCCCATTTATCTTTCAAGCCTTAGCTTTAATGTTGATCCCTCAAAGCAGGTGAGTGCCCCATCACTGCCGCTTAAACTTCCCTTCTCATTACATCCACCATATTTAAAATTACCTGCTAAGGCTTGATTTTGACACCAGACCATAAGCTCCATGGGTGCAGGGACCATGCCTGTCTTGTGACCCTTATATTGTCATTGCTTAGTATTAGGTTGGTACAAAAGTAATTGCAGATTTTGCCACTGAAAGTAATGAGCTCAGTTGTTAGTTACTTTTGCCCCAACCCAATACGATACCTGGCTCATATTAGGTACTCAATAAACCTGTTAATTGAGCAGATGGAAATGTAAAAGCTATGAGTGACCCTACAAAAGGAAAGTCTTTCCTTGTTTAAAAAAAATTGAGGCTGGGCATGGTGGCTCATGCCTGTAATCCCAGCACATTGGGAGTCTGACACAGGAGGATCACTTGAGGCCAGGAGTTTGAGACCAGCATGGGCAACATACTGAGATTCTGTCTTCACCCCAAAAAAAAAAAATTAGTTGGGCATGGTGGCTCATGACTATAGTCCTAGCTACTTGAGAAGCTGGGTTTGAATCCACGGGTTTGAAGATGCGGTGAGCTATGAGCTATGATCACTCCACTGCACTCTAGCCTGGGCAACAGAGTGAGACCCTGTCTCTCAAGAAAAAAAAAAAGTGTACCATTTAGAAGAAAATTTAGAATTGATTGAGAGCCAAGAATAATAAGGCTTAGAAACTACTCCTTAGGTCTGGAAGCATTTTCCAAGGAAGAAGCCTGGAGGAAACTGAGGCTGGTACTGGGTTAAAACTAACTACTGGATGAAAAAACAAACAAGACAAACACCACTGGGGTGCAATGGTTGAGACCCAGGAAGGCAATCCAAGAAGGCTTTGGTGTGAGATATTTCTGTATGCTGAGAAAGAAGGTGGTGGGCAAGGTCTCTGGATGTGACCTACCTTACTCTTAATGACTTACCTTACTCTTAATTTGCCCTGATTCAAATAAATCTTGACAGTAGGATCAAGGATTATCTGAGACATATTTGGTCCTCCTAAGTGGCTTAGTTCTCTAAAGCCCCTTTCAAGAGTGCTTTGGGGCATTCAGAAACTAGCTCTGCTTCTATTACACTGAGTTATGCTAAGAGCAGGATAAGATGATGTGAACTTATTTGCCTTGTGGATTTGTTCCCTGTTCGTATTTCTAAAATAGAATACTTAAGTCTGTTAACTGATTAACTACAGGAGTACAGAGAATGTCAATGGTTACCGGCATTCTTTACTTCCATTTTGAATGCCCTTTTCCATACACACTACTATATGGTTTTAGAGAAGATAAATAATTAAAATAAATAATTTAAGATACACAGCATAGAAATATATAAAATGCAAACATTATGTTTACATCATAAAGCACAGTTACATAAACAATAGATTATGTTCAGGCTGAAGAAGAATTTTTAAAATGCACAATCACTGAAATATGGTTGTGATGAAAGTAGAACATCCAAATTAATTTCCTTCCATAGCAATGGAAATATATGGAGGAAGACCCTCTTCAACTATTCCATCCAAGTAAACTACACGGGACAGAGGAGGGATATCAGGGGCTTGGGGGTTGTCCCAAAGCAATTTTAGCAATCAGAAATTGAATTTACCTATTTTATCTTAAAGATTCCTGAAGTTTTTTTATTCTTCTTCATAATATATCTTTGGTTTTCTTTCTAAAAATTCAATAAGTAAAACTGTTGTTCCAGGAAGATGTGCAATGTTTATTTTGGGTTTCCTATAATCTCTCAGGACATCTCTCAGGAGAAGAGTGTATCTTTCTTCCTCTCTTTCTTTTCTGAGTCAGGGTCTCACTCTGCCACCCGGGCTGAAGTGCAGTGGTGCCACCACTGTTCACTACAGCTTTGACGTCCTGGGCTCAAGTGATTCTCCAACCTCAGCCTCCTGATTAGCTGGGACCACACGTGTGCACCACCACACCCCAAAATTTTTATATTTTTTGTAGAGATGGGGTTTTGCCTTGTTGCCCAAGCTGGTCTCAAACTCCTGGACTCAAGCGATCTGCCTGCCTCGGCCTCCCAAAGTGCTGAGACTACAAAGCATTAGCCACCGTGCCTGGCCGAGAGCACAAACATCTCAGTGTAAGAAGCACAGGGGTCAACAAGAGGAGATACAACCACTGTAATCTATACAGACTTCAGAAAAACTTTTAGTTTAGTAAAAATAAAATGTTTTTCATAATAAATGATTAAATGCAGTAGCCTGTGCGTAGGCAATTCTTGTGGGATCTTATACAGCCTCCTGTCTCAGCATATGTTAATAACACAACTGCAGTGAATTTCCTATTTCTCATGTCTGCCCAACTATTGCAGTCATGGGTGATTATCCAATATCCGTTCTACCCAAAAGGACAGGCCTAGGGCAGGTATGGTAATCCCATCCTCCCTGTCAAGTGATTGGTTTAGGAAAGGGCATGTGATCAGCTTTGCCCATTAAGACCAAAGGGGATATCTACTGAGGGGGCTTCTGGGAAACCTAGCTTAACTCTGGTTGAGCCATCTTGTTGCCACAATGAGGATGAAGCCAATACAGAGAGCTGATTTTTAAACAAGGCAATTACCAAGATGAGAAACTGGAGCCTTCAAGTATTGTGTGTGAGCTGCCCTACCTCAGGATATCTTAACATAATAGATTTCCTTATGACATATGAAATAATATCTTTCCTTATTACCTTATTAACCCAATTAATGTGTGGGTTCTCTCTTACTTTAGGAGATCTTTAATGATATACTTTACACTGGACTGAAAGCTTTGAGAAGGGGAGGATGTTTTGTTTATCTTTGTATCCCAAAACCTAACACAGTATCTCAGATATAGGAGGTGCGTAATTCATATATGTAGGGCTGAATTGAACCAAATATCAAACATAAGATGTACAAAATGAATTTCCCATTGCCTCTAGATCTCGTGGATACCAAATAGCTAAATAAGCAACCCAGATTATAGACAGTATGACATGAGGGTAGGTGAGAATTATTGGCATCAGGAGACAGTGCAATAATTGACCTCAATACATTAGTCAGATTGCACATGACAGACAGTAAATCAAAAAGAATCAGGAATCAATGAGATATACATATGAAAATCACTGGATGGAGAGTGATTGAAAAAGACTCCAGAAGATTATTTTGTTTAAAGGAAGCATAGCCCTGGAATTTCTGTATTATGGTATTAATCATTCAAACACAGAATACGGCAGAGAAGAGAAACAACATTTTATATCTGGAACATCCAGGAGGATATGCCAGCAGTAGCTAGATGTTTGGAGGACCCTGAAGATACTGGGTCTGTGTCCACACTAATAAAACAGAAAGGCTAAATCAGATCCCCTCTACTTCATTTGTAAGAACTGCCTGGATCACAGAGGTGCTTTGAAACTTAGCAAGGGTTCAGGGGCCTCTAATGAACACCCAAATATTCCTCAGAAAAGAAAAAAAATCATTCCTTCCTGATATTCCTTAGAAAAGAAGCTATGTGCAGGCATTGACTTATGGGGTTTCACACCCACCAAGCCATGTTAATGTTCTCAACAACTCAGAAGTATTCTCACTGTCCCCATTTTAAAACTGGCTCAACTGGGCAGTTATTTTCATTAACCAAAGGATTCAATTAATGCTAGATACAAGGAATGCCATGTAACATAGCATTGTAACAGAGGCCTTCTGCTAGCAAAACAACAGGGCTCAGTGACAGGGAAATCTCAGTAAGGAAGAAAGGAACCCTTCCCCCTGAAATGAGTGGGGAAGCTAACCCCATTCCTGCCGTTGCTACTAAACCCTGAGACTATGAAATGTCAGCACTATTCAAACAGTCATAGAAAACTTCACAGAGAGGAGAAACAGGCAAGACAGGTTTTGGAAGTATAGAAAGCTTAAATATACACCTAACGCAATCAGCTTGAAAATAAAAGAGGCATATGGACATTTGAACCTTACAAGTTCAAGTATACTCCACTTATGAAGTATAGTACAGCATTCTCTATCTCTATTCCAAAAGTGTGCATAAGCACGCATGCGTACCCCACTCCCCCCACCTCAACACACACACACACAGGTCTCTCTTTGCACATTTTATTCTAACCAGAATCAGAGACATGTCTATCCCTAAAATATTATTTTGTTAATTTTAGAGACAGGGTCTCTCTTGTCACC